>NC_000014.9:50217773-50520803 GCF_000001405.40 Homo sapiens | reverse complement strand
CCACCTTACAATACAAATAACTAAAACCAGAAACGGTCCCGTTTTTGGTTGCTGCATATTCTTCCTGCTGTGCCTTCTCTTGTCCTCATTTTGTTGGAACTTTATATTTATGTTTATTGTTAATTAACTGAGTCCTATAAACTAGGCTCTGTAATGCTGTTATAAATTATAAAATGTGAATGATTTCAGGCAGATAGAATAACCTGCCTTAAGTAGCATTAGCTAGTTTTGTTTGCTTCTTTCTGATTTAGGATAATTAGGACTGCCTGAGAAGGATTGTGACTTCCAGCTTTGTCTTTTTTTGAGACAGAGTCTTGCTCTGTCGCCCAGGCTGGAATGCAGTGCCATGATCTCGGCTCACTACTACCTTCGCCTCCCGGGTTCAAGCAATTCTTCTGCCACAGCCTCCTGAGTAGATGGGACTACAGGCGCACGCTGCCATGCCCGACTAATTTCTTTTTTATTTTAGTAGAGATGGGGTTTCACCATGTTGCCCAGGCTGGTCTTGAACTACCGACCTCAGGTGATGTGTCCACCTTGGCCTCCTAAAGTGCTAGGATTACAGGCGTGAGCCACCACGCCCGGCCAAATTTTTGTATTTTTAATAGAGACAGGGTTTCACTATGTTGGCCAAGCTGGTCTTGAGCTCCTGACCTCGTGATCCACCCGCCTCGGCCTCCCAAAGTCCTAGGATTACAGGTGTGAGCCACCACGCCCAGCCCCAGCTTTGTCTTATGAAATAATGTGTTATTTCTCACATGCATGCATCCCTTTGTTGGTGCCCCGTGCCTTCTTGACCCCCTTATTAACTCTTCATGTATCCAAATCAGAAAGAATCAGGTGTAACTTAATATATTTTTAAAGACATCTTTTAAGGAACTAGTTTTGCATTTTCAGCTTTGGTTCTTCATTGTAATACATGCTAGAGATGTTTGGGTCCTTTACCAGTTTTTTCCAGGAATTGTTTCCTGTTATTCTTAATGTAGTAGTAAAGATCTACAGGTAGGACTCACCTTCCTATATGTTTGTCTCTCTCTTCTTGCCTTGGCATAGATAGCCTTCTTTTACCTACCTTTTTATTTTCAAAATACATTTTAAGTGATACATGTTCATTTTTTATTTTTATTTTTATTTATTTTATTTATTTTTTGAGATGGAGTCTCACTTTGTCGCCCAGGCTGGAGTACAGTGGCACAATCTCGACTCATTACAACCTCCGCCTCCCAGGTTCAAGCAATTCTCCTGCTTCAGTCTCCCGAGTAGCTGGGACTACAGGTGCGTGCCACCACACTTGACTAATTTTTGTATTTTTATAGAGACAGGGTTTCACCGTGTTGGCCAGGCTTGTCTCAAACTCCTGACCTCAGGTGATCTGCCCTTCTTGACCTCCCGAAGTGCTGGGATTACAGGCATGAGCCACTGTACCTGGTGATACATGTTCATTTTTAAAACTATATAGGAATGAAAAATTACTTGTGTCTCCTTTACCAAGAGATAAACATTCCCAACTTTTAAAAATTCATATTAAGGACATACGTATAAATCATAGAATAGATATGTATAATAATATACAGTATATATTATATAGATGTATATTTGATAACGTGCTTTTAAATTTAACAATATATAACAACTTTTTGTCAGTAAATATACATATTTAATACTTGTGTATTATTTTCTTGTATAGTTATATAATTTTTAGTTCATTATATACAAACATACAAGCAATTGTCTCCAATATTTCTTTATTGTAAATAATGCTGGGATCAGTATCCTTGAACAGATTTTTTTCACACAATCTTAATTATTTCTTTAAATAAATTTCTAGAGCTAAATTTCCTAAATTGTCTTAAAGGTTTTGGTGAATTTTAACCAATTATTCTCCAAAAAAATTTGCACCCATCAACAATGACTGAGAGTTCACATCTTCCCTACCCTGAAACTCAAGCCCTTTCCTCCCTTTCCTTTGCCATTAAGACCTCCAGATAATTAGTTCAATTTAAGTAATCCTCTGTAAGTAATTCTTCTTTTAATAAAATCAGTCTGTGTTAGAAAAGAGTTGGGAGAAACCTTTTCAGAGACAGATGAGTATCCTAATAGATTGGGCGGAAGACCTGAGATTGAAGTCATGTGAACAGATTTTGGGTCATTCTAAGGGAAGGCTTTAGGCTCTGAATCTGTCTGCCTGGGAGTGGGGAAATTGTGCAGTATAGCCTCCTTCCATGGGATAGGAAGCACCTGTCCAGACCTGTATAATTGTGTGGAAGCCAGCCTGGAAGTAACTTGCTCCACAAAAATTAAGGAGTTTTGCACCGCATGTTCTCGCTTATAAGTGGGAGTTGAACAGTGAGAACACAGGGACACAGGGAGGGGAATAATACACACTAGGGCTTGTTGGTGGTGGGGGGTGAGGAGAAGTAACTTAGAGGACAGGTCGATAGGTGCAGCAAACCACCATGGCACACATATACCTATGTAACAAACCTGCACATTCTTCTGCACATGTATCCTGTAACTTAAAGTAAAAATAAAAAAAAAATTAATGAGTTTAGGAGCTAGCAGGGAACCTGTGGCTGGCACATAGTGCATATAACCCCTACCTTGTCCTTTACAAATGGTCATTTATAACTTCTTATTTAAATAATAAGGATATACTGTGTTTGGAAGTAGTTGGTCTTTTTTTTGGACGTTTTAATTGCTAGAGAAAACTTTCTTATATGGATCTAAAATCTGCCCCATTGAAACTCAGGGCAGGTACAGATATTTTTATTCATCTTAGTAATTCCTTGCTGTTACTCTACTAATATTATCCTTGTATCTGAGGTACCTGATGCTTCAGAGGTGCTCAGTGAATAAATGTTAAATTGATGTATGACTAATATATGTAGTGATTAAAGCCTTTCTTTTTCCCAAAATGATTTATAATAAAAGTAAAATGAAGCACTTTCTTTACTCTTGTCAGAGGATAAAATATTGCATTCTGTTTTGGATCGAACACTTTCAACGTTTATTTTTTGTTTTATTTTTTGAGACGGAGTTTCACTGTCGCCCAGGCTGGAGTGCAGTGGCGGTATCTTGGCTTACTGCAACCACTGCAACCTCCGCCTCCCGGGTTGAAGCAATTCTCCTGCCACAGCCTCCTGCGTAGCTGGAACTACAGGTGCCCACCCATCATGCCCTGCTAATTTTTGTATTTTTAGTAGAGACAGGATTTCACCATGTTGACCAGGATGGTCTTGAACTCCCGACCTCAAGTTATCCACCCACCTCGGCCTCCCAAAGTGCTGAGATTACAAGTGTAAGCCACCATGCCCAGCCTCAACATTTATTTTTAAAACTTAAAAATATTGTAGGCTGGGCGCGGTGGCTCATTCCTGTAATCCCAGCACTTTGGGAGGCCGAGGTGAGCGAATCACCTGAGGTCAGGAGTTCGAGACCAGCCTGGCCAACATGGTGAAACCCCGTCTCCACTAAAAATACAAAAATTAGCTGGGCGTGGTGGCACGTGCCTGTACTCCCAGCTACTCTAGGGCCTGAGGCAGGAGAATTGCTTCAACCCAGGAGGCAGAAGTTGCAGTGGGCGGAGATCACGCCACTGCACTCCAGCCTGGGTGACAGAGTGAGACTCTGTCTTAAAAAAAAAAAAAAAAAGTATTGTAATTTTGTAGAAACCTGAAAAAAAGAAATGTTGCCTTTGTTGTCATGAATCTAATGTTATAACTACTATCATTTTTGTTGGACATCAAACTTTGAGCACATAATCAAAGTAAATAATAACTAGACTGGTGGGAAGGGTCTAGAATTTATATGGCATGGCATATTGAAAAATTTGTGTTTTGTCTGTAGGTAGAAGCAAACTTATATTTTTATCTGAGCAGAGTTAGAATTAGAGCTTAGGCCTCCTGACTTTCATAGGGACTCAATACTTATTGAATAAATTAATGAATTTAGAGATCTGAATTTGTCATATAGTAGAAGGAGTAGGTTAAGTCAGTGTTATCTTACAAACCAAAACTGGGACCACTGAAGAGAAATTATTGGAGAATATATTTGCTTATCGCAGAAAAGCCTTTATACAACTACAGTTATACTAAAAATGAATGTATTAGACCACCATAGATTAAGTAGAAGAGATGTGCTCTTTAAAAGAGAGATTGGATTGGATGACTTTAAAAAAATTCCTGCAAACTGAGATTCCAGAGAATAGTGTCTCTGTAATAGTTTCATTTTAACTTTGTCTATTTTCACTATTCCATAAGTGTGGCTAATTTTTTAGGATTCTGTTCTTGATCCTCTTTTCTTCTGACTACTTATTCTAAGTAATCTCATCCACCTGCCTGCGTTCAGTAATGTTGGTGATGCCCAACTCTGTTTTCAGTCCAGGTTAGCTCTTGTTAAGCAGCTTATAGGATATCACTAGATTGGTTTTCCATAGCAAGTTAAAATTTTAAGTATGTCCAAAACTGAGCCCCCATCTGTATCCCTCTCCCCGCCACAGAATGTGTGCTTCCTCCTATGTTTGTCATCTCAGTAAATGGGACCACTGTCTACCCAATTGTGCAATCCAGAACAGGAATTATTCTTGACTTGCTATTTCTTTATGTTTCACAGATAGTTTACCAGTTCCTAATGGAGACAAGCTTGGATTACAGTATGGCACTGGAAATAGAAGAAAGTGTGTGGATTTGGCTTATAAGTTTAAGCTGTCAGGATTTGCTGATATGTCAGATGTGAAGAGTGTGAAGGAAAGAAATAAAGAATGACCTGGATTTTGGGCTTAAGTGAGTGTGGTGGATACGGTAAATTTGATTTAGATTAGGAAGATGTGGGAATGAAAAAGTTTGTGGGAGAGGGATAATCGAGTGTTCTGTGTTAGACACATTAATGTTAAGGTGCCTGTCAGGTTTCCATGGATGTAGGAGTCTGGAGCAAAGTGAGGAGAGAGATGTGCCCTAGAAATAGATGGTTGGCTGCATAGGTGAATGTTAGATAAAGAAAAGATGCAGTTCCATGATCAGTTAGGATAGGTGAGAGAAGAGGGGTTAACAAAGAGGCTGAGGGATCATTGAAAGTTTGAAGCAAGAGGAGTGGAATAGTTCTTATAAAAAGTGGAAAATAAAACCTATACAAGAAGTTGTAGTTTGGGATTTGTGTTGATTTGAAAGTAAGACCAGTTAGCATGATTTTGTCATTTTTTTTCTAGTAACTGTTAGCTATTTGATGCCAGTGTGGGATTAGTGGATAATTGGAATTAATCAAGATTAGGATTTTGCCAGGCTAGTACAATAGAGGGAAGAGGAAGTTTAATCCTGATAGGTAAGGGAGGATGTATGGAGTTGAGAGAAATAATTGGTGGTCATGGAGAAATGCATTGGCAAATTGATGAGGTGGGAGAATGGCTGGAATGGGAGGACTAGAATAAGTGAGCTGAAAGGATAGGAGATAGTGATTAGAAAGGAAGTATAATGTTAATTAGGTCAGAGAATGAAAAGTCAGAGTAGTTCCGGATATTGAAGTCACTAAGAGTGGTGGAGGCAAGAGAAAGGATAGAGAGGAAACTGTGAACCAGGGGTCATAAAATCTTAAAAGAATAAGGATGACTGGCTAGGCACAATGGCTCACGCCTGTAATCCCAGCACTTTGGGAGGCCAAGGCGGGCAGATCACAAGGTCAGGAGATCGAGACCATCCTGGCCAACATGGTGAAACCTCGTCTGTACTAAAAATACAAAAATTAGCCTAGCGTGGCGGCGAGTGCCTGTAGTCCCAGCTACTCGGGAGGCTGAAGCGAGAGAATTACTTGAACCTGGGAGGCAGAGGCTGCAGTGAGCCAAGATTACGCCACTGTACTCCAGCCTGGGCGACAGAGCGAGACTCCATCTCAAAAAAAAAAAAAAGAATAAGGATGACCAAGAAGTTAGTATATGATAGCTACAGGAAGATAGGCGGTGATACATTCTGTCCTGAGCATCAAAGGAATCTTAACTTTCACCATTCCCTCTTTATATCTTTATATTCCCTTAATGCAAGGTAGTTTTGCTCTTTTAGACTGCCCATGTTTTCTCTTGTCTTTACACCTTTGCCTGGAATTTTGCTATCCATAATCTCTTACCCACCACTCCTCCCAGGAAAGTCTTCTATTAGGTCTCAGTTTAAATTTACTTTCTCCTGGAAGCTTTTTCTTCAATCTAGTTTGACTGGGCTCAGAATCCTCCAATGTTGACTTGTGTCATCTATGAGAGCATTTTTCACACTCTGTAGTATTTACTCTTCCCTTTTCTGTCTTTCTAACTGATAAAAGTTTTCGGAAGACAGGAACTGTTTTTGTTTCATTACATTCCTAGTATTAACACCGTACCTGGCACATAGTAAGTATTAAGTAATGTTTGTTGAATAAATGAACCAGTTAAAAACAGTGTTTCAGCCGGGACTAGTGGCTCACGCCTGTAATCCCAGCACTTTGGGAGGATGAGGTGGGTAGATTACTTGAGGTAAGGAATTTGAGACCATCCTGGCCAATGTGGTGATACCCTCTCTCTACTAAAAATACAAAAAAAAAAATTAGCCAGGCCTGGTGGTGCCTGCCTTAGTCCCGGCTACTCAGGAGGCTGAGGCACGAGAATTGCTTGAGCCTGGGAGGTGGAGGCTGCAGTGAGCTGAGATCACACCACTGTGCTCCAGCCTGGGTGACAGAGCAAGACTCGGCCTCAAAAAAACAAAAACAAAACAAAACAATAACAGAGAAAGCAATGTTCCATAAAGTATTGAGTATAGAGGTTTTACAGCCTATGACATAGTTGACTTTTCACTTTTATTGTGGATTAATCAGCTACTTTGTATTTTTCAAACCTTATGGGTGCTGCGTTGCTTCTTTTGTATTGTAGATCATGTTCTTAAATCTGGAATACATAATTATGACTCTGAGAAGCAGTCACTGGCCACTGGAGATAGCTTGTTAAAAATATTGAGATGTCTGGATTTTCTGATGTTATGTTATAGAATAAAGGGGCATATTTAAAACTGAAGTCCACAGTTGGCTTAATGGAAAAGTTTTGTGACCCTAAGAATGTGCTGGGAGAAAGTTGTCTGGGGTAGGATGAGAGACCCAATGTGAAGAACAGAGAAATACAGGAGCTTTTTCATTTTTCTTCATGGTGATGGTCTTGGTTGCCATAGCTTTTAGATGGCTGTCCTTACTTGCTGGTTTTTTTTTTTTTAGCCCCAGTTTATAAAAAATTATCTTTCAACTTCATGAATACTAGGATGTATTACTATGTATTGATTCGTGTCTTCCAATTCTGTGTTGAAACCTTGTAGGTAAAATGTTTAGACTTTTCTTCATTAACTTTTAGTTTTCATTAAAAATTTTACAGTATGTAGAAGAGTTCATAGTTTACAAAACTGGCAATTGCATAATATTACTGAAGTAGAAATGGCTTAATTAACATCTTTCAATTTTTTTTGTTTGTTTAAGTGGAAATCCATAGGTAACTTTTTACTATTAGTAAGATTGAAGACTGGAGGGCTTGAGTTGAAATACTTCCTTAGTAGTAAATTGACTTGGAAATATGAATTAAGAGATGAAAAGGAATTGCATTAGCAATGCGAATAGAAAATTAATTTAATTGGAATGATTCTATTGTGGATTTTATAGTGATATTGATTCCATTCATTATGAGTTTATCTTTTCCACATAATAATTTCAGTTCCTGATTAATAAGAGTTAAATAAGACCTGTAACTGTACTGTTTTATTAGATTTCTAGGTGTTTAGTATATCTTAAGTCTGAGTATTAGTGTATACCAAAACCCTACTAACATGAATAGGAATCAGAAATATAGTTAGATCTTTTTTGTGTAGTTGCCGTTGTACTCCAGTTAGTTCCTTTTATAAACATAATGCAGGATCTTTCAATTCTTGTGTATTAAAGTTAAAAACAAAAAGAATTGAGAGTATCACATTTAACTTGTTGGAAAGAAATGGTGGATTTCAAAAACTGGTACTCCAAAACTCTTTTGGATTATAGCGCGAATTTGTATAGTTAAATTTCTGAAAGATCTCTTTAGTAAATTGAATCTGTAAGGTCTCTGTTTAGAAGATCTCTTTTTCTGAAAGCCTCTTTGCCTTTCATTATAAAAGAGCCTGGTACTGCTCTCTGTTTTAAAAATCCAGCTGGAAAATTACAGAGCACAAACATTTGCCCATCGGTTCTTCATTTGGAGAAAACAGAAATATGTCTTCAAAATGGAGGCTGACATTTAAGTATTTATTCCTATCAGCGGGAGCTGTAGTTTGTATTTTTTGCATTTTACTTCTGTAACCACATATAATATATCTTGGCTTCTGCGTGGTGTAACTGTAAAACACCATCTTTATTTTATGTCATTTTGTGATTGTTGTTCAAATCCTCCAATGATCTGTTTCTGAGCCCCTCAGAATCTCTAAAAAAATCAAGGTATCCTTCCTTTTCTTTTTGGCTCTATTAAATTGAAACATAAATGGTTGATTCTAATAATAAAAATTGGCTCATAAATGTGTCTGAAAATGTGTATTCTTTTCAAAAATAATTTATCTTTAAATTAATAGACAATTTTTTAGTGCAGTTTTAGATTTACAGAGTAATAAAGCACATAGTACATAGAATTACATTTAGCCAACCCCTGAATTCCTGTATAGTTTTGTCTTTTATTAACATCTTGCGTTAGTGTGGTACATTTGTTATAATTATTGAACCAATATTGATATATTATTAACTATAGTTCATAGTTTACCTAAAGATTCACATTTTGTGTTGTATAGTTCTATGGGTTTTGACAAATATGTAATGAGATGTGTCTATCATTACCATTTCATACAGAATACTTTCACTCTCCTAAAAATCCCCTGTGCTTCACCTATTTGTCTCTTTCCTTCCTCCCCTAAACCCCAGACAACCATTGCTTTTTACTGTCTCTGTAGTTTTGCCTTTTTCGGAATGTCATAGAGTTGGAATCATACACTTTGTAAGCCTTCTTAGACTGGCTTCTTTCACTTAACAATATGCATTTAGGATTCTTCCGTATCTTTTTGTGGTTTCCATTTCTTCTATTATTAAATTTAATTTAAAAAAATTGACAGTTGTACATATGGGTAAGATTCATAGTGACTCATAGTGATGTTTCGATACATAAAATTTGTAGTGATCAGGAAAATTAGCAAATCTATAATCTTAAACATTATCCTTTCTTTGTGTTGGGAACATTTGGTATTTTCCTGGCTATTTGAAACTATGTAATATATTATTGTTAACTATAGCTATCCTGTAGTAGTAGTATAGAACACTAAAATTTATTCTTCCTATCTAGCTATCGTTTTGTATACTTTAACAAATTTCTCCCTATTCCTCCCTTCCCCCTACCCTTCTCAGCCTCTAGTATTCTCTGTTCTACTTTTTACTTTTATGAGATTAACTTTTTTTAGCTTCCACATGTGAGTGAGAACATGTGATGGTTAACTTTCTGTTCCTGGCCAATTTCACTTAACAGAATATCCTCCATTCCATCCAAGTTTCCTCAAATGGCAGCATTTCATTCTTTTTTGTGGCTAAATAGTATTCCATTTTGAGCATATATAATCAGATTTTCTTTATTTATCATTGTTGGACACCCAGGTTCATTCTGTGTCTTGGCTGTCGTGAATAGTGCTGCAATAAACATTCCACTGTATGGATTTACCACAGTTTGTTTATGTATTCACCTATTGGAGGACATCTTGATTACTTCCAGTTTTGGGTGACTGTGAATAAAGACTGCTTTAAACACTTATGTATAGGTTTTTATGTGGACATAACTTTTTAGCTCAGTTGGGTACATGCCAAGGAGTGGGGTTGCTGGCTGGCTCATAAGGTAAGACTATGTTTAGCTTTGTGAGAAACTGCCAAAGTATCAAGGTTTGTGTTCTGTCCATATGTGTTCTTAGGACTCAACCTAATTAAAAGTTTGGAAGGATATACTCTAAACCATTAACAATAGTTATTTTGGAAGATGAGATTGGGATGGAGAGGGACTGTCATCTTTCACTGATTTATATTATTTTAATTTTTCTACCACAAAATCTTACTTTTGTAGTAATTTTTTTCAAATAATTTTCTTCAAAATACTTTAATTCATCATAATATGACTCAACATAAGTGAAAAAAGTAAGACTATTTAAAATAATGTATTGTCAGTTTCATAGCATTTTCTAGTTGTGGAAGATTTTAATTTTTTTAAGAGAGCAATAACCTTCCTACAACCATGATTGTCTATTCAACAAATTTGTAGAGCATCTACCATGTGGCACAGCCTTTCAAAGGATCATGCGTAGAGCTAAGATGACAACACACTTAATCCAGCCTTAGGATACCAGGGAGACTTCCTGGAGGAGGTGATAACTAAACTGAATTCTGAAGGACGAGTCTGAGTTAACCAGGCCAAACGGGGAGGGAGGCGGGGAAAGGAGAACGTACCAGAATGAGGACAGTTTTCAGATCAGAGACCGAGCTATTCACTTCTGATTAATCTGACTAAAATCAGAATTAATTGTTCCAAACTCTCAGAGAAGCATATTAGATCTTTTCATGTTGTTGACTCTTGTTTAATAATTGGTAACCGAGAAGAATGGAGTCATTTTCTTTTGGTTCCTCAAAGTAAGTGGCAGTGAATGGCAGAATGCATTGCCCAAATGCCTGTTTTTGCTTGGCATAATGAATTGCCTGAAGATATTTTGTTGTTGAAAATGTGTTAG
This sequence comes from Homo sapiens, assembly GCF_000001405.40. Lineage (NCBI taxonomy): Eukaryota > Metazoa > Chordata > Mammalia > Primates > Hominidae > Homo > Homo sapiens. The sequence goes on along the minus strand of NC_000014.9, from coordinate 50,510,040 downwards.
CATCAGTCATTGTCATATGAGTTGAACATTGTATTCTTTACCTGAAATGTATAATCTTGAATTTTTCAACCGTCACAATTTGTGAGTGTACTTTTGTAACTTTCTTGTGCCTTTATGGCACTTATACTTAAATCTTTCTTCTCAATTTGTAAACTTATACTGTATGTTCAAAGATGTTTTTCTGTTTTCTATAGGAGTCCAGTGAAAATTTTAAATGAAAAAACAATTTAAATGATCTCTTAGGTGGATAGGGAAAGAGGGAAAACCAGGGTACTGACATTTAGGCATAGAAGTGGCTATTATGTTTGCTAGATTATGACGTAAGTGAGTTAAAATAAGAGTTCATTGAATCTGTTTTTTTTTTTTTAATTCCAGTTCTTTAGATGGATTTTAAACATATTAGAAGGCTACTAACTTTTATTCGATAATTTTTTTCAAAATGTTTAAAATACTACTGTTTTCTTTGGATCAAATTCAACTCTAAGATTATTTCTTTAAGACATTAAATGTGTAATAGTTCACCTTCTGTTACATTGAAAATTATCACGGAGAAATTTAATGTGAAAGAGGATTAGTATATTGCTTTGTTAGCTGTTTTCAGTAGATTATTTTGTTAATCTGTTTCAACAAAAGTTACCACTGTTGCTGATCTGTTAAATAATACACAATTAATACTTTTCTCTAGTATCTGTTGCATTTAAAAAAGAAAAAGAGAATTCTCGAATTCTGAAAAGGGGCAGTGAAATATTGTCATCAGAATACATTAGGTATTTCTCCTAATGCTATCCCTCCCCCTGCCCCCCACCCCATGACAGGCCCCTGTGTGTGATGTTCCCTGCCCTGTGTCCAAGTGTTCTTGTTGTTCAATTCCCACCTATGAGTGAGAATATGTGGTGTTTGGTTTTCTGTCCTTGTGATAGTTTGCTCAGAATGATGGTTTCCAGCTTCATCTGTGTCCCTGCAAAGGACATGAACTCTTCCTTTTTTTATGGCTGCATAGTATTCGATGGTATATATGTGTCACATTTTCTTAATCCAGTCTATCATTGATGGACATTTGGGTTGGTTCCAAGTCTTTACTATTGTGAATAGTGCCACAATAAACATACATGTGCATGTGTCTTTATAGTAGCATAACTTATAATCCTTTGGGTATATACCCAGTAATGGGATCACTGGGTCAAATGGTATTTCTAGTTCTAGATCCTTGAGGAATCACCACACTGTCTTCCACAATGGTTGAACTAGTTTACACTCCCACCAACAGTGTCAAAGTGTTTCTATTTCTCCACATCCTCACCAGCATCTGTTGTTGCCTTTTTTTTTTTATACTTTAAGTTCTAGGGTACATGTGCACAACATGCAGATTTGTTACATATGTATACATGTCCCATGTTGGTGTACTGCACCCATTAACTCTTCATTTACGTTAGGTGTATCTCCTAATGCTATCCCTCCCCTCTCCCCCCACCCCACGACAGGCCCCAGTGTGTGATGTTCTCCACCCTGTGTCCAAGTGTTCTCATTGTTCAATTCCCACCTATGAGTGAGAACATGTGGTGTTTGGTTTTCTGTCCTTGGGATAGTTTGCTCAGAATGATGGTTTCCAGCTTCATCCATGTCCCTACAAAGGACATGAAGTCATCCTTTTTATGGCTGCATGGTATTCCATTGTGTGTAAGTGCCACATTTTCTTAGTCCAGTCTATCATTGATGGACATTTGGGTTGGTTCCAAGTCTTTGCTATTGTGAATAGTGCCACAATAAACATATGTGTGCATGTGTCTTTATGGCAGCATGATTTATAATCCTTTGGAATGGAGGGATGGAGGAAAATCTACCAAGGAAATGGAAAACAAAAAAAAGCAGGGGTTGCAATCCTAGTCTCTGATAAAACAGACTTTCAACCAACAAAAATCAGAAGAGACAAAGAAGGGCATTACATAATGGTAAAGGGATCAATTCAACAAGAAGAGCTAACTATCCTAAATATATATGCACCCAATACAGAACACCCAGATTCATGAAGCAAGTCCTTAGAGACCTACAAAGAGACTTCAACTCCCGCACAATAATAATGGGAGACTTTAACACCCTACTGTCAACATTAGACAGATCAACGAGACAGAAAGTTAACAAGGATATCCAGGACTTGAACTCAGCTCTGCACCAAGCAGACCCAATAGACATCTACAGAACTCTCCACCCCAAATCAACAGAATATACATTCTTCTGAGCACCACATCGCACTTATTCCAAAACTGACCACATAGTTGGAAATAAAGCACTCCTCAGCAAATGCAAAAGTACAGAAATTATAACAAACTGTCTCTCAGACCACAGTGCAATCAAACTAGAACTCAGGATTAAGAAACTCACTCAAAACTGCTCAACTGCATGGAAACTGAACAACCTGCTCCTCAATGACTACTGGGTACATAACGAAATGAAGGCAGAAATAAAGATGTTCTTTGAAACCAATGAGAACAAAGACACAACATACCAGAATCTCTGGGACACATTTAAAGCAGTGTATAGAAGGAAATTTATAGCACTAAATGCCCACAAAAGAAAGCAGGAAAGATCTAAAGTTGACACCCTAACATCACAAAAGAGCTAGAGAAGCAAGAGCAAACACATTCAAAAGCTAGCAGAAGGCAAGAAATAACTAAGATCAGAGCAGAACTGAAGGAGATAGAGACACAAAAAACCCTTCAAAAAATCAGTGAATCCAGGAGCTGGTTTTTTGAAAAGATCAGCAAAATTGGATTCTAACTCTTGACTCACCCCTGGCAGCAGGATGGCCTTGGGCAGGTCTGCTTTACTAAACTAAGTCTTTTTGTGTTTAAATAAATAGAATTAAGTAATGTATATGAAAGTTCCTGCAAACTGTAAAGCATTACAAACATAATTGCCATCATTATTACGGAATTCATCTTCTAACACATTTTATGATTTACTGAACAATATGCCCAGGAAGTCAATTATCACTGCTTGTTCTGGCCATATTTTTTATACCTGAGTCTCACTGGCATGTGAATTGGCTGAGAGGTGGACAGGCTAAATCTACGTGCACATAGCCTTTTATGACCCAAGGGAAATTTTAGGAATTAGAAGAAGACGTGAGGCTAACAGACAGTTCTTATGTCCAATGGCAGAAAGAGGAGAGGGTAGGAATGGTGTGAGGCATCTGGCTGACCACTGCTCCCCTTTTTGTAAATGTGTTCGTAGTTAGGAGAGAAGTAACTATAACTATGAAAGAGAGGAGTTAAAAGGCCTGCTCTTCTTTCCTGAGACACCTTCTTACCCTATTCAGTAGATTTAGTGAGGAAAATGTGAACTTATCACAAAGTAGTTGCAACTTCTGCTGTTGAAAATTATTTTCTTGCCAGGCCTGGTGGTTCACTGTAATCCCAGCACTTCAGGAGGCCAAGATGGGCAAATTACTTGAACCCAGGAGTTTGAGACCGGCCTGGGCAACATGGCGAAACCCGTCTCTACAAAAAGTACAACAGTTAGCTGAGTGTAGTGGCAGGTGTCTGTAGTCTCAGCCACTTGGGAGGCTGAGGTGGGAGGATCACTTGAGCCCAGGAGGCAGAGGCTGCAGTGAGCCGAGATCCTGTTGCTGCACTCCATCCTGGGTGACAGAAGTGAGACCCTGTCTCAAAACAACAAAAACCAAACAAACAAAAGACAAATTATTTTTCTTTCTGTTTGTGTCTTTTCCTCTGTATATCTCTCCCCCATTCTATTCTTTTTCTCACCCTCTGTATGTCATTTTTAAAAGGATCTCTTTGAAGGCACTCTTCCCTACTTTATCATTCTTCTATTCCTTTCCCTTTTTCTCTTCTTTCCTCAGAAAATTTGATTTATTTAATTTGGCAGATTAGTATAACTATACTTTTCTATTTTATCATGTCTTTTTCTTGTTTTTTTCTGCCATTTGAAAGTTGATATTCAAATCTAATATAGTAAATGAAAAAGGTCATAAATTAGTAAATTCCATTTCCACATATGATGTACCACGGGGTACGATGAAAATGAGCACTCACATTAACAAAGAGAGTATAGTGGTAAAATGTTTTTAGACTATTTGATGGTATGTGTTCATATTCACAACCTTTGACCTAGTAATACCGTATCTTAGAATCCATTTAAAACAAATATGTCTTAAATAATGAAAAGACTATATGTAACATCCTTTATGTCCAACAATAAAGAGGATTATTATATGGACTATGTTATAATCATTTAATTTTCACCAACAATAAGTTTTGGCAGACATGGTTTTAACATCCAAGGTTTTAACATCCAAGGTCGATGACAGTAAAAATTCGCACAGTGTTTTAGAGCAATATGGCAACATACCCATTATAAGTCCACATACCTTTTGGTCTCACAATTGTATGTCTAGGTTGCCTTCCTTATAAGCTGATCTATGGTAAAATATTGGTAATGATATTCATTGCAGTGCTAATTATAGTAAGTTTGTTGATATTGTGTTAAATAGTAAATAGTTTCTCTTCTAGACATTTAACTGAAGGAAATAAGGCTGTGGATAGATACAAAGCTAAGATATATGTATCCCTATTTTTATAACTTGAAAATAATATTAAAATTGTAAATGCCCAACAATAGAGGGTTGGGTAAATTATATATCCTGTCAGTGGAAAATCAGGCAGCATTTGTAATCATGTCTTAGAAGACTATGATGGGGTCATCTTCTTCCATAATGCACATGCATATACATATGTGTACCAGGAAAGAGATGCATGTACACTGAAATGTTCACTGTTTTTCTCTAGGTAGTTAGATACAGATGATGAAAATTTTTAATGACCTATGATTATGTTTTCTGATATAAATAAAACCCATGAGATTTTTAAAATTAAAAATATTAACTAACCCGAGGCTGAAGAAAAGCCTTGGAGGAAGTAGACCAAATTTTAAACAGGAGCTGTTTTTGAGTGGTGGGACTATTGGTAATTTTTTAAACACTTTTGTGTCTTATCTATATTTTTCTTTAATGGGAAAATGAGTTTGCTCAGCATTTTATTGGAAATATTTTGTTTTTTAGTTTTGATAAAAGTATGGTTGATAAGCAATTAACATAGTACCAAGTAATTTTAATGTAATTAACAAGCTTTTAATTAACAAGATTTTTGTTTTTATTTTATTTTTAGGCCAGAAATGTACACACAGGAGAGCTGGCTGCAGTAAAAATCATTAAATTGGAGCCTGGTATGTGTTAAAACCCTCAAGACAATTTTTGAGGGTTTTCCATATTTCTTTCCTTGTTTCCCTTCTTCCCAGAAGAAGTCTTTATATGTTCTATCAGGTCAGTAGAATATCTTCAATTAAATTACCCTGAAGGTGGTTAGTTAAAGGTAAGTTTGATGTGACAGTTTTGTTGCCAAATAAAATTTGACATGTACACATTCAGAATTGGAAGACACATTGACACTGTTAAAGTAATTTTCTTTTAAGATGATAGTGAAGTATTTGAACTTCAGGTTTAGCTTTTATGAGAATTTGATTAGGAAAGTATTCAATGATTTTTTGGGGTGAATATTTGGGATAATGACATTTGTTTGTCAGCTATTCCCTTTGATTGATTTAGGTTTGTTAATTCTGGTCTTAGCTTAATGCTTATTTTATTAACACTTCTGTGTGTCAGAAGACTGCTTGTTTCAAAACACATTGAATAGTTTGCTTTGCAAATAAAACTATAGTCCTGGAACGGTTTTATGATTTTGATATCCTAAAAGTTTCTAATGAGTGCAGTAGTAGTTTTTGACCAGGTAAGCGAATATTTGGTGGTATGTTCATTTGCTGGTTCATAAGCTTAGGCACGTAGGATAAGTTTGTGACCATAATTATGCCAGTTTCCTAGTTTGAGCGGTTAAAATGACTTTGCATTTCAAACACAGTATTTGAATCATTATACATGTGATTCATTAGAGAGATAATAGTACTGAGGTAGCATATGCTGGAACACTTTAAAAATAAGCTTTCAGATATGTCCCAGTATCTTTTTTGTCCTGGCAAATAGAAATTGTTATAATAATACTCTTTCAGGATCCTCTTATTAAGTGCCACCTAATAAGTTTAAAATGATCTCCAAAATGTCACTAACACAAATAGGGAATATAACAGAACTATACAAGCCTTTGCCTGTCCTGGAAAAGTCACTAGAGCAAATATTCAAATTATGTTCAAGGATGGTTATTCAAGTTATGTCCAGGTACTGGCGTGTGCTCTCAGAGAAAACAAAGATATTTATCCCTTTTCTGTCTTAAGCGAGTGCAGTGGGCTTGTTACAACACGGTTTCACTTACTTGACTTGAGGGTATGGCTTATTTTTCATTAGGTTGATGCATAAATAATTGCAGTTTTTGCCAACCTAATATTATAGCAGTTTTTGCCAACCTAATATTATAGTTCATTATAATGAATTAATGAGTGTATTTTTTAAATCCTGCAATTCTGAATTCTCAATAAGCCATATATTAGAACTAACATAAGAAGGCAATTCAGTAAAAAAGAAAAATATGTGTATGATTACTTAAAATATAAGGATTAAATGCAAGGATCATAAGACTCTTTTGAAAGGCTGGAATTTCTCACTGCCTTGTTTTGTAAAAGCTACTGATTATTTTATGTTAGATGTGACCCATGTATTAAGATTGAGTAATATTTCAACCTGTCCCCCAAAAAAGAATAACATGGAAGTTCAGTAAATATTGATGATGTGATCTTAGTATTTGGCCATTTAAAAATTTTTTTGGTTGCCTATTCTTATGCCTTGCCCCAGTCCTATCAGGTTATTTGTATTTTATTATTGATTTTTAGATGCTGTTTGCATTTTGGGGATAGTGACTCTTCATCATGTATTTTACACTTCCCACAATTTGTCTTCTGTCTTTGCACTCTGCTTATACTTTTTTTTTTCCATGTGGAAGTGTTCTTTTTTCTCTCCGACAAATTTGTCAGTCCTCCTTTCTCTATTCCCCATTTCCTTGTACTTAGGCCTTTTCTCCTAGATAATTATAACAATTTTGAACTGTAATTTCTTCCAGTTTTTCCTTTTTTTCCTTCCAAAATTTAAATATTTGCTCAATCAGGAGCAAGTTTGTTCTAAGGGATGAAAGAGAACTCTCTCTATGTATTTTTTCAAATGGCTAGTTTCCCAAAGCCATTACTATAGATTCAGTCTCTTATCCACAGATTTGAAGTGCCTTGGTTGTCATAAACTAAATTTCCATGTAAACATAGATTTTGTGTTCTGTTCCAGTGACTTTCTTTTTTCTATTCCTACTTCAACACTATCCTGGTTTTGATTACCAAAACTTTTGTTGCGTATTATAATCTTCACTCTTTTTATTTTTCAGGTATTTCCTGTTTGTAAAATTTTTTTCTTCAGAACTTTAAAATCATTTTTATCAAGAAGAAAAAAGGCACATAGATTAATGTAGGATATTTGGCATTTTGACAATAGTAAAGGTTTTTTCTTATTCAGGTCTTTAGGAAAGTTTTTGCCACGTCTTCATATTTATGGTATTTCTCGCTATTGGGAATGGCTTCCTTTTTCCCTCTTACACTGTCTAATTGGTTATTATAGATATTTACTTCGCCATTGATTTTATTGGTTATATTTTGTCTCTGGCAGTCTTACAGAATTCATATTTTTCTGGCAGTTTTCAAATGTTTTTCGTGGTTTTTGCAACTATACGGACATACATAGAATGTTATTTTGGCCCAGACTTTCACATTGTAGGATAGTGCTTCCAGTGTTATTAACCCATTTATGCTGGAGTTTGCAGTTTTTTGAATTGCAGACGTGTGAAAAATCAGACCTTGGTGATGACCTTGAGCCATAGGCTATAAATAACTCCCACGTGCTTAGCGTTCCCATAATGGAACAGTAGGCATAAATGAGTTCTGACAGAAGTGTTGATCATCTTCCACTAGAGTGATTTTGTCCATTTCTCCTTCCATTTGTGGCACATCTGCTTAATGTATTATATGTGTGTCAGTTGACCCATAAAATTCATGTTATATTTTCATTTCTTAATAAATATTTATTGAATACCTAATATACGCCAAGCTCTGTTCTAGAGGATAGGAATGTAGAAGAGAACAAAAAGGCAAAGACCTTGTTCTCACGGAACTTGAATTCCAGTGGGGGAGTTAGAATAATGGAATAAATGTATAATGCATTAGTCACTCATATTGGTCAGTGGCTTCAGTCTTTCCCTTACTATTGTGACTTGCATCCTCCATGTTTAATCATTCACTCCCTTAATGATCTTTGATACCCTTTTTACCTTGAATATAACTTTATCTGACATTGATATTGCCAACCCTCCTTTCTTTTTGTTTATATTTATGTGGCATACAACAAATGGATAGAACTGGTATACTTGGGCCTATCATTATCCTTTCTAGGTTGTTGATGTTTCTCTTGTAAAAAATTATATTTGACTTTTGTTTTATAACCCAATCTGAATTTTTCTTTTTTTAATATGTGAATCTGTCCACTATTATATTGTTTGGAGAGATGTTTAATTTTAATTCTGTTGTTGTTTTTGTTTTTAATATTTTCTTAAATTTTAAAAAAAATTATAGCTGGGGGTTTCTTTTATTTTTACTGCTGATAATTTGTAAGATACAATTCTGTAGTTTTGTCAGAGAATGGCTTGTAAGACCTTGAATAATATACTTAAATTTGTGGGTGTTTTAGTTTATCAGTTTAAGAAATAAAACAGTCATCTGTTGAATTCTTGGTTTACAGATTTTGAAATTTGCATATTTATACTCTTCCTGCCTCATCATCCCCCCAATTTTCAACTGTTCATTGGTTTATTTGGGGATTTTAGCCCAGAAACTTTCTGATTGCACTGGGGTATGAGTATGTATTACTATGTGTACCTTCTTTTAAGAAATATAATATTTATAATTTATAAATGCCATGACCAATTATTTAGACTTAGTTTTATATTTAGTAGATTTACTACCCACCATTGGTCTTTTTATGCCATTTCCTTTCCATTCTCACCTACTTAGTATCAACTATCAATAGGCTAAGTCATATTATCAAAAAGATTTTCCCGTATTAGGAATATTATAATTTAAATCCATAAATTGATTATTCTTCTCAAACCTGCTTTTCTTCTGCATTTTGCTAAGCAGTTAACCCATCCACAAATGTAGGCATTAACCTCGATTTCTCTCTTTTATTTGTGCTCAAGAATCAGTCTGTCAGCAAGTTCCCTCAGCTCTACCTCCAGAACACATCCTGAATCCATCTACTTGTCTTTGTTACCCATCTCCACCCTTCTAGTGCCTGTTGCCTTGCCCACACCTCCCATTCCCCACCATCTATTTTCCAGAAAGCCTCTGGAGTGAACTTTTAAAAACATAAATCATATCATCACTTCTGCTTAACACTTCCCTGAAGCTTTCATATCAACTTAGAAAAATACTCAGATTTTTAGCCTTGTTTATAAAACCCTACATGATCTGTTCTATCCACCTCTCTGAGCTCATCGCATATGTTTCTGCCTACTCTACTATGCCTCTGTTTTCTTTTTATTTAAACAGTCCAAGATTAAAGCAATTCTTCCCTTTTGCCTGAGGTAACTGTTTTTCAAGATCTTTGCTCTGAAGGCTCCTGGTCATTCAGACCTCAGCTTAAATAAATATCATATCCTCGGAGAGGCCAATGCCCTTGTTATTTTAGTTCGCTGCATAGGACACGTGAGTGCCTGATACTTTTCTTGTTTGTTTATATGTATACGTGTATATATTGTGTTTGTCTCTCTCCTAGAATGTAAGATCAATGAGAATAGCGATTATCTATCCTCACTGCTATATTTCACCACTTGGGACAGTGTAAGCATGTAACGGACACTGCAATAAATATTCCTCCTATAAAAGAATATTACAGATGTCTTTCTGTTGCCTTTGAATGAGAATGACGATTTGACTAGGTATAAAATGATTGCATCACACGTTCTTCTCCCTCTACCCTCAAAAAACTCTATAGACATTTTTTTCCCTTGAATATTGTTGGAAAGAAATGTAAGGCCTAACTGATATTTTTCCCCTGGTAGATAACTTGCTGTTACTACCTGATTGTAGCAAAAGCTGGCATTTCTTTCTTTGTCTTCAAAATTAGTAATCTCAACAGAATATAACTTGGTCTCAATAATTTTCTACAGATTTTTCTCCCTGAGACACAATGAGCTGCTTTTTTCATCTGCAGTTTTGATTTTTTCTTTATTTCAAGAAACTTTGTTTTAAGATTCTTGAATTTATTTCATTACTTTGGAAAGTAATGAATTTTTAAAGTCTTCCATATCAGTGACTTTTTTTTTTTTTTAAACAGGGTCTCTTTCTGTTGCCCAGGCTGGAGTGCAGTGGCACAATCTGGGCTCACTGCAACCTTTGCCAACCGGGTTCAAGTGATTCTCGTGCCTCAGCCTCCTGAGTAGCTGGAATTACAGGCATGTGCCACCACACCCAGCTAATTTTTGTATTTTTAGTAGAGACAGAGTTTCGCCATGTTGTCCAGGTTGGTCTTGGACTCCTGGCCTCAAGTGATCTGCCCGTCTAGGCCTCCCAAAGTGCTGGGATTACAGATGTGAACCACCATGCCTGGCCCCCAATACTGCTTCTATTCCTTGTTGGTTCCAATGTTTTTATTAGTTCTATATAAGTATTATTTTTACACAGCTTTCCCCCCTTAACTCTACCAGCATTCTTTCTGTTTCATTTTGTTGCCTTAATTTTCCTGTACTCTTTTTTCCCCCTTTCATATCCCTGAGAGTTTGAAGCACTGTTGTCTTAAATTTTCTTTCAAAACAAATTCTTCGTATCTTCAGCATCCTGTATTTGTCTTTTTTTTTTTGCTGTGGAATTTTTGTGGAAAATCAGTGGACTTTTAGCATTGTCAGTAAAGCCAAAGTAGATGGTATTTTTCACATTTTTGGAACAGACTTAAGGGTATCTTTAGGTTAAAAATATGATGGTATGCTAATGAATTTTCCCAACATTCAGTTCAGATACTTCAAATAATTTTGGAGACTGCTGTATTTCAAAAATGAATTCTCAACTGTATTTAGCAGCTTTCAAAAACTTGCACTAAAGCCAGCATAATACAAAAGTGCTTTCTTGTATTGATTTAACAGATGAACTGGTTTAAAATTGTATTTAGACATGAAAAGATAATTATTTGCCAGTGTGACTTAGAAAAAAACTTATGTCTGGTAATACATAAACAAAAATTTTTTTAAGTAAATGAAATTCCAGCTGTAAACTTAACATGCTTTTCTCCATGGTGAAAAATAGGATATTAAAGTTTATAGTAATTTTAGAGTCCTAAATTGTATTTACTGACTTGCCCCTGGCAATTTAATTTTATAATGCTATATTCAAAATTTTGCTGAAACAGATTGCTTTTGAAGGTCTTCCTAATAGTCAAAAAAATGCTACAGTAAGCCTTAGAGTTGAAAATAGGTTAGCACAGAAAATCGCGTTTATTAATTAGCCACAAAAATATTTGTAAAAGAAAATGAAGTCAGCATTCCTTCCTATGTTTGTATGTTCTTGTTGCTCTTTGTATATATAGGCAAAATGATTATTTTCAGGAATGATTTAACCATTTCTATCTCATTTTTATAGTAGATACTTACTAAAGTCACCACCTTACAAATGGTAACATTAAATAGAGTTTGACTTACCAGTGATTAGCATTGAAAATAATACCACCAGTGATACCATTGTGAGTTTTAGTTGCATTTTTCATCTCTTTGATTAGACATCCAGAGTGCCCTATAAGCCCAGGCAGATACTGTGATGGTTCATGCCACCATGTTTTCCTGTCTTCTGTCTGAATTTCAGCCTACCATCTAACTCATTTTACAGATGCTCAGTTTGCCCAACAAGTCTGTAGCTATTGGTGGCCAACAGCCAGAGCAGGAACAAAGTTTGTGGGAAAACTTACCATCAGAATCCTACTTTCCCTTCCCTCTCTCCTCCTTCCATTACCCCTCTTTTATGGCAAAACTACAAAATAATATTTTAAGCTTATGAAAATTACAGTTTATTTAAATATTTTCGGCCTTGCTTACAGGGATGTAATTTAATACATCACTACCCAGGATGATTAATGCAATACCCTTTTGGTTTGTTCCCTTGCTTGTCTTTTAAAACGGTAAATCGGAAATACTTATAAAATAGTTTAGTATTTTTTAATAAAATAAGTTAAATGTGTTTCTTTAGACAGTTTTTGAAATAAATAGGAATCTTTAAATATCTTTGAATAGATGTTTAAAGCTTTCCTTGGACTTGCAGGGAATACTTTAACTTGTTTCCTGAAAGTATAAGCAGAGAAGGTAGTGTAAGTGTTAAAAAGTCAGGAACTATACGGAGGTTTAAACCAGCCATTAGTTTGCCTTGTTCTTGAAAGAACTTGGCAAAGTTCTTGAAAGAAATCCCAGGGTAGGCTGTTTGGCCAAATAGGACAAGTGTCATCTATTCAGGTTACGTGGTATGTTCTTTTCAGACTTTCTATTCAAAAACCTAACAATCTTGATTTTTAAAAATATTCTGTAAAGTAAAATATTTGTATCCTGTCTTCACTGTTTGGACAGTTCAAGTCTGAATTAATGGAAAATGTTAATTTGAAGGCACAAATACATGCCCCAAATGTCATTTTATTGGTTTTAAATAATAGATACAGAAAATGAATAAAGGTTAGTGTTGTTTACTAATGTCTTCTGTTTAACATTGTACATTCATTATGCTCAATGGAAAAAAACCATATTTACTTATTATGAACCAAAACAACCATATTCACAAGATTGCCACCATTGTGTCACTGTATTTTTCATAGTTATTTAAAAATTAGCTGATTGAATATTTAGCATTGGATTGATTTTCTGAAAAAGTACTGCTAATTTATTCACTGTATAATGAACTACCGCTAAAATTAGTTTTCGTTTTGATAACTATCTTTAACATTATTTCATAAACTTCAGAAATGTATCTAGTACTTACTAATACAGAAAACTTTTGCCATTGCAAATATTAATTAAGAGATCTAATTTTTACATTGTAATTTTGCTCTAAATGATATACAAATTTTTAGGTTACTGCATATTTATTTTAAATACTTGTTTTAAAAGTTTTTATTTTTATTTTTATTTTTATTTTTATTTTTTTGGTCTGGGAGCGGTGGTTCACACCTGTTGTAGTCTCAGCACTTTGGGAGGCTGAGGTGGGAGGATCTTTTGAGCCCAGGAGTTCAAGACCAGCCTGGGCAACATGATAAGACCCAGTCTTTACAAAAATTTTTAAAAATTAGCAGAGCACGGCAGCCTGCTTCTGTAGTCCCAGCTACTCAGGACACTGAGGCAGGAGGATCACTTGAGCCCAGGAGGTTGAGGCTTCAATGAACCATGTTCACATCACTGCGTTGCACCATGGGCAACAGAATGAAATCCTGTCCCAAAAAAGAAAGAAAGAAATATATATATAATAATATATGTGTGTGTGTATATATATATTCATTTAAACATCCAGCTGTAGTGAAATGATTAAATTAGGCTATGCTCACATCATTTTAATATTTTTAAAATTTCAGTAAAAAACACATAAACTTTACCATCTTAACCATTTTTGTTTTTTTGCTTTTTGTTTTGTTTTTGTTGAGTTGGAGTCTTGCTCTTGGCACCCCGGGTGGAGTGCAATGGCACAATCTTGGCTCACTGCAACCTCCACCTCCCGGGATCAAGCCATTCTCCTGCCTCAGCCTCCCGAGTACCTGGGATTACAGGCTCCCACCACGACACCCGACTAATTTTTTATGTTTTTGGTAGAGACAGGGTTTCACCATGTTGGCCAGGCTGGTCTTGAACTCCTGACCTCAGATGATCCACCTGCCTCGGCCTCCAAAAGTGCTGGGATTACAGATGTGAGCCACCATGCCCAGCTGTCTTTACCATTTTTAAGTGCATCTTTTAGTAGTTTTAACTATATTTGCGTTGTTGTGAAATAGTTGTCTAGAATTTTTCATCTTGCAAAACTAAAACTCTATATTCATTAAACAACAACAACTCTTTGCTGCCTCCCCACAGCCACTAGTAACCACCATTCTACTGTTGGTATCTATGAATTTGGCTCCTTTAGATACTTTATATAAGTGGAATCATACAGTATTTGTCCTTTTCTGACTAGGCTGTTTCACTTAGCATAATGTTCTCAAGGTTCATCTATGTTATAGCATATGACAGGATTTCCTTCCTTTTTAAGTCTGCATGGTTTTCATATACTACAGTTTTATTCATTCATCTGTCAATAGACATTCTGTCAAACTGGGTTGCCTCTACCTCTTGGCTATTGTAAATAGTGCTGCTATGAACATGGGTGTACAAATCTCTCTTTGAGATCCTATTTTCAGTTCTTTTGGATATAAACCTAAAAGCATGAATTGGTCATATGATAGTTCCACCTTTAATTTGTTGAGAAATACTGTTTTCTGTTGCAGTCTCACCAGTTTGCAATGTCAGTAACAGTATACAAGGGTTCTAGCTTCTCCACATCACCTCTAACCAGTTTTATTTTCTGCTTTTTTTAATTGTAGCCATCCTAATGGATGTGAAGTGATATCTCATTGTGGTTTTATTTGAGTTTCTCTGATTAATGATGTTGAGCATGTTTTTATGTGCTTATTGGCTGTTTGCAGGTCATCTTTGGATAAATGTCTATTCAAGTCCTTTCCCATTTTTAAAATCAGGTCATTTGATTTTTTCTTGTGAGTCGTAGGAGTTCTTTATATATTCTGGGTATTAAACCCTTCTTAGATACAGGATTTGAAAATATTTTCTCCTGTTCTATAGGTTGCCTTTTCAACTCTGTTGATTTTGTCCTTTGGTGAACAAAATTTTTTAAATTTCATTTGTAGTCTCGTCTGTTTTTTGTTGCCTGTGCTTTTGGTATCATATACCAGAAATAACTGCCAAATCTGATGTCATGAAGCTTTTCTTCTGTGATTTCTTCTAGGAGTTTGATAATTTGGGGTCTTACATTTATATCTTTAAATCATTTTAAGTTTTGTGTATGGTTTAAGGCAGGGGTCCAACTTTATTCTTTTGCATGTGAATATCCAGTTTCCCCAAACCATTTGTTGAAGAGACTGCCCTCTCCCCATCAAGTAGTTCTGATACCCTTGTTGAAGATCATTTGACCATATATACTACATGAGGGTTTGTTTCTGGGCTGTCGGTTCTATTCCATTGGTCTTTAATATATCTGTCTTTATGTCAGTACCCTACTGTTTTGATTATGGTAGCTTTTAGTAAGTTTTGAGATCAGGAAGCATGAGTCTTCCAACTTTGTTCTTCTTTTTCAAAATTGTTTTGGCTATGGAGAGTCTCTTAAAATTTTATACAAATTTTAGAATGATTCTTTTTTATTTCTGCAAAAAAAAATGTTACCAGAATTTTTCATAGGGATTGTGTAGCTATTTATATCACTTTGGGTAGTATTGACATCTTAGTAATATTAAGTTGGGTTGGGCACGGTGGCTCACGCTTGTAATCCCAGCACTTTGGGAGGCTGAAGTGGGCGGATCACGAGGTCAGGAGTTCGAGACCAGCCTGGCCAATATGGTGAAACCCGTCTCTACTAAAAATACAAAAATTAGCCCAGTGTGGTGGCATGTGCCTATAGTCCCAGCTACTCGGGAGGCTGAGGCAGAAGAATCACTTGAACCCCGGGAGGCGGAGGTTGCAGTGAGTTGAGATTGTGCCACTGCACTCCAGCCTGGGTGACAGGCGAGACTCTGTCTCAAAAAAAATAAATAAATAAAATAATAATAATAATATTAAATTTTTCAATCCATGAGCATGGGATGTCTTTCCACTTATTTGTGTCATCTTTAATATCTTTCAGCAATGTTTTATAGTTTTTAGTGCACGAGTCTTTCAGTTCCTTAGTTCAGTTTATTTCTAATTGTTCTTTTTTTTGTTTTTGTTTTTGTTTTTTTTTGCGATGGATTCTCACTCTGTCGCCCAGGCTGGAGTGCGGTGGC
Source organism: Homo sapiens (assembly GCF_000001405.40). Lineage (NCBI taxonomy): Eukaryota > Metazoa > Chordata > Mammalia > Primates > Hominidae > Homo > Homo sapiens. The sequence goes on along the minus strand of NC_000014.9, from coordinate 50,493,944 downwards.
ATGATCTCAGCTCACTGCAACCTCCACCTCCCGGATTCAAGTGATTCTCGTTCTTCAGCCTCCCAAGCAGCTGGGAGTACAGGCGCCCACCACCACGCCCAGCTAATTTTTGTATTTTTAGTAGAGACAGGGTTTCACCGTGTTGGCCAGGCTGGTCTCTAACTCCTGACCTCAGGCGATCTGCCCGTGCTGGAATTACAGGCGTGACCCACTGCACCCGGCCTAATTGTTATTTTTGATGCTATTGTAAATAAATTGTTTTCTTAATTTCCTTGTCTGATTGTTCACTGTGTATAGAAACACAACTGATTTTTCTGTTTTGATTTTGTATCTTACAATTTTGCTAAATTTGTTTATTTGTTCTAATAGATTTTTTTAATGGACTTTAGGATTTTCTATACATATGATCGTGTCATCTGTGAACAGAGATTTTTTAACTTATTTCTTTCCAGTTTGGGTAACTTTTATGTGATTTTTAATGACATGAGAAATGCTTACACAATATTGATTAGTGAAAATAGTCTGTGAAACTCTGGAGTATGGTCCAAATTGTGTATGTGATATGCAGAACTTCATAAGTATAGTACTTACAGGACTGGAAAAAAAATCAAAATGCTCATGGTGTCAGCCTGAGCAACGTAATGGAGATCATGTCTCTACTAAAAATTTTTGAAAATATTAGCCGGATATGGCAGCATATACCTGTAGTCCCAGCTACCTGGGAGGCTGAGGCAGAAGGACTGCTTGAGCCCAGGAGTTTGAGGCTGCAGTGAGCAATGATCGTGTCCCTGCATTCCAGCCTGGGTGACAGCAAGACCTTGTCTCTTGAACAAACAGAAAGCTAACAGTGGGTGTCTCTGGTACATTTATGGGTGATTTTTATTTCATTCTCTTTTTTTTTTTCCTTTTTTTTTCTTTTTTTTGAGACAGAGTCTCAGGCTGGAGGGCAGTGGTGCAGTCATAGCTCAGTGCAGCCTCAAACTCATGGGCTCAAGCAGTCCTCCCACCCCAGCCTCCTGAATAGTGGGGATTTCAGGCATGAGCCACCGTACGTGGCTTACATTCTTTATATTTTTCTACATTGGCTTACTTTTCTAAGATAAGTATATTAATGTGGATACAATAATATGGAATAAAACAATTATTTTTAGTTTAAGAAATGGTAGTTTCCATTATTGATACCTATATAGGATAGGCATGAGTCTGATAGTTTTCTTTACATATTCTGGATATTAACTTCTCAACCAGATATATCTTACCAGATACAGGATTTGCAAATAGTTTCTCCTATAGGTTGCTTTTTCACTTTGTTGGTTGTGTCCTTTCGTGAGCAAATTTTTTTTTTTTTTTTTTGAGATGGGGTCTTGCTGTGTTACCCAGGCTGGAGTGCAGTGGTGATCATAGCTCACTGCAGCCTTGAACTCCTGGGCTCAAGTAATCCTCCCAGCTCAGCCTCCTGAGTAGGTGGGGCTACAGGCACACGCCAGCACATCTGGCTAATTTTTGTGTTTTTTTTGTGGAGACAGAGTCTTGCTATGTTGCCCAGGCTGGTCTTGAACTCCTGGGCTCATATGATCTTCCCACTTTGGCCTTCTAAAGTGTTGGGATTATGCGTGAGCCTCTGCACCCAGCCAAAATTTTGAAATTTGAGGCAGTCTCATCTCTCTGTTTTTGCTTTTGTTACCTGTGCTTTTGGTGTTGTATCTTGGAAATCACTACCAAATCCAGTGTCATGGATTTATTAATAATTCTGTGAGATTAGTTAAAAATTAGAGGATTAAAATAGGAAATACAACTCGAAGCATCACGTTAATAATTTCAACATGAACAATGAAGTAGAAATACAGTAGACATAAAAAGCATAAACCAGTTGATATTTGATGAAATAACAAATGGAAAATACTCACTAATATACTTTTTGTAGAATTATTATAATGTGCTAACTTTCTGAAAGCTCAGGCCAGGTGTGGTGGCTCACACCTGTAATCCTAGCACTTTGGAAGGCTGAGTCAGGCAGATCGCCTGAGCTCAGAAGTTCGAGACCAGCCTGGGCAACATGGCAAAACTCAGGCTCTACAAAGAATACAAAAAATTAGCTAGGTGTCATGACATGTGCCTGTAATCCCAGCTACTTAGGAGGCTGAGGTGGGAGAATTGCTTGAGCCCAGGAGGTTGAGGCTGCAGTGAGCCAAGATCGTGCCACTGTACTCTAGCCTGGGCAATACAGTGAAACCCTGTCTCGAAAAAAAAAAAAAAAGAAAGTTCAGTATGTAATGTTAGAGGATAGTTTTTGGTATTAGTTCATGCTTATAGCTTGGAACACAGTTTTAGGAGTTTAAGAGATAATAAGCTGCGTGCTGTGGCTCATGCCTGTAATACCAGTGGTTTGGGAGACCAAGGCTGGTGGATCACCTGAAGTCGGGAGTTTGAGACCATCCTGGCCAACATGGTGAAACCCCGTCTCTATTAAAAATACAAAAAGTAATCCCAGCTACTCTGGAAGCTGGGGCAGGAGAATCACTTGAACCCAGGAGGTAGAGGTTGCAGTGAGCTGAGATCACACCACTGCACTTTAGCCTGGGTGACAGAGCGAGACTCCATCTCAAAAAAAAAAAAAAAAGAGAGATAATAGACTTTGTGCTCAGGAAACATAGCTATCCACATAATTATAGACATTGGTTGAATTAATTACCTCAGTATTAAATCTGTGATCTACTGTCATATTTTTGGAAGGAGGGGTGTGATGAATCTTACTGCCTTTTATCTTGGCACAACCAGGTTTTAATGCCTAGTACCTTTTTTTGAAAAAAAATCTGAGGGTCTGCTGCTTTTAATCCCTTCCCAGGTACTATTTGTTAGGACTCATTTGATTGCAAGAAAGTTTTAAGAGGGTATTGAATCCAAATGTAATGCAGAGGACCCTTATACACGAGGGGTGCAACCGACTTACTCCAGTTCATCCCCAGAGTATGAAGGCTTAACTGCTTTATGTCAACCTGCAGATAGTATTAGGAAACTCTAAAATTCTAGTCTTTTGCTTCCCAAGATTTCTACTTTTTTCTTACTATGTTTTTACAAGTGTTTTGAGTGTGGCATTAATAATGTCTAACTTGATCCTATTTTGATGCACTGATGGTAGCAGAAGCAAGTGGTAGCTAACACTGGCATTGGCTAATTGTATTCAGAGCTGTGAAACTGGGAGCAAAGACCAGCCCCTCAAGGTGACCCCAGATACTAAGGCTGTATCTTTGTAGTGTAACTTGTTTTAGGGGGTTGGCTGCCCACTCCAGTTAAAAATTGTAGTTTAGAGTTGCAGTGTGCCTGCTAGGCAGAAGGTGGCTTAGAAACAAGGGGCAGAAAACTTGGCCTTCAGGATCTTGTACTTGTACACTTTTTAGCAAATCTGTCTCTTAATGTCAGCCTTGAAACACTATGTTGGAGGCTGTGATCATTGCTCTAGTGGTTACTGAACATGCTTAATTTAAACAGTAATACAGTGGTTTTTCAAAAAACTTTAAAACACAAACCCCCAATGTTAACATCATTTAGAACCCAGCATGCTATAACAAATATCTACATTTCTTAGTTAATTTTTATAGCTACCTCCCAGGGCTCAAGCCAGTTTTAGGAGCTTTTAATAATTTATCATTTTAATTAGGACTAGTTCCAGTGTCTACTGTCTCAGATACAGAACTACCATCCCTTTTGGCTCTACATATTTCCCCTTTCTGGCTGAAGGGGGTCATTTTTTTTTTTTTCTAAGAGTATCAGGCTGAGTTCCCTTACACACACACACACACACACACACACACACTCTCACTCGCTCTCTGTCTCTCTCTGTCTGTCTCTCTCTCTCACACACACACACACACCCATGCATACTTGAGGAGCCCAAGGAAATAAGCATCTGTCTTCAGTGGTTCCCATCTCTGTCTGCGGTTTGGTAGAACCTGCAACTGCCCTTACAGAAAGGAGGAGAAAAAAAACAACCTGTACTTTCGGTCTCTAGTATTTCTCCCTTTCCTGTGTAAGGATGTACTCAGCAGCCAGGTTTCCAGTAGGACATCTCTAGGAATCTTAGCCATAGTCATTCATGGCCTCTTGTTCTAATATTTCACTTTTATTATGATTCTGCTGGTAACTGACAACTGACCGAGTCTCCATGGTTCACATTTTCAAGAGATCAAATGTGATTAGCTCTTGCCAGGCTATGGATTAGTTCTTTTCAAGTCAGTTGTTCACCCTGGTTCCTTTGGCTAGTACAAGGTCACATGACACAAACAGTGCCATGGATGGAGGTAGATTTTGTTAGGAGGGCTATGATCAGACTGGTAGTGATTAATCCTTTAGAATAAAGTGTCATTAACACAAACTGTAAAGTCAGGAAGAAAAATTGGTTTTTAAGAGAAGATATTGGTACTTCAGGGCATGTATTAAATGTAAGGTACTAGCAAGACATTCAAATAGAAATAATAGGTATATAGTCAAAACTGAAGATAAGATAAGGGGCTCTGTGGTTCTCAACTAGTCTCATCCTTACATTGTCAGGGTGTGAAGAATAAAATTTCTCTTCTTTAAGCAAGTACCTTTTTCTTTGGAGACAGACTCTCACTCTGTTCCCCAGTCTGAAGTGCAGTGGCGTGATTATAGCTCACTGCAACCTCAAACTCTTGGGCTCAAGCAGTCCTCCCACCTCAGCCTCCTGAGTAGCTGGGACTACAGGTGCATGCCACCATGCCTAGCTTATTATTTTGGAAAGACGAGATCTCTCTATGTTGCCCAGGCTGGTGAGCAACAGGGCTGGAACCTACAAGCCTAAGTTCTCTGAACCTAGTGGATTTTATGCCACATCTCAGTGGAAAGTAATATTAATTTGGCGTATCACCCAGTTAAAAGAATAAAATCAACTATCCGAATTTCAGATTATTTTTATGAGGCTGATGTAGGCCATCAAAGAATAGCTACATCTGTGATAACCATATTTAGCTTACTTACCTCTCAGGATAAACTACAAAAATAGTAGCTTTATGTAAGTCTCTTCCATGATACAATTTCAGTTCACAGAAGATTTTACTCTCTTTGCATTAAAGTTTCAAATAATATAATAGTGAAGCAGATATACGAAGAATATATCTGAAGGTGGAGTTCAAACATCTGACTTATTAATAACCTGTGCTTGGGAATTCTTGCTTCCAGCTACAGCTGTAAAAAGTTGTCACTCACTCTCACCAAGACCTCACCTTGCCTGATAGAAACCTCACATAGCTGCTGCTGGAAACACAGTTGCAGGGTGGAACCCAGAACTCAAACTACTACCAAGAGTTAGTAGTTTGTTACTAGTAATATTAATTCAGCCATATTATTGACTTTTATGGGTCAGTTTAAGAATTTACACACAATTGAGAAGTTAGGCACCATATTATGTGAAGCTACTCTTGTGAGAAAATCTGTTCTAAATCCCAGACTTAACTGAAGAATTTCTCAGCATAGCTCAGATATAAGGCTTCTGTGCACATTTAAAAGTGAGTAGGTGGGAATCCAAAGAATAACATATTGATATGGTTAGGCTTTGTGTCCCCACCCAAATCTCATCTTGAATTGTAATTCTCAGGCATCAAAGGAGAGGCCTGGTGGGAGGTGATTGGATCATGGAGGTGGTTTCCCCCATGCTGTTCTCATGATAGTGAGTTCTCATGATAGTGAGTTCTCATGAGATCTGATGGTTTTATAAGTGTCTGACAGTTCCTGTAACACACACACTCTCTCACCTGCCACAGTGTCAGACTTGCCTGCTTCCCCTTCTGCCATGATTGTAAGTTTCCTGAGGCCTCCCAAGCCATGCGGAGGTGTAAGTCAATTAAACCTCTTTTCTTTATAAATTACCCAGTCTTGGGCAGTTCTGTATAGCAGTGTGAGAATGGACTATATATATATGTGTTAATATATATACACATATATTAACAAAATTATGTGCTGCTTTACTCTTCTTTGTAATTCATGTTTTTTCAAACATGAAAGATGGGCTAGAATTTAGCCAGTTTGAGGGAAATTAGCATGCGTAAAGGAGAAGTTTTAATGCTATGATGGAAAAGGCTCAGATGGAGGAGTGATATAAAAGAAGAAAGTATTCTGGTGCCCGCGAGTGAACACAGAAAGCAGGGCCTTTCCTCTGCACCTAGGTAGGCAGACTTTCTACTGTCACCTTCAGGGCTTACTCACAGCTGGCTAAACTGATAATGAGGAACAGGAGATCATCTTCTATTTTGGATTATCTCCTTTGATCCTCTTTTATTGTAAAACCATTAAGAAGCACATTTTCAATTGTAACAAGTAGCCATTCGTACACTTATGTTTAAGGTATACGTAACCATTTATGTAATACATGTTTTCCCAGGTTACAAATAAAAGGTAGATTATCTTTAAAGGTTTTCTCTCAGACGTTCATTCAGTTAGAAGATTGTACCCTCATTTGGCTTCCCTAACCCTTTAAAATTGCTAACATGAAATTCTGTAACTGAACTATCAGTTAATGTTTACGTGAATTGACTGTTAAAAAAAGTTCCAATGATTATAAATAAATGTGTCATATTAATAGTTAAACTAAATGTATGTATGGGTTTTTGTTTTGTTTTGTTTTTGAGGTGGAGTCTCGCTCTGTCGCCAGGCTGGAGTGCAGTGGCATGCTCTCAGCTCACTGCGACCTCCGCCTCCCAGGTTCAAGCGATTCTCCTGCCTTAGCCTCCCGAGTAGCTGGGACCACAGGCACCTGCCACTATGCTCAGCTAATTTTTGTATGAAACTAAATAGATGTTTAAACCACATCAGTAGTGATAGGTTCTTTAAAAGCTTTTAATGGCATGACAAGAATATTTAAAGCTCTGTTTTGGTTTTGAACTGAAAAAGTTGAAAGTATAAAGGGAAAAAATATCTCTGACTTGTGTGAAGATTTTGTTTATTTATCTAAGACCTAATTGCTGAGTTTTTCCTTCTTGGCCTTGTATGTTTTTCTAAGATGACTTTGAGTTAGAGCCAGAGTCTGTCTGGACACCACTGAACTTTTTTTTAGTTGGGAGAGGGAGGCTCACTATGTTGCCCACTGATTTTAAACTTGAAGTTCCATTTCAAGTTTAAAGATTACAGGTGCCACCACCACACCCATCTAATTTTTGTGTTTTTAGTAGAAACGGGGTCTCACCATGTTGGCCAGGCTGGTCTTGAACTCCTGACCTCAAGTGATCCGCCCACCTCGGCCTCCCAAGGTGCTGGAATTACAGGCGTGAGCCACCCTGCCTGGCCTAATGTAGCTTTTTCTAATTAACTCATAAGGGTTTGATTGTAAAATACAGACCAAAAAGGAAGAAAGCAAAATTACTTTTGCAATACTTTTTCTATATACTTAAATAATATATAATCTTTTTCACATAATATAAACCTATTTTCATGTCACAGCACACTGTACTGTAATTTATTTAACCATCCTTGCATTATTAAACCATACTGTGGTAAACATCTGTCTTTGTACATATCTCCTTAAGAAAAAAAAAATTTGTAAGTAAAATTGTGGGTTCAAAGATTCTGTATATTTTAAAGACTTCTGACTTTATAGAAAGATTCTACCAGTTTACATTTTCATTGAAGTATTAAGAATGCCTCATTCCTCATCTCTAATATTTATTGTAAAGTTTTCCTTCCTTCTTTTCATATGTAGAGATTTTGAGTAACATGATAAACAACTTATTTTGTTTTCCAGGAGATGATTTTTCTTTGATTCAACAAGAAATATTTATGGTTAAAGAATGTAAACATTGTAACATCGTTGCCTACTTTGGGAGTTATCTTAGGTAAGAGAAAAAAAAGCATCATCTCTCTCTGTATTTTATATATTCTTTGCTACTACACTCTCTCCCTTGTATGTAAGTGCTACTATATTTGTATGTTTTTAAACACTGCAAAGTTCTAAATTTTTTAAGGTTTTCCTATTTCTACGGTTTTCCCCTATTACATATTAATAATGGTACTCCCATTTTTATAGTTGTACCTCATCTGGCAATTTTAATGAAACATAAGTGATTACAAGTAAGTGTTTTAACTTACAAAACTGATCATATTCTAAACCACTGAAGATGGGAACAAAGCTGAAATTAATGTGCTTTTCTGTATATTGTAGCAAGATTACATAGCAGTTTCCTGTTGCACTTCACAGTCCATTCTGAACCCTGGTGTGCTAAAGAGTGAGAGCCTTAGAGTATTTCAGTGATTGAAAATTACTAGCTAATATAATTTTCTTTTTTTTTTGTATTAGTCGGGAAAAACTATGGATTTGTATGGAATACTGTGGTGGCGGATCACTTCAAGATATTTACCATGGTACTGTTAATTTGACTTTACATTTTAAACAGACTTTGGTTTTAATGATTGTTGTTCGATATTTCCAGTTAACCACGGAAATTAACAGGTAGACTTACTATTTTGCATTCTTCTGTTCCCGGAGCACTGCATAACAGAAATCTGTATTTATTTTTTATTGGTTAGTCAATTAAACTTGCCTGAGCCTGAAGTGACAAATGCAAAAGTATTTATATAATCCAAATTTTACTCTTTAGATATCTCTAGGAAAGTGTTTTATCTACAAATGAAACTTCCTAAATTTCCTTGTAAAAAAAAATTGAAATGCAAGGGGTAACTCACAGAAGGGAAGTTACGTGTCTGTCTTAGTAACTTAACCTGCTAACCAGAAAAGCAATTTGCTTGTTACTGTAATATTTTTGTATTAATATGTATGTTTTAAAGTTTCGAGTATTTTATTTAGTATTCATATTAATTTAGGCAGTTTCCTGAGTTGAATTTGACATTACAGTCTAATACTGTTTAGAAAGTTTTGTTTTGGCTCTACTGTTTAGCTTTTAATTTGTTTTGTTGCTGCTGGCAATTTCTTGAATTTCTAGAATTTATGAGACTAAACATAGATCCTTATAATTTTTCTTCTCCTTGTTTAACATGGATATGGGATAGTAAAACTCCCATTGCAGCTACTTATTTTATAATTTGTTTTAAAGAATTACGTGAAATATTTTTAAACGTTTCTATGCTGAAATCTTTATATTGGAAACCTTACCAAATTTCAGTCATGCAGTTTACAAATGCAGCCACAGTAGATATAAAAACAGAAGTGCTATTTCACTTCAAATAATAGGTTGTAACTACAGAGCTCAGTTTTAAAATGTCAATCAATAGAGCAGTGGTTAAATAAACTACTCTTCAACCTGTAATATGGAATACTGTGCGGCACTTAAAAAGATGAAGTTACTTCATAATTATTGACCTGGGTATATATCCCTAAGGCTTGTTTTTAAATGGAAAAAGTGAATTGTGAAAGAATATGTATAACATACTGGGTCATACTTAGGCTTTTAAAAATTACATTTTTATAAGTATAAATATAGAATGTAAATGTATAGCAAAATGAAAGAATACCTACCAGTTGACTAAGTCATTACCAGAGGAGAGGGAAAGCAAAGCTCAGAAGTAAACTTTTAAATTACAAAAAAACTTATCAATATAGTACTTAATTATCAATTTTAAAATGTCATAATTATCTAATTTTGTCACAACAAATAATCCATAACAACAAAAATTCTGACTGATGTCTAAACACTGATCACTACCTCTTTATTAACAAAAATGTTTTAACATCACATAAATGTTACAAATACACAAATTACTATGATTTAGGCTATTTCTTAGGCATGTGGATTTAAAATTCTCTGTGCCACTGGATTTAATTTTTTTCTATGATTTTATAAAGAATTGCTATCTTCTCATGCCTGTAATTCCAGCACTTTGGGAGGCCAAGGTCGGGAGTTTGAGACCAGCCTAGCCAACATGGTAAAACCCCATCTCTACTAAAAATACAAAAATTAGCCAAGTGTGGTGGCAGGCACCTGTAATCCCAGCTACTTGGGAGACTGAGGCAGGAGAATCACTTGCACCCAGGAGGCGGTGGTTGCAGTGAACCAAGATCACGCCAGTGCACTCCAGCCTGGGCGAGAGAGCAAGACTGTCTCAATAAATAAATAAATAAATAAATAAATAAATAAATAAATAAATGGAATTGCTGTCTTTTCTGTGAAAAGTTTTTATTCGGTAATTGTAATTTTTGTCCATTCACATTTTTATAAAATGAGAGCACTCAAGATAGCTGGCTTTTTTTTTTTTTTTTGCAACTTTTAAGTTTAAAGAATAGCTTTGAAACATTAATTTTATTTTTTCATGAAATTCTGACTTTCTCTTATTAAACCTGATATTTGTTGAATTAAATTGAACCTAAGAAGTACCCATCCCGGTAGTTAGTATACTAGATAGCATAATAATCAATAAAATCTACACTTATAATTAGATGTTGTTAATAAAGTGACTTTTTTTCTTTTACTACTATTTATCATGTTACTAAGAATCAAAAATTTATGTTCCTGAATGGGTAGAGAGAGCCAGTGATTAAAATACGCGGTAGAAATTTCTCTAGGTGAAGAATACACATGACTACCTGATTTGGTTTCGCTGTCAGCAGATACCACCCCAGAGTTACTCTCATGGTACTGAAAGGCATAGTCCCGAAGCCTCTGGTTGAGTTCTTGAAATAAGTAGAATTTTATATTTCATATTAGGGAGAGATCTGGTTGCCAAAAGTGACACGGTTATTTTTTAAATTCTTAGATAAGGTACTGGATCAAGCCTCTCTTTTGATAGGTGTGGTAAAGAATTATACTAAAGAAATAGCATCTTGATCTATAAAAAAGTATATGATGCCTTTTAATATATTGGATAGTCAATCTCTTTATGATTCTCTATTTCTCTGTATAATTAGTTATATGTATTTCTTTATTTTTGAAAAATTGTTCAGGATTGCATTCTATAGACCTTCCTATAATGCATACCACTATGCTTTGCACATGAGTGCTTAATATTTTCAAGGACCACAGTTGTTACGGAGTTAAATCTTTTAAAGTACATTTGAAAAAATTCTCAGTGTTACCTTTTGTTTTTGATTCTTGTTGACAGAAATAATATATGCTCACAATCAGAAGAGAAATCACTCAACTGTATAAATAGAAATTGTTTTATAATAGTTCGTCTGTTTTTTTGTTTTGTTTTGTTTTTTTGTTTTTTTCCGAGACCGAGTCTCGTTCTGCCGCCAGGCTGGAGTGCGGTGGTGTGATCTCAGCTCACTGCAACCCCTGCCTCCCGGGTTCAAGCAATTCTCCTGCCTCAGCCTTCCGAGTAGCTGGGACTACAGGTGCGCACCACCATGCCCAGCCAATTTTTGTATTTTTAGTAGAGACGGGGTTTCACCATGTTGGCCAGGATAGTCTCGAGCTCTTGACCTCGTGATCCGCCTGCCTTGGCCTCCCAAAGTGCTGGGATTACAGGCGTGAGCCACTGCGCTTGGCCTAGTTTGCCATTTTTTTTAAGTAGACTGTTTCTAATGTTAGGTTTAAATGTATAACAATGTGGTCTCTTTTTCTTTCTAGTTACTGGACCATTATCAGAATTGCAAATAGCCTATGTATGCAGAGAAACCTTACAGGTACTATATTTTCTTAATATAGTTAGAAAGGCAATTCTAGGCAATATTTTCTTAATGTAGTTAGAAAGGCAATTGCCTGACAATTGATAACTATAAAATGATAGTCTACCTTAAAGAGAAAGGGTAAAACAAAATGATTTTTCTGTTAATCTCTTATAATTCTGTAAAACTAGTTATTTTTCTTTCATGAATGAATCACATGAATTCATTTAAGCTGATGCCGACATATACAGTGATCATATGTGGAATTCCACTTTGATGCTGATGCACACCATGGTCATGTGAGGTATTCTCCTTTATAGCACTTGGCCCTCAGTTGTGTAAATTGGTTTTCAAGAATGAATTACCAAACCTCTCAATTGTAACATGTTGTCTAAGCGTTCCCTTCAAGTTTATGGCAGTAAAAGGAATCTCTTCCATGAGACATAGGGGCTTTTACTATTTCTCTTGAAATAAAATAAATTAGCACAGCATTAACTCAAGGTGTTATCTGAAAACCCTAGTTCTATGTGGTATTAAATGTTATTGATAGCAGAATCTCTTTTTGTAAGTTTGGTTAACATTGCATTAAACAGGTTTCTTTACTTCAGGGCCTGTGAGAACTTTTAGTATGCTAAAATGGGTTATGAATATTCAATAAAGATATAGAGTATGTGGTATTTCTCCCAATTTATTTATTTTTTTCAGTGCCCTGAAAGACTACTCACTGAGAAAATTAGGAATTAACAATTTTGTTCATATAATTTAAGGCATTTAAATTTGCAGGAGGGAATAAGTAGTAGTGATTGTGGTTTGTATTTTTGTAATTTACAACTGATAATTGTTAATTAATGCTTCTATCCCTAAATTTCCTATATTGTGTAGTTTCAATTTAGAAAGAAATTGATACTCTATGTGTTGTTCTCTAATATTTTCCAAAATGGGAGATTTGGCTGATCAGGAAAAAGTTCTAGTCAATTTTGAAGAGTTGGTTCCCACATGCTTTAAAAGACATAAACACTGCCAAATCTTACTGAGAGATAAATCAGATTAATTTATCTAACATATATATATTTATATATATATATAGAGATGTGTAATATATATGTATGTACGTATGTGTGTGTATATTCCTATAACGTTTACATAACATAGAAACCTACTTCATTGTATCTACATAAAATACAAACTTAATTATACACTCATAGCAGAGAATTATTGACAAATTCATTTTCTTTGTATTTTAATTTCTAAAGTTCATTGTTTCCCTAAGTATTAAACAAAGTACTGAGTAGAGGTGAAAAAATAAAAAAAAAAAACAAAGTCGAATTTGCACTCTGGCGCTGGTATGTGACCGTAATCTTTTATATAGTTCTAGTTCCCAAAATACAATCCTGTACTGCATAACATTTCAGTCAACAATGGGCTACATATACAACAGTGGTCCCATAAGGTTATAATACTATATTTTTACTGTACCTTTTCTATGCTTAGATATGTTTAGATACACAGTAATTGTCATTGTGTTACAGTTCCTACAATATCAGTACACTAATGTGCTGTGCAGGTTTGTAGCTTAAGAACAATAGGGCTATACATATACCCTAGGTGTTTAGTAGGCTATGTGTATATACCATCCATGTTTATGCAAGTACCCTCTGTGATACTTGCACAACAAAATTGCCTAACAATGCATTTCTCAGAATGTATGCATCCCTATTGTTATGTGAGCATGAGTTTATAAAATGAGGCTTATTTTCAAGAACAAGGATGGAGCTGGAGATCCTTATGTTATGTGAAATAAGCCGGGGACAGAAAGACAAACATCACATGTTCTTACTTATTTGTGGGATCTAAAAATCAAAACAATTAACTCACAGACATAGGAAGTAGAAGGATGGTTACCCGAGGCTGAGAAGGGATTTGATATGGTCGGAGGGGAGTGGGGATGGTTAATGGGTACCAAAAAAAAAAAAAAGAAAGAATGAGTAAGTTCTAGTATTTGATAACACAACAGGGTGACTATAGTCAGTAATAACTGAATTTTATATTTTAATATAACAGAGTGTCATTGAATTGCTTGTAACTCAAAGGATAAATGCTTGAGGGGATGGATACCGCTTTCTCCATGATGTGTTTATTTCACATTGCCGCCTGTACCAAATAAATTCCCCATAAATATATACCTACTATGTACCCACAAAAATTAAAATAAAAAAAAAACCAATATGAAGCTTAGGAAGGGAATACCTCCAAGATTATTTCCAATTTTAAAATTCTATTATGCAGATAAACTTCCACATCTGGTCAAAATCAGGTAACAAGAAGTAGATTTACCATGCTACCCAAAACAATCAAATAAAGTAGGCAAAATATATGAAACAGTGATTTTCAAGAAACTGAACATCAGGTAATGAAGGACAATGAGGCCTGAAAAATAGGAAACAAACCAAGGAAGCCATATAATTGCCCCAGCTTATGGCGTTGGGAAAGTTTTCAGGCCACAGTACAGGGAGAAGGAACCCAGGTGGGGTCCCAAGCCAGTTAGAGTATTTAAGGTAGAGTATTGGAGAGTGCTTCAGAGTATTGGAGTATTTTTGAAAATTCAAAAATATACAGCACCCAACAAAGTAAAATTCACAATGTTGGGCATCTACTCAAAGATTACCAGACAAGCAAAGAAGCAAAATAAGATGAAAATCAGTAAAACCAACCCACACTGACAGATGCCAGAATTAGCAGACAAAAACATTAAAACAGTTATAACTGTTTAAGATGCTTAACAAGTTGAGATATGGAAGGTATAAAAAAGGCCCAAGTCAAACTTCTAGAGATGAAAACCACAGTGTCTGATGGAATTAACAAAGGATGAAATTAGCAGATGATTAAATACTGAGTGAGCTTTGGATGGAATTAACAAAGGAATTAACAAAGGATGTTAATTAACATGTGTCTGATGGAATTAACAAAGGATGAAATTAGCAGATGATTAAATATTGCAAAAAACGTATATTTGAATTTGAGGGCATAGAGGTGGAAAATATTCAAAATGAAACATGGAAAGAAAAAGTAATTTTTTATAAGTGAAGAGTATCATTAAGCTGTAGGACAATTTCAAGTGGCCTAATATGGATATAATTGGTGTCCTTGAAGGGACAACAGAAGAAAAAGGGACAAAAATGAGAAAAAAAAAAAGAGAGAGAATGAAGAGACAAAGAGAAAAAAGGGAAACGAAAGAGAAAAGGGAGACAAACTGAAAAGGGGAGATGGCTGAAAATTGTCCATACTTGATGATAACTATTAATATGGGCCCACAGATCCAAAGTGCTCAACAAACCCTGAGCACAAAAAACAACAACAACAAAAAAAAAAAAAACGAAAAAAACTACACTAAGACACATGAATCAAATTGCTTATTTGATTAGAACATCTTAGAAGCATTCAGAACAGGACTCATGATATACAAAAGAACAAAGACAAGGAATATTTATTGTTAGAAATAAGTGAGAAGACAGTGGAAAATCTTTAAAGTACTGAAAAAAAATTGTCAACCTAAAATTCTATTCCTAGAGAAAATCTCTTTCAAAAACAAAGGCAAAATAGAGTTTTTCAGACTTACAAACACTGAAAGAACAAGTCACCAGCAGACCTATCCTACAAGAAATGTTTAAGAAAGTCCAACATTATGCTCAAAGAAAATGCTCATTGGAGCATTTTGTATTTTCTGTTTTCTGATTAGGGATGTTTAACCAGTATATATTCTGCAAGTACTAAAAAATCTGAAATCTGAAATATGTCTGGTCCCAAGCATTTTAGATAGGGATATTCAGCCTGTACTTATAGGGAAATTTATAGCACTAAACAGAAGCTCTCAAAATCAGTATCCTCAGCTTCCACCTAAGAAGCTAGAAAAAGATGAGCAAATATAATGCAAAGTAAGCAGAGAAAGGAAATAAAGATCAGAATAAAAATAAACGAAATGGAAAGGAAAAAAAATAGTAATAGAGAATGTCAGTGAAATAAAAATCTGATTCTTTGAGATGAGCAATAAAAATGATAAACATCTAGACAGATTGATCAGGAAAAAAAGTAAAAAGAGAAGAAACAAGTGATAAGCATCAGAAATGAATGATGGGATATCAAGACAGAATTTACAAATATTAGATAACAAGACAGTATTATGAACAGTATTATGCCAATAAAATGGGCAGTTTCAACAAGAGATACAAACTACCAAAGCTCACTCAATTATAAATAACCTGAATAATCCTATATGTATTCTCACAAAGAAAACTCCGGGCCAGATGATGCCATACAGTAAATTCTACCAGACATATAAGAAAGAAATAATGCCAATCCTATATATACCTATCTAGAAAATTGAAGAATGAGAAATAACTCCCGAATCATTTTGAGTCAGCATTTTTCTGACACCAAAATTAGACAACAATCTTACAAGAGAACAAAACTACAGGCTAATGTTCTTCATAAACCTAGGTGCAAACATTAAAAATAAAAGGTTTAGCAAAGGTAATCCAGTAATATATTTTAAAAGTTAATACATCATAAGTGGAGTTTATTCTAGAATGCAGTGTTGGTTTAATATCCAAAAATCATTTCATCTTAACAACTAAAAAAGAAAAACCACATTATCATCTAAATACACACAGGGCATTTAGCAAAATCCAACATTCATTCCTGATAAAAAAAAGTTCTGAACATGGTAGGAATAGAAAGGAACTTGGTCAACCTGATAAAGCGTACCTGTGAAAAACCTATGACTAACTCATACTTAATGGTAAAAGACGGGATGTTTTTTCCTCCAGGCTCACCCAAACAGGGTGATGAAGTCTGCCTTTACTACTACTTTTCAACATTGTCCTAGAGGTTTCAGCCAGTGCAAAAAGAGAAAATAATGAAATAAAAGGCATCTGGATTAGAAAGTAGGAAGTACAACTCTCTTTATTCACAGACCACATCATCATCTGTGTAGAAAATGGAATAAAATCTACAAAGTAGCTACTAGAACTAATAAATTAGGCTAGAAAGATTGTAATATTCACTATCAATGTACAAAAATCAATCAGATTTATATATACTAGCAACGGACAATCTGAAGTTAAAATAATACAACATATAATAACATAAAGAATATGACATTCTTAGGGATAAATATGACAAAAGATGCATAAACACCTGCATACAGAAAACTACAAAACTCCTGAAAGAAATTAAAAACCCAAATAAATGGAGAACTATACCATGTTCACAAACCAGAAGACTCAATACTGTTGAGATGATAATTCTTCACAAATTGTTCTGTAGATTCAGTGCAACCCCAATCACAATTTGAGGAGGCTTTTTATTAAAGAAGTTGACATGCTGATTCTAAAATTGCTGTGGAAATGTAAAACACCTAGAATAGTCAGACAACTTTGAAAACCTGAACTATAGTGCCAGAAAGCACATCAGTGTTTGTGAGGGTTGTGGGGAAGAATGGGAAAATTATAAAGGAGCACCACATAAGGAAACTTTTAGGAGTAATTAATATATTTGATATCTTGATTGTGTTTAGTGAAATATTTCTGATTTTTATCAGAAAATAAATTAGAAATCTTCAGGCCGGGTGTGGTGGCTCACGCCTGTAATCCCACCACTTTGGGAGGCTGAGGCGGGTGGATCACTTGAGGTCAGGAGTTCAAGACCAGTCTGGCCAACATGGTGAAACCCCGTCTCTACTAAAAAATACAAAAATTAGCTGGGCATAGTGGCGCATGCCTGTAATCCCGGCTACTTGGGAGGCGGAGGCAAGTGAATCACTTGAACCCAGGAGATGGCAGCTGCAGTGAGCCAAAATCACTGCCACTGCACTCCAGCCTGGGCAGTGAGACTCTGTCTCAAAAACAAAAACAAATCTTTAAAATATAGTAAACATTGATTTACTTATCTAGGTTTTTTTCTCCCCAAAAAAGACATTCTAGTTTTTCTTATTCAATAAGAATTTAAGTAGAAAATTTAGGAGTCACATTTACAGTTTTGCTGATACATTCTTTTTTTTTTTTTTTAAACTTTTAGGGTCTTGCCTATTTGCATACTAAAGGCAAAATGCATAGAGATATCAAAGTAAGTTCATTTAATACATTTAAATTGCCAATTCTATTGGAAGAAATTTTATGATGCTAATTTAATTGTATTTGTATTTTTGTTCTAGGGTGCTAATATTTTATTGACAGACCATGGCGATGTAAAATTAGGTATGTTATTTCAAATTCCTAAAATTTTTTCCAAAAATTTAATGACATTTTAATAAAATTTTTATAAAATTTTAAATGAGAATTAACATTATGCAGATTTCATTTTCATATCAAGAGTCGCAGTAATGTTTAACTTTTGATCCAGTAATTTTACTCCCAAAACTCATTTTAAGGAAATTAAACCTAAAGATGGAAAATCCATATTCACTAAAGCATTAACCATAATATTACTTGTGGTAGAAAAAATGCAAATGTAAGTCTAGCAATAGAAAAACTGTTAAACTGTGATAAATCTATTCAATCATTGATATCTATGAATGTGTAAGAGTAACATCTGGTGTGTTAAATGACAAAAATGGACTGTATATTTATTTAGTATTTTACAACCACGTGTTTCTGTGTGTTATTTTGTTTGTTTTGAAGGAGATGGTCTCACTCTGTCATTCAGGCTGGAGTGCAGTGATTCAGTCATAGCTCACTGTGTACTTGGACTCCTGGCCTCAGGCTATGCTCCCACCTAATCCTCCCAAGTAGCAGGGATTACAATACAATCATGTTTAACTACAACACTTAAAAAGTTCATACATAGAAAAAAATGACTGTAAAAAAAATAGTACCAGAATGCTATCCTTGTTATATTAGGATAAAAGGAATACAGGTGTGTGTTTCTCCCATGTGTTTTATTTTTTGTGCTTTTTTTTTTCTCTTTTTCCCAAATTAACTTCATTGTGTATATAATAAAAATATTTTTTGTTAACTTTGTTCTTAATAAAGTATTTTCATTCTAGTAAAGTGCCAGTAAATTTTTTTAATAAGTATGTTGTGAACTAAGCAAGAAGAGATTTAGGTATTCAATTTATGCGCATTTTTCTAACATTAATATTTGAATTATTAATACTGCCATGCCTAAGGGCGAAAGTAAAAATGTTGTTTGGTGTATTGTAAAGAACTAAAATTTTCTGTTTTTTTCCTCACTAGCTGACTTTGGTGTGGCTGCAAAAATAACAGCTACCATTGCAAAACGAAAATCTTTCATTGGCACCCCTTACTGGTAAGACATTACTGTGATTGAATTTGATCCATTTTCATTTCTTCATGGTTTTGTGATCAACCTCGATACTTGGTAATAGAAGTAATAATTAAAAGTAGGGAGATTTGCGTGCTCTTTGACAGTATCATAAGTTCTGTTTGGGTTAGGGAACTTTGATGCTCATATTCATGGTTCAGCCTTCCCTCTGTAGAAGTGCTAATAATTTTTACTATCCCTGTGATTTTATATTGAGAGGGCTCTTAGGTATGAAATTTTCAAAAGATTTGCCTCCTGTAATTTTCTTACCCTTTCTTCTGGCATTCTCTTTTAATCTAGGACTTTTCCACTTTATTTTATTTTAAGTTGCAGGGTACATGTGCAGGATGTCTAGGTTTGTTACATAGGTAAACGTGTGCCATGGTGGGTTTGCTGCACCTATTGACCCATCACCTAAGTTTAATCTAGGATTCTTCTTCCTGGTTGTTAAAACTCCTTCATCCTACCTACCATTACTCTCACCAGCCACCCCACTCTTAGTGCATTCCACTGATTACTGACAAAATAATCTTTCTAAAACACTGCTTTCATTATTGATAGATGATAGAAATAAAAAGCCTCATAACAAAACCTTAATATTTAAAATTGTGAATGTTATAAAAGGTGACATTTGCAGTTTGTGTGAAAGGTTAGATTCTTTTTTTTTTTTTCTGAGACAGGGTTTCATTCTGTCACGTGGCTGGAGTGCGGTGGCACAATCACAGCTCACTGCATCATTGACCTCCCAGAGCCAGATGATCCTCCCATTTCAGCCCCCGAAATAGCTGAGACTACAGGCATGCAACATCACAGCCAGCTAATTTTTTGTAATTTTTTTTGTAGAGACAGGGTTTCAGCTAAAACTCCTGGGCTGGTCTAAAACTCAAGTGATCTACCTCCCAAAGTGCTGAGATTACAGACTTGAGCCACTGTGCTTAGCCAATTTGGATTCTTTAATGTGCAGTGTTTGGATAATTTGTTATTTGAAAAGAAATTTAAGTAGCTCCGTACCTCATACCTGATGTCAAAAAATCGTATGTGGAAATAGTCAAGTTCACACCTGTAATCCCAGCACTTTGAGAGGCTGAGGCGGGCGGATCAAGAGGTCAGGAGATCGAGACCATCCTGGCTAACACGGTGAAACCCCGTCTCTACTAAAAATACAAAAAAATTAGCCGGGCGTCGTGGCAGGTGCCTGTAGTCCCAGCTCCTCGGGAGGCTGAGGCAGGAGAAGGGCGTGAACCCAGGAGTCAGAGCTTACAGCGAGCTGAGTGCGCACCACTGCACTCCAGCCTGGGCGACAGAGCGAGACTCCGTCTCAAAAAAAAAAAAAAAAAAAAAAAAAGTGAAACCAAAAGAGCCATCAGTAACTATCTGCTTTAAGAGCTGAGGAAGGCTTTCTGAACATAAAGAATAAAACCTTAAAAGGAAATGCTGATAGATTTAACTGCATGAAAATTTAAAACTTGTTTATGTCCACCAGCTTAAACAAAATTAAAAGGCAAGTAAAAAAACAGGAAATATTGTCTAAAATATGCCAAACTAGGTTTAATATTTTTCATATGTAAGTTCTTATGTCGTTAAAAAGAATGTCTCATTAGAAGCAGTTAGTAAAATAATACATATTAAGTATCGTAACATATGATAATAGATCACAAGAAGTTACGGATTTCTTTTTTTTTCTAATACCAACTCTATTAGCAAAAACAATGGCATAGACTTATTTGTGCCAAAAGAGAATACTTTTTCCATAAAAAAGAAAGGTAGAATATATCTAATAGGTGAGGGGTAACCAAAACTTTTTACCTGAGACCAGTAAGAAAAGCCCCAAAATTAACAAAGACTCAGTTTTCAATGACACATTCATCACAGACCAATTAAAAAACTACATAAAAATCTTACCTACATATTAGAAATACATTTTTAATTCATTCATAAATCCAACAACCTTTTAGACATATAAAGAAAAATTATTAACTGACAAAAAAACACTACGTATCGAATTCATTTACTATCACTTAAAGGGTGTCTACAGAATTCTCACCTCAATATTTTCATGGAAAATAAGTGGAAATCAATAGTCCAGAGATCCTCATTAAGAATGAGCCACTGATAAACACAATATATTTATAAGTTGTATAATATTCATGTGCATGTTTTGAGCATTAGTCAATGTTTAATTTGCATCAGGCTTTTCAAATTAAATTTATAAGATTTCTTTTCAATAGGCATTCTCAGATGACTTTTGAAATAATTATTAAAATGGAAACTTACCTGTTTTGCCAAGTACTAGGATTTAGATACAGAATACATTCTTATAAGATTCATCTCCAATGTGCACATGTCATGTGTCTTTGAATGTACCTGAGAGAAACAAAGGCATCCCCACATTCCATATGTTTACAGGGATTTTCAGAAATGACTTCTTTCATGTCTTCAACTAGAACTGGAAACACTGAGGACATTACCACATTGTTTACATGCATATTTTCCCCCCAGTATGAGTTTTATATTTTAAAAGGGAAGTGGCAAAATTACATGCCTTCCCATATTCCTTACATTCATAGGTTTTTCTTCAGTATGAGTTTTTTTAATGTGTTCAAAGGGAACTGGAACATACAAAGACTTTACAACATTTCTCATATACATATGGTTATTCTCCAGTATAATTTTTTTCATGTTTTCAAAGATAACTCAGATAATTGAATGTTTTCCCACATTCCTTACATTCCTAGGATTTCTATGAAGTATGTTATTTCATGTTTACCTACAGAACTGGAATATCTGAAGGCTTTATCGCATGTCTTACAATCATAAGGTTTCTCTCCAGTATGAATTCTGTCATGTGTTTCAAGGTAATTGAAACGACTAAAGGCTTTACCACTTTTTTTTTTTTTTTTTTACCTTCATAGAGTTTCTCTCCAGTATGAGTTTTTTCATGTGTTCGAAGGGAACTGAAATGTCTGAAGGTTTTACCACATTTTTCACATTCATAAAGTTTATCACCAGTATGAGTTCTCTCATGTGTTTAAAGGTAACTGAAATGACTGGAGGATTTACCACATTTTTGACGTTCGTAGGGTTTCTCTCCAGTATGAGCTTTCATGTCTTCTAAGGGAACTGTATTGATTGAAGGCTTTACCACATTTTTTATAGTCACAGGATTTCTCTCTATGTGTTCTTTCATGTCTTCACATGGAGCAGAAATGACGGAAGACTTTACCACATTTCTTACATTTATAGGGTTTCTGTCTAGTATTATTTCTTTCATGTTTCTGAAGGAAACTAGAAAGAATAACTCCCTTACCATATTTCTTACATGTAAAAGATTTTTCACCAGTATGAGCCCTTTGAAAGTAACTAAGACAACTTAATTCTTTCGCATATTCCCTACATTCATAGCGTTTCTCTCCAGTGTGAGCACCTTTGTGGTTATGAAGGTAACTGGAATATCCAAGGGCTTTATCACATTTCTTACATTTATGAGGTTTTTCTCCACTGTTAGTTATGTTTTTGAAAAGAACTGCAGAGTCTCAAGGATTTACCAGATTTCTTCTGTTCTCGGGGTTTTTCTCCAATGTGAATTACTTTATGTCTTTGAAGTAAATAGGAAAATTTAAATGTTTTCTCATGTTTCTTACATCATGTAGTGGCCTGCAGGTCATGGCTAGGGGCATGCAACCCCTACAGATTTCTTTGTTCCTTCTTTACTCTCACTGCTTCACTTGACTAACCTAAAAAATATATATATTCTGAATAATGTGTCCCTTGATGAACAAATTAAATGACTTTTTTCTATCAAATTGGAAAATATTTGGAATTATGGGCATCCTTACTATCACTAAATATTTGGCAGTGAGAGTAGAAATTGGTACAACAGGGGTTAGGGAGGGAGAGCATCAGGAAGAATAGCTAATGGATGCTGGGCTTAATATTAATACCAAGGTGATGGGTTGATCTGTGCAGCAAACCACCATGGCACACATTTACCTGTGTAAAAAACCTGTACATCCTGCACATATACCCTGGAACTTAAAATAAAAGTTGAAGGAAAAAAAGAAAAGAAATTGGTAGAACGATTTTGAAGCATAATTTGATGGTAATGTTTATCAAAAACTTTAAGCAATATTTATCTTCTTTATTCTCAGTAATTCCATATCTGGTAATTTATTAGAGAGGCATACAGATTTGTATATGATAAGCTTTATCACACTATTTTAATGATAAAAATTGAGGGAAAATAATACACAACAGGAAGGGAATTACATTTATTCAATTCAGTGGAATAATATGCTACGGCTCATGATATGTTGTTAATTTTAGAAAGCAAGATTCCAAGTAGTATATGCAATATGATACCATTTTATAAAAGGTGTGTGTGTGTGTGTGTGTGTGTGTGTGTGTGTGTAAAAATGGATGAAAATATGTGAAACAGGAACTCTCTTTGAGTGGGATCATGCTTAGCTTGTTTTCTTCCATATTTTTTCATATATTCCAAATTGTTTTCAGTCAACACAAATCACTTTAACAGAAAAAAAGCCTCAATAAGTATCAGTTAAATAAAAGTTAAATGAAGATATAGGTGAGTTAGATAACCTATAGGATTGCCTTTGTCACATCAGAGTCCCTCACTTTCTATGACTGTCCTTTTTGTGAATACTCTTCTAGTCTAAATTGTCTATTTTTTGTATCCTGACTATATCAGGTGAAATACTACTACTTTAGCTTTCTTTACTCTTCCCTAAGATACCCTTTTTCTGTGTTTATCTTAAGCCCTCCCCATTCTTAAGAGGGCCACACTCTCTACCTTTCTATACCTATGGCCAACTGATTGAATACAGTTTCCCACTGAGCCAGGAAGTGCAACAGTCATAGTCAACTTGACATTCCAGTTAGCCACCACTAGCTGATTCCAGTGGGTAGAGGAGATGAATCCTGTTTGCTTTCTCTGGGCTCCACCTCAGCCTCTTTCCTCTGTGAAACTTGCCTTCAATTATCTTGCTCCGTGGTGATTGTTTACTTCTCCTTACTCCTATATCCATTGTTATGTATGTAGCACTTGCATATAGTACACATCTACATGTTCACATTTTTAGTATACATACTTTATATGCTAACCACACTTGAGAGACAGGGTGTTAATATAACTTTTTGTAGCCTAAGTACATATAAAAGCAACTTGTACCTTGTGGATATTCAATTCAAATTAATTGAAGTTAAGTTAGTAAACATTTGAAAAGATAAAAGAATATTTCCCCTGAACAGTATCATCTATACTTTATAACTTCAGAGGCCTTCTACAGTGCTGATTCCCAAACTTGTAACTCCAACTTCAGTCTTTTGTATATTCAACAGTTGTTTAATAATAGCTCTATTTCAATATCCACAAGCATTTCCTCCTCAGATCTATATCTTAAGTTAACCCCTTTCATTCTGTTCCCTCTGCTACGGCCTTTGAAAAGTTCTCTAACATATCTGCCTGACTGATTTCACCTGATTTCACACTATCCTTCATCTTGCCATGCAGTTTTAGATTGTTTGACCTCATAATTAAATCTTTCATTGGGTCCCCATCATTTTCATGATAAAGTCTAACCTTTTTTGTATAAACAGTAGATCATTTATAATCTAGCCTCTACTTCTGAGGTTGATTTCCCAAACACTTTTGAGACTTTCTCTAACCATGTGTTATTTCCTGTCCATTACAGACTTATTTGTAAAATAAGATAAAAATGAATTTATGCATTTGGACAAGCATAAATGCTTACTCTCCATTTCTGTATTTATCACAGACTGGTAGCCAGCAATGTATGGCCCCTTATCAGTTTGCAGGTGATACATTGAGCACTGTCCTGTCAGCTTTGCTGGTCTCCCTGAATTTGTACTCGTTTCCTGTCACTGAAATGTCCAGGCTCCCCACCCTACTTAGAAGTCTCACCTCCTTTAGGAACTTTTCTTTGACCTTCACAGGGATTTAGGTATTCTTTTTCTTTTTGCCTATTACATAACAAGATTCACAAAAATAGAAACCAAACTAAAACAAGATTTTTCCTTAGAGCATAAACATTCAGAGGAGGGCATTCAAGATTCTTAATTAATTTTAAAAGTGTGTATGTGTGTGAAATAGAGATTTAAGCCTTTACTTAGTAATGTTTCTTCTTTCCTAGTAAACACCTCTCAGCTTCCTTCCCTCCAACAAGTCTGGTGATTATAACAGGAAGTAACAGATTCAGATCAATATTTAACAACAAAAATGTTGTATTCATTGATTCCTTCTAGGATGGCCCCAGAAGTTGCAGCAGTAGAGAAGAATGGTGGCTACAACCAACTCTGTGATATCTGGGCAGTAGGAATAACAGCAATTGAACTTGGAGAACTTCAGCCACCTATGTTTGATCTCCACCCAATGAGGTGTTCTCATTATTTATAATTATCCAGTTATTGATCAAGTCTATGGGGAAAGTGAAATGCTGATAACTCAGCATCAAGCTCATTTTTAAGAATGAAAAATAGTAAAGGTATTGTAAGGGATTTAGGAGTAATCTCATCCAAAACCTATTGTGGGCTAGTCCGAAGGTAGTTACCTCAATTCATTTTTCACAATTACAGATCAAGCTCCTTGTTCTGCTTTTCTCCTTCTCACTACTGTACTTGACTAGTCTTTAAATAAATAAAACCTGTCTTGTATTGCTGCTCCTAAAACAACATAAGAGTAAATTGTCTGTACTGTTTGAAGCTTTTCCATAAAACAAATTTCTCTTCATAATCACACTAGGATATGAGAGTTAACATTATTTTAAGACTTTTTGAGTCTTCATGTTCATTCTTTTATCAATTGATCTTTTTTTTTGTCCTATGTGGAATTATAAGTAAATGATAGAATGCAGATGAAACTTTTCTAGTTATATTTGATTTTGTTTCTTTTTATTTTATCCAGGAATAATGAAGAGGTATCTATGCTGAATATAATTATCATTTACATTCTAGGATGTATTATCTCAGAAAAAAATATTTGAGGGCATCTGAAAAGTTTTTTGATACTTTGAAGGAAAAGATAGATTAGGCTTAAATTGACACTTTAAATGGTATGAAGCTAAAAAGAAAATTAACAGAATGGTGAAAGTGTTTTGCTAACGTGATTGGCAACAGATTGATATATACTATATAAGGAAATCATTCAAAGACTACAAGCAAAAAATAGATTAAGGTTTATGAGCAAGTACCAGATACGGGAATCTATTTGAGCTCATAAGCAGCTAAAGATAATATATATTAAAAGATACCTACTTTTAGCTAGAATGCTGATAAGTACAGACCTTTTGGAAAAATACTTTGATGTTATTTGTTATGGGCAATACAAATGTTTCAGTGCTTCCACCGTTTAGGGGATTATAATTCAGAAATAATCTAAGGAAAGAAAATGCTAAGAATTATGCATTTCAGGATAACAAGGGAAAAAATCTAAATATGTAGTAGTTGGTGAATTCTTAAGCCAATTATTTAACAGTTAAGGGCAGCCATTACATATGTATGAACCAAAGCAAAATGGAAAATTGATTATTAGTGAAAAAAATTATAAATACTAATGTGAATATAATGTAATTGGTAAGCATTTAGATAAAGACTAAAAAGATTAGAAAAATGTTTTAAAGAGATTAGAAAATTTTAAATAATAGAATGGTGGGAATATAGTTTTTTTTATTTTTCCTTTGAATCATTTAATTTTTAGAAAGGAAAAATGTATTTGTTATGCTAAAAAAGAAACAGGAATTTGCTTAGAAACCTGGGATTTTTGTAGGAAATGCTGAAATAGAGCATTTTAGAACTTCCTTCTTAAATCCTCTATCATACTACCCCCATAGCCCACAAGAAAATGGGTCACACGTGAGTTTATAGACAAAGTTCTCTTGTAGATTGGTTTATGTATTTAATATACTGAGAGAATATGGGAAATCATTGTCCAAAAAAGGAAAACAATCAGGAAATGGATATAATTTGCCTATACACCCACCCAAAATAAATATGGAGGCCAGTCTTTGGTTAAATATGCAACCTAATGTTAGAGTAACATGTCATCTCTATGTATTAGAGAATTATATACAATTATATAGACATGTGCTTAAGATATAATACTAGTTACATATGTAACAGTATAGTAAGAAAACTCTTTTCCAATATTTGGTGGGTTTGCTTTGTGAATAAGGACTTGTTGGAAATTTAAAAATCTTCTCTGTAGTCAAGAGAAATTTTTTGAAAGCTATCTAAAATATTAAAAATTTAATTTCTATATCCCATAGTAGTTTTCATCATTGTCCACTTATGTGGTAGTCTTGTATAAATTCATTACAGAATATTCTTTCTAATTGTTAGATGTAGTAATTTTGATATTGTTCTTTAACTATAATTTTTATTTCAGGGCTCTCTTCTTAATGTCAAAAAGTAATTTTCAGCCTCCAAAACTAAAGGACAAAACAAAATGGTGAGTTAAAGAATATATAGTTTTATAGAATTTTACAATCGAAAGGAGTATAGATTCAGTTCCCATATTTTGCAGATGATTAAACAGAAGTCCATAGACATTAAGCAGTTTTCTCAAAGTTACACAGCTGATTTGCTTGCAGACCTATGGCAAGGATCTAGATTTATTTTCTGGTAGTTTTTTTTTTTTTTTTTTTTTTTTGAGACAGGATTTTGCTGTGTTATCCAGGCTGGAGTGCAGTGTCATGATCATAACTCACTGCAACCTCAAACTCCTGGGCTCAAGAGATCCTCCCTCCTCAGCCTCTTGTGTAGCTGGGACTATAGGATGTGCCACCACAACTGGCTAAGTTTTGTTTGTTTGTTTGTTATAGAGACAGGGTCTCACTATGTTGCCCAGGCTGGTCTCAAACTCCTGGCCTCAAGGGATCCTCCCACTTCAGCCTTCCAAAGTACTGGGATTACAGGTGTAAGCTACTGTGCCCAGCCCAGTGTTTCTTTCTTTTTTGTGGAGACGGAGTCTCACTCTGTTGCCAGGCTGTAGTACAGTGGCGCAATCTCGGCTCAATGCATCCTCCGCCTCCTGGGTTCGAGTGATTCTCCTGTCTCGGCCTCCCGAGTAGCTGGGACTACAGGCACATGCCACCACGCCAAGCTAATTTTTGTATTTTTAGTAGAGATGGTTTCACCATGTTGGCCAGGATGGTCTCATTCTCTTGACCCCGTAATCTGCCCACTTCGGCCTCCCAAAGTGCTGAGATTACAGGCATGAGCCACCTCACCCGGCCCAGTGTTCTTTATAATCCAGTGTTCTCATAAAACTCAATAATTTTCTTAGGTCTTCGGCAGATTGGGTAAGAAGTGTGGTGAGGAAAGAATTAGAAGTGATTACATGAAGATTTTGAAGAATCATCTATTTTTGCTCTATCTTCCTTTACTTCCATTAATTACACATTGACTTTCATGGAAGGTGATATGAAAAGGGTTTCCAGATAACATGACACTTAAAATCAATCTCTGTTGGTTTTTCCCTCTCTTCCTTACGTAATACTCAAAAAGATTATTACTTATTTTCATCTTGATCCCTTCTTTCTCTTACAAAGTAAAGCAGTTTACCTATCTTTATAGTCCAAAAAGATGTCATCAATTGGTTAATAAAAATTAAAGATTATTTTTCTGGTAATGTCTTCCCCATACATTTAATAAAAGAAGCTGTGCAAATAAGTTTCTGAGTTCTTAAATTCTAGAATTCCTTATCTAGATTACATAGATCTTTGAGGATCTGTGAGCCCCCAAAATTCTGTATGTATATCCATTTTTCTGAGAAGACAGTCCATTGCTTATTTCAGGTTCTAAGAGGCCCCTCCCCACAAACAGGTTCTCAACCACTGCTTTATGTTTCAGTAGTCTGTCTTAGCATAGTTTTATTTAGGACTCAAGCCATTCTGGGGATGATGACAGGAAAGAATGGCAAATCACACCGTGGAAAGAAAGGAGTTTATATTGTGCTGCTAATTATATTCCTTTGTATTGACACTGGGTCCTTCCTTTTCCCTGTTGCTCTAAGTTCCTAGACATCTGGAACTGAACGGTTTTACGGCAGGAATGACTGATATTCATTCAGGAATGAATGACTGTTAGCTATAAATGCTAAATTCACAGTCAGATTTCAGAGCAGTTATTACCATTGGAGAACCTTTGCCAGTCCCGATACTGTCTGACTCCATGTTATCTTTATCGCAAGCCACCAAATGTGATGCAGTGATGTGATTTCTCTGCAGAGAACTGCTGTGTGGTGGTTGTCATTGCTGATAAATACGGTTATTTCATACCTTTAGTTCTTGTCCATTCTCTCCAGTGGAATCTTGGCAATGGTAGAAATACCTTTTTGTGTCATTTCTTAATAATCAAAATGTGATACCTTTAATTTATGTCTTCTTCCTTTCCCCACTTCATCAGTGAAGGTGGCAGAAAACCCTTCTAGTTGCTAAAATTGCTCCCTCCTCTTTGCCTTTTTTTCTAAGAAATTCATCAGCCTCTTTGGGATTTAAATAGTCTCTTATATTACCCCATGCCTACCTTTCGTGCCGTCCAACTCTTTTGGTATAGCACAATATTTACATACTAGGTAAATTATGCAATGAGAAAAGGACATTTTGACTCCTAAGTAGTACCTAGAAAAGAAGGTCATATATAAATGACACAGCCTATCTATTTCTGATTGTTAGTGTAATTTTTGTGGTTGTATATTACTGTTCTGTTACTTAATTGTATTTTATATGAAAGACAAAACTGACACAGATGTTTCCACGGAATATATTGTACTTTAACTAAGTGGCCCAATAAAAAATCATGGTGTTTTAGACTAACTGTTCCTAAGTTAATGTTATTTACTAACACCGAAACGTAATAGTAGTGAAATATTTTTGTACGTCTCTTTTTATTTTAAGGTCATCAACATTCCATAATTTTGTCAAAATAGCACTAACCAAAAACCCAAAAAAAAGACCAACTGCTGAAAGACTTCTGACTGTAAGTCATTGAAATTACGAGGGGTCTTCCTATAGTCATAAATTAGACATATCAGTAGAACAAAAGTATTTATGTTTTTAAGATAAAAATGTTAGTGATCTCTTACAGCAGGGGTCAGCAAACTTTTTTTTTTTTTTTTTTTTTTTTTTTTTTTTTTTTTGGAAACAGGGTCTCACTCTGTCACCCAGACTGGAGTGCAGTGGCATGATCTCAGCTCACTGCAGCCTCCACCCCCACCCCCTGGGATCAAGCCATTCTTCTGCCTTAGCCTCCCATGTAGCTGGGATTACAGGCGCGTGCCACTACCACCTGGCTAATTTTTGTATTTTTAGTAGAGACAGGGTTTCACCGTGTTGGCCAAGCTGGTCTTGAACTCCTGACCTCAAATGATCCACCCGCCTCAGCCTCCCAAAGTGCTGGGATTACAGGCATGAGCCACCATGCCTGACCAGCAAATTTTCTATAGGCGGGTCACATAGTAAATATTTTAAACTTTGTGGGCCATACAGCCTCTGCCACAACTACTGAGTTCTGCCATTATAGCCCAGAAGCAGCCATAAACAGTGTATATATGTGGGTATAGTTTTAATACTCAATAAATATTTACAAAAAGAGGCAGGCAGTGCACTAGATTTTCCCCATGGGCTGTAGTTTGCTGACCCCTGCCTTAGAGAAAACTTTAAAATGTTGCTGTCAGCTAAAACAAATTGCTTTTCTTGTCTTCTAATGTAAATTTATAGAATACTCTGCATATGTGTGTGTATAAAACACTTTTATGTTAGAAATAGTCAGTGATTACAACAACCTAAGAAGCTTTACTGACATGCCAATATTTAATTATATATGTCTTTGTAAATTAACATAATTTTACAGAATTAAATGTATGCAGATATATGATATACATGCTTTTTTCTTATTGTGATTATGTACCATACCACAGTATTCATTTGCATCAGTATAGTGATATGAGTAATGAATGTCATTGGTATAGCCATATCTAATCTATATTAATTTTAGAACTTAATATGGATTAGATAACTTCACAAAAAGAAATTGCTTTCTAAATTTACCCTACAAAGGCTCTTCAGTTTTATATAATGTGTAATTATGGATTCTCTGATTAATATTTTTACTAACACAGTTTATTTGTGTTAGTAGACTCCCATATACTTGTCTCTGCTAGTTACTGAATGAAAAAATGAAGATAGCATTTTCTTTAAGCCATAGATGTAAAGGCATACTCATGAAATTTCATTTTGTTGTCTTTTAGCACACTTTTGTTGCACAGCCAGGTCTCTCTAGAGCCCTAGCAGTTGAACTGTTAGACAAAGTGAACAATCCAGATAACCACGCACATTACACTGAAGCAGATGACGATGACTTTGAGGTAAGGAAGTGTTTGCAGTCTCATAGTTGAAAATAAATGTTTTATAAGGCCTTAAAGTTTGCTTTTTTTTCTTTGTTTTCTGAGTCTATCTTTTAACTTAGTTAAAACAGGTTTAGCTACAGAGATTAATAATGTAAACTACACTTTTCCTGCACATAATTATCAGTTGATACTTTTTTATTGTGGTATAACCAGTTGATACTTTTTTTATCCTAGTTCTCCTTAGAACTAGGATTAGTTCTTAACACTGTCTCTTTTTATGTTCTTAGTTTGGTTAGCCTGAAGTTTTGGTAGCTGAGATTGAAATCAGGGGTCCCTCTGCAGAAATGCAGAGGTGCTTTCCCTTTTAGTGATTGCCCTTATCTCTAGACCTCAGCTTCTGTAGTGAGTTTGATCATTCTGTGGGATATATATAAAGAACATCTGTTTCCAAGGAAATAAAGGTTTTAAGAGCCTTGCTTTCAACCAAGAAAACAAAAGTGTAGCCACAACACATATGCATATTATTTTTCATGAAAAGGACTTCTTCGAAATCCAGCTGCGCATTTTTGTAGTTGAATTTGTATTAACAAAATACAAATAATTTTAAAGAATGAAGCTGAAGTTCCTGTTGGAAAATGTTATCCTTTTCAGTATTTCAAAACTATTATTTCTTATATAATTAGTTGTAGGGCTATTCATAACTGTGCTTGCCTTCTCTGAAAACATTATAGAATTATTTTTAATGTATTTTCTTTTTTTTTTTTTGAGATGGAGTCTCGCTCTGTCGCCAGGTTGGAGTGCAGTAACACAATCTTGGCTCACTGCAACCTCCACTTCCTGGGTTCAAGTGATTCTCCTGCCTCAGCCTCCTGAGTAGCTGGGACTGCAGGTACCTGCTACCACGCTCGGCTAATTTTTGTATTTTTAGTAGAGACAGGGTTTCACTAAGTTGGCCAGGATTGTCTTGATCTCTTGACATCATGATCCACCTGCCTCAGCCTCCCAAAGTGTTGGGATTACAGGCGTGAGCCACCATGCTTGGCCTGTAATGTATTTTCTATAACAACACAATTTGTCAGGAAATCAGGAATGAGAGACTTCCTCTTCATTGACAGGTATCTATTTATGACTATAGCACAGCTATATTTTTTCACCAGTCTCTTTCTCTCCTTATGTTCCTTCTTCTCCTTTTATGATTCCATTTTATTTCTAAGTTTTTCTGAATTTGTCTCTTCATGTCCTTTATTTATTTATTTATTTATTTTATTTCCCTTTTATCTCTACCTTCACTAAAGGGAATTTTCTATTTCCTGTTTTTCAGCTTTAAATTATTTCCTATAAATATCATACTGTGTGCCAGACACGGTGGCTCACACCTGTAATCCCAGCACTTTGGGAGGCCAAGATGGGCAGGTCACTTGAGTTCAGGAGTTCAAGACCAGCTGGCCAACATGGTGATACCCTGTCTCTACTTGAAAAAAATACAAAAATTAGCTGGATGTGATGGCAGGCGCCTGTAGTCCCAGCTACTTGGGAGGCTGAGGCAGGAGGATCTCTTGAACCCAGGAGGCAGAGGTTGCAGTGAGCTGAGATTGTGCCACTGCACTCCAACCCCAGCAACAGAGTGAGACTTTGTCTTTAAATAAATAAATAAATATTATAGTAACTACTAGCACTCATTGGGTACTCAATGTATGCCAAGTATTAGGCCAAATAATTTCTATGTTAACTCATCTAATATCAAAACAGTCCTTTATACTGTTTTATAAATGAGGAAACGAGGGACAAAAAATGAAAGTAATTTGCCCAGCATCATATGGCCAATAGGAAATGGAACCAGGATTTAGATCCAGGCAAACTCCAGAGCCTACTCTCTTAGTTAATACACCATCATATCTATGTATGTATTTAATAGAAATAGTCATTGAACAATCTTTAAACTCCAGTCTTTATTTCCCCATTGCCTGGTATATAGCATAATCCTGTCATGTCATGAGTACCCAGTGAATATTTAGTTGAACGTTAAATGAACTTGAAGTGGAAATATTAAATAAACCAGCCAAACAAAATTGTTTTCTACTTGAACCACTGTTTGCAACTTGGGATTAGTAAATATTTTAATTGTTTAAAGATCCAAAACTTAGTAAAGTTATTCTTGCATAAATGTAGAATTAGATATTACTCTATTCTCCAATTTGCCTTTCACTAGTTATGTAAATAACCAGACACCTCTTATTTTTTATCTCGTTTTGCTGGGCTTCCCAAATCCACTCTACTTTCTGAATTCTCTATTTCTGTTTAATGATGTCACCATACTTTTCAGTTCTCGAAATGCAAAACCACGTGCCAGGCAGTTGGGGGGGCACAATGGTATATGAGACTAACATTATCCCTGCTTTTATAACGCTCATAGTATAGTCTCAAAGGAAATTCAGAAGTACCAACGAATAATTTACACATGTGATGGAATGGGAGGTAAAAGGTGCTATGGAGGGATATCATAGGGACTGGAAAAAACTCACTACTGTAGAAGTGACATTTAAGCTGAAAACCTGAAGGATAAATCAGAATTAGAGGAAGAGAATAAATGTAAGTGGCCTGAGCAGAGGTGTTAATAACATGTTTGAAAGCCTAGTGATAAGGGAAAAGGCAGTGTACATAAGGAACTAAAGAAAAGTCAGTCTGGGTTGGACACAGTGGCTGTCTGTAATCTCAGCACTGTGGGAGGCTGAGGCGGCTGGATCACTTTGAATTCAGGAGTTCAAGACCACCCTGGGCAACGTAGCGAAACCCCATTTCTACAGAAAATACCAAAAAATTAGCTGGGCATGGTGGCACACGCCTGTAGTCCCAGCTACTCAGGAGGCTGAGTCTGGAAAATCGCTTGAGTCTGGGAAGCAAAGGTTACAGTGAGCCAAGATCGCGCCACTGCACTCCAACCTGGGTGACAGAATGAGACCCTGTCTCAGGAAAAAAAAAAAAAGAGAAAGAAAGAAAAGTCAGTCTGACTAGGGCAGAAAACAAGGAAGAAGGAAGTGGTAGAAGATAACGATACAGAGCTAGATACTGTCTATCAAACTGTATTTAAAATGTTGGGCTTTAGTCTAAGGGTAGTAGAAAGCCATTAAAGGGTAAGGGAGTGACATAATCAAAATGTGCATTTTTTAAAGATCTCAGTGACTTCAGAATGGTGAGTTCATTACTGAAAACCTGTTAAAAGACTGTTGAAATTATACAAGATAAAAATAATGGTAAACTAGGATGGTAGAGCAAGGATGGAGAAAAGTGTATTAATTTAAGAATTAGAGAGTTAATGATTGGATGAAGACATGAAGGTAAGGAATAAGAAGAGAATTACTACCAGATTTTGACTTGAGCAGTTGGATGGATATATTTACTATTTACTAAGATAGGAACACTATGGTAAAATCAGGTTTGGAAAGAAAGATGAGTTAAGTTTTATACTGAAGAAGATGTTGCATAGAACTTCCAAATGGAAAAGTCTAGTAAGGAGCTAGATATGTCATTGTAGCTTGGAGAGAAAAGTTTGGACTAAAAATACAGGTTTGAGGCTAGGTATGATGGCTAATGCCTGTAATCCCAGTAGTTTAGGATGGGCCAAGGTGGGAGGATCACTTCAGCCAAGGAGTTGGAGACCAACCTGGGCAACACAGTGAGACCCTGCCTCTACAAAAAATGTTTTAAAATTAGCAAGGCTTGGTGGTGGGTTCCTGTAGTCCCAACTACCTGGGAGACCAAGGTGGGAAGATCACTTTAATGCAAGAGGTCAAGGCTGCAGTGAGCCATGATTGTGCCACTGCACTCCAGCCTGGGTGACAGAGCAAGACCCTGTCTCAAAAAAATAAATAAAAGTAAATAAAATAATAAAAATATAAATTTGAGAGTGATTAGATACACATGTAGTTGATGCCTTAGGAGTAAATGTGATCGATCACCCAAGGGAAGCATGTAGAATGAGAAGAGAGCCTAGCACAAAACCTGACATTTCTCCCAAAATTTAAGGATCAAGTAGGCAAAGAGCAATAGCAAAGGAGATTGATAAGGAACATTGAAAGAAGAAAGGAGAGTTTCAATGAGAACATAGAAATTAAGTTAAACTAGTTTTGGCTTTAGGTGGTTAGTGTTTGATGAGTTTAACAGAGATAATTTTCTAATAGAGGAGGGGGAGCTAGATTGAGTGATTTGAAAGATATGTATTGCAATTCATTTATGAAATTGAGTTGTGAAGGGAGGGATAGGATAGAGCAGTAGCT
This sequence comes from Homo sapiens, assembly GCF_000001405.40. NCBI lineage: Eukaryota > Metazoa > Chordata > Mammalia > Primates > Hominidae > Homo > Homo sapiens. The sequence goes on along the minus strand of NC_000014.9, from coordinate 50,458,408 downwards.
GGAAGAGAATAAGCTGGAGAAGGATTTTTTTGTGTGTGTGGTGGGGGGCATTGCTTGAACAGTATTAAATGCTCATGAATACTGTCCAAAATAGATAGAAGAGTCAAGGGAAGCAAGATGGAAAGGCAGAGTCCATGAGAAGGAAGCAGGGAGAAGCAACACTGCTCTTCCATTAGAGAAAGGGATGGTTGATAATGCAGTGTAGCTGGTGATTTCTATTTTCTCTGTGAAGTAAGTGGTGAGGTCATCTGTACGGATGAAGGAAAATGGGTAGGTTTGAAGAATGTGAAGAAGGTACAGAATAGTAATTGAGGGGAATGGAGGGTTAGATGACTAGAGAAGTGTTTGTGGGCAAAGTCGGAGCTCAGATTAGATGAATTTTCAGTGTGTTCTGCTGTGTAATTTTCCTCCAGCATGATTGATACCCCAGATGTGTAAACGCAAAGGTAACCAGTTGAGTTTATCCAGGATTGGCATTTTGCTGTCCCAGTGTACTAAAAGACAGTGGGGCAAAGGGAATTTAGAATTTTTGCAAGAAATTACTTGAAATTATGTGCTACCAGACATAAACTGGATAAGGAGAGATGTTGATGGAGAGTGAGAAAATAATGAATCAATGGACTTGATATTCCAATGGGAACATTGAACAAGTGTTATGGGAGTGAGAGAGTAAGCTCAAAAGATCAGAGATTTGTAATATAGAGGAAATTCATGTGTTAGAGTTGATGACAGGGTCCAAGATGTGATTTTTAGGAGTTGAGAGTACATTGAAATATATGAGAGTGTCTTTAAAGATGGGGTCAGAAAATAAGTCTAGAACAATGGATCCTCCTGGGGCTTTGAATTTATTTGGTGTTTTGGTGGGTATTGAAGTAAGGGGCGAACAAATGAGCCACTTTGAGAGTCATCAGTGAATGACAGTGAGTCATCAGAAATTTGGTAAATAGGGGTTGAGCTGAAGGCCTAAGGGGCAGGAGGTTCTGCGTGGTGGGTAGAAGTATTATGCTTCTCACTTGGCTTACTACAATATTCTTACTCAATCTCCCTGTATCCAATATTTCTCCCCTCCATAGTCTCATACATATTTAATAGATAACTCTTAAAGCTGACATTGGCAATGCCACTTCCTTGCTGTAAAGTCTCCAAAAAATTCCTTTTGCCAAGAAACTGAGGTGAAGAGCCCCAGGCTGACATTCAGAGCCTTTGTCGATTGGGCTCACCCTCATGGTCTGTCTTTCCATCTTTGTCATCTCATCACCTAATCTTCACTGCAAACAAATAATAATCAACCCCCACTGCCTACAAACACTCCACAATTTCCTGTTATTTCTTACATCACTTTGTTCTTATTCTTTCTGCTGTCTAAAATGCTTTTCCCACATTGCTGCATATTCAGTACATACTGGTACTTCAGAGCCCCAGATGAGATTACAGCTTTCATGAAGAACTATACCCCTTCAGGTCAAAGTCATTTCTCCCTTCACTGGGCTTTAATAGTAGTCCATTTATCCTGTTAATGAAAGGCACTTGCCATTTTCTTATCTGTATTTGTGTGTCTTATCTTCCTAGACTGTAAGCTCTTTGAGGACAGGATTTGTGTCTGTCTTTGAATCTCTTCAGTATTTTATACAGTATAAACATGGAACAAGTGAAAAAACTTCCGAAGTATTGTAGCGTTCATTGTATTTGTTTTATGTTTATCCTATAATTTACTAGTAGATATTCATATTTATCAATAAATGATAAGAAAGTTTGACCTTTTAACTTTCTCATTGAAATTTGTTAAAGTATATATATTATGCTTATATTCACAGCCCCATGCAATCATTCGTCATACCATTAGATCTACAAACAGGAATGCCAGAGCTGAACGGACAGCTTCAGAAATAAATTGTATGTGTTTGGTTTACATTTTCCATTGGTGGTTTTGGAGGGTTGTGCTGCGTGTTCTTGTATGTTTTGTAGAATAATAAAATTTCAGACTAAGGCTACATACTTCAACATATCAGAATACTTTTAAAATAGGGGTTGCTTTTCTGGTTTCGATGGAATTCCCTTGGTTTGTAATTTCTGAATAATTTTTATTTTCCAGTTATGGACAAAATCATGCCCATTGCTGAAAATCTGCAAGAAAAAAAAGAGAAAATTAACATTGCATGCAATCACATCACCCAGAGCCAACCCATAGTTAATATTTTGCCACATTTCTTTCATTTTCCATGTGTATTTTTACATGGCTGAATTTATGCTATGCATAAAATTTCACTTAACAATAGAATTAATTTCCATATATTAGTATAGACTTTATAACCATTCTGTTTAGCGATTGCATTCTGTTTCATTAATTGATATATTGTAGTTAGCCAGTTTACTCTCACTGTACATTTGGGTTGGTTTCAGGTTTTAAAAATCAGATTAGCACTAAGATGAATCTTTCTAAAGGAAATATTTCAAAAGCGAGATTAGTTTTTAATTTAATAATCATTGACAGATGAAAATTTTCTATCAATATTTGTCACCTTAGCTAAATTAATTTAGAACTACAGATTCGTAAAGACGTTTTAGTTCTCTGGTTTATTGCCTTAAATGAATACTTGTTCTGAGAGATTTAAAGTAGTTTATATTAAAATAAGGTTTATGACTAACAAAATCAAATAAAATTGTAAACCATACTAGAGGAAAATAATTCATTAAATATTTGAGCTAATTAGAATGATTGCCAGTGTGCATTTTGTTTAAGTCTGAGTTTTCATAAACCCAAACATTTCTAGCTTTCTGGACATAGCTTTAAAACTCTTAGTCACTAGAGAGTTAGAGTATCTTTCCCTTCTCAGTTGTTTCAATCAGGCCTTTTCATAATTAAGCCAGTAATTCAAGATTTAGTGTCTTTGTTAGTGCCTAGATTGATGATATCTTCTTATGCTGTTCTCTCCTTTTATAATCTGAGGTGAAGTCTGTGGGCCTCCAATACTAAAGAGAAAAGTAACAAAGTTGATATTCCATTGTAACATCATATTCTTTATTTTATGCAGTTCTGTAGTATTCCATTAATGTAGTCTATTTTATCTATCTTTTCTCGTATAGTTTTGGGTTTTGTGTCATATTTAGAAGGCTTTCTCGATTCCAGAGTTATCAAATAATTTTCCTATTGTTTCTTCTTGTGTTTTTAGTTTCTTTTTTTAATATTTAAAAACCTGATATACATTATTTGGTAGAAGGTAAGAAGTATGGATTCAACTTGAGTTTCTTTCTAGATGACTACTCATTTGTTTCATTATTTATTGAAAATGCAATCTTTCTACTCATGGATTTGATATGCCATCTTTATTATATACCGAATTGGCATAGATATTTTAGGGTTGTTTCTGGAAATTCTATTCTATTCTGGAAATTCTATTCTGTTGCATGTCTGTTTTTGTGCCAGTAGCATACTTTTGATTATTATATCTTGATAATATCTGTTAGAACTAATCCTACTCCTACTCTCTGCCCCTCCCCACAACACACACATATGTACCTTGTCACACTTCTTTTTCATTATGACATTTGGCTATTGTGCCTTCTTCCCCACATAAACTTAAGAATCAGCTTATGTGGTTAAAAAAAAACAGAAAAATTCATTGTTTTTACACAGATCTTATTACTTTGGGAGAGTTGACATATTTATGATATTCAGTCTTCTTAATCAAAATAGGCTTCTTCAGAGATAAGATTTAGTTCTTTTATATTCCATAATATTAGCCCAAAATACTAATATCCTCATAGAGTAAGTTCTGGTTGCTTAAAGCACCAGACAAAGCGGTAGAGTAGAAGGTCACTTTATTAATGACTTGTCTTTAAATTTTTGTGAAACTTCTTTTGTATTTATCAGGAATGTTTTACCACTTTGCTTTTGTTGGTTTGATAGATTTTATACTATTTATTTCTACTCTGTTTTTTGTTTCAGTGTTTTAAATTGAAGTGGTAGCTTACATACAGTAAAATGCTCAAATCTTACGAATACTCCAGGGTAAATTTTTAAATATATACACTCATATAACTACCACCCAGCTAAAAATATGAGTTAGAACATGATCAGAATCTCAGAAGGTTCCCTCACGAGAGCCTTCACAATCAGTTTTCTTAAATTCTATACTCGCCTGCCCTCTCTCCGCCCAGGCGAATTACTATTCTGATCTCTGTCACATAAACTGGCTTTTACCTGATCTTGACCTTCAGGTAAATGGAATTATACAAAAAGCAACTTTTGTTCCTGGCTTCTTTTACTCAACTTTATGTCTGTTAGAGTCATGTGTAGTAATAGTTCAGTTTTCACTACACTGTAGTATTCCATTGTATGACCATACCACAATTTATCCATTCTTCTGTTGATGAGCATTTGATTTATTTCTGGTTTTGGGCTATTATGACTACTGTAAGCATTTTTACAGTGTATTTTTAGTGGACATAAATGATTATTATGAATCACACCCAATCAGTCTAAGACCACCAGGGGCAAATGTGTAGTCCAACAAAGTCAGGTTTACTGACTCCCTGCAGTGAGAGAGAACACACACCAGAGGAACCAAACCATTCAAGATTTCATCAAACAAGGGAAAAGAAATACAGGATTTTGGAAAGAGTAGAGTTCAGGTGAATTTTAAATGATGACTTAATGCAAAGTAGGGATGTATCTGAAAGGGTGAACATCAGGTCTCCGCTGTTAAAGTAAACCCGGGAGTATGTTTCCTTGGAAACTTTTTGAAGTGTTGTGTTCAGAAATGCCTTTATTTGAAGCTCTGCATCTGGACTGGAAATTGAGTCTGTTTCTCTGTGTCAGTGATTTAGTCCAGGCAAGAATAGGATGATTCATTCTAAATGTGATTTCATGTAGCAATGTTTCTGGCAGTCAGTGATTTTAGAGAGAGAGACATTTCTCAGTTAGAAAGCAGAATAACTCAGAGGGGGTCATTATATGAAACTTTACATGTACAAAGTATCCTTGGGAGAAACATTGTTTCTTGTTGACTTTGCATTTGGATTTGTGTCTGTCCTTTCAGCTTTATGAATGGCAAGACAGATTTCCTACTTTCTCAGTCTGATTCAGATATGACTGTATTAGCTAAATTACCTAATTTTTTTTCTTTTTTTTTTTTTGGTTTGTCATCTGAAGAGTGTATTGGTGGTTGAGTCGTTACCTAGGAAACCAGCTGATTACAAGGAATTGGCACCAAGGGAAGGTAGGAGGTATTCACGAAGAGTATAAGCCTAACAGTTAGTTTAATTGTATAGTTTTAGCTGACTCACAAGTAAATTTCAGCCAGGTGTTAGACTCATTCTCCAGACTGACTAAGGCTGCAAAGGGCAATAGTAAGAATAGGGACTCTACAGGTATCATCATAAAGAAGTAACAAGCATCTGTCAACAGTCCAAAACCTCCAGCTAGCAAAAAGTGGGGGGAAATGTGACTAAGAAATAAAGTACTGTTGTTGCAGGTTAAAGTAAAACAACCAGTGGCTCCAGTTATCTTTCCATGGGTCTTGGGCAGACTTTTCATGTAGTTATCAGTTTGGTCCAACTGACTTGGGTGGAAGCCCTCTTCTTTTTGTAGTCATCTGCTTCAGAAGGATTCCTTGTCACCTCTTTTTGAGGTGTCCTGCTGGGACAGTCTTCCAGCAATTTAAGATTGGCGTATGTCTCTATGTTTGAGAGACATGAATACAGGGATCAACACCCTATTTTACTGTTGCATTAGTTATTAACAGCACCTGGCAAAATTCTATTTATTGAGTTTAGAGGGCAGTTTTCCAGAAGACAGTCTCTGAATTTTAATATAAAGGTTGTTTCAGAGGAAATGCTTCCTGGACCTGTTTGAATGGAAAACTGTGTGTACTCTGAGTTACAGTTAATAACTGGAAATGTAATAAACATAGTAACTTGAGATGATGGCAGTATTCCCAGATGTATAGGATGCCCAGATTTTGGTTCATAGAGTTAATGAGCTCCAGGGGAACTGCCGTCACTTGTCATTCAGGCAAAAGAGAAAAACAACAACAAAAAACCCTTTAGGCTAAGGAAGTCTCAGGATTTCTGAAAGTTTAACCAACTTCAGTTTGAGATTTCTATTTGTCCTTTTTATCTTACCTGAAGGCTAAGAGTGATAAAGGCAATAGAGATTTTGAGTGAGAGGTACAGATGCTCCCCGATTTATGATGGGGTTACATCCTAATAAACCCATTTAAGTTGAAAATATCATAAGTCAAAAAAACATTTAATATACCTAACCTACCAAACATCATAACTTAGCCCAGCCAGCTTAAACACGCTCAGAATACTTAATGTTAGGGTAGCTGACTGGGAGCTGCGGCTTGCTGTCGCTGTCCAGCATCTCAAGAGAGTATCATACCGTATATCCCTAGACTGGGAAAAGATCAAAATTCAAAGTACAGTTTCTACTGAATGCATATCACTTTTGTACCACGAGAAAGTCAGAAAACTTGTAAGTCAAGCCTTTGTCAGTTAGGAAGCATCTATATTGTCTTACAAATCTCTTTAGTAACAGTTCTAGGGAGGTAAGTGTTTCTGTCTCCAGAGAAGTAATCACAGATTTCCCAAGTAGGAAGCGCAAACTCAAGACACGTTTTGTTTTTTTTTAACCATTGGTATAGTTGAGGCTTTTCGACAAGCTATATTCATCCTAAAAATAGACTATAATTACCAAATAAAAGCCTATATTGACAGAATAACTATTTTTGAAAAAAAAAACCTGTAACATATCTGTAAGTTCTTCTACATGAGTATTTTTTAAAGCTGCCAATTATAACCCAATTCATGACATCAACTCAGTTTTTAAAAAAAGATATGAGGTACTGCAGTATGAAACTTTTGTGGGTTTTGTTTTGTTTTTAAGCAATTTGTGATGTGTCTGCATTTTTTCTTTGTATTCTATCTTGGGCTGATTGAGCCTCTTAGATCTGTAGGTTAATATTTTTCATCAAATTTGGAAAATGCTTGGCCACTATTTATTCAAAATTTCTGCCCCAGTCTCTCTCCTCTGCTTCTGGGACTCCAGTTATATACGTAAGAACACTGAATGTTGTCTACAGGTCGTGGAGGCTTTGTACTCCCACTACACTCTTCTTCATGTATCCACACGTAAGTTTTTTTTTTTCTTCACTGTACTTCAGTTTTGTTTCTGTTGCCGTGACTTGAAGCTTATTGATCTTTTTTACAGTATTGAGTCTACTGTTCAGTGAATTTCATTTCAGGCAAGCATTTTTTGGATCTAGACTTTCAGTCATATATGTACTATACCTGTATATACACACACATCCATATATATAATTTCTGTTTTTCTACTGAGCTATTCCATCTGCTCACTTACTGTGTCTATCTTTTCTCTTAAATCCTTGAACATATTTATAGCTGTTTTGAAATTCTTGTCTGCTGATTTTAACATCTGTGTCACCTCTGGGTCTGGTTTTACTAATTTGTTTTCAACTGGTTATGGTTCCTATTTTCTAGCTTCTTTGGTTGTCTTTTTTATTGTATCTTGGACAATGTAATACAATGTTGAGCATCTGGATTTTATCCTCTTTCTTTAAAGAGTTAATTACCTGGTATGTCTACTTAATCCTTTCAAGGCTTGTGTCAGGTTTTAGTAGAGTATTCAGCAAGGTCTTTCCTCAGGTAGAAAGCCAAATTTTTCCTGGTACTGTGGGATTTCCAGAAGCTCACAGCGCTCTGTTAGCTGTTTTCTGAGATAACTTGCATACTCTTGCTTTGCCCTTAGTATTCAGCCAAAGACTTAAGAAAACTTCTTTGCATATTTTTGGAGTTCATCCTTCATACAGCTTATTTTTGGGACTGTGCCCTCTACCTAAGCAGCGCTAAATTCAAATCCTTGTTCCGTTCACCTGTTGAGACTGTTACTTTCTCTGTGGGCTCCATTTTCTTGTGTCCTAGTTTGGAAAGTGCCCCCAGGCAGAAAGTCAGGGTAAATATGGCTCTTACCACCATGTATTTTCCTTCTTTTAAGAATCACAGACTTACGGTGTCTGTGGTGCATTGCCTCCAAACAGTTGCTTTAGTTTGTACACACACAAACATGCAGACATATATATGTTTACATGTAGATAGCTGTTTATACAGAAGGGTAAGTCCAATTTCTGTTATTTAAAAATGGCCAGGTGTGGTGGCTCACACCTGTAATCCCAGCACCTTGGGAGGCTTAGGTGGGCAGATCACCTGGGGTCAGGAACTCCTGATGTCAGGAAACCTCATGAGATGGTGAAACCCCATCTCTACTGAAAATGGAAGAATTAGCCAGGCGTGGTGGCGGGCACCTGTAGTCCCAGCTACTCGGGAGGCTGAGGCAAGAGAATAGCTTGAACTCTGGAGGCGGAGGTTATAGTGAGCTGAGATTGCGCCACTGCACTCCAGCCTGGGCGACAGAGTGTGAGACTCCATCTCAACAACAACAACAACAACAAAAAAGTAATATATTATTTTCACATTTTATGTAATGTGAAATGCAGCTCTAGACCTGCTTGCCAGTGTTTCTGGTTGTCACAAAAACAAACTTTAGCTCATCTCTGTTTCAAAAGACTAAAGAGGTTCTTTATGAATAGTAGTAGTTCTTGAATTCAGATGTTTTTTAATTACGTTAAGTCATTAATGTCCCAGGACTTTTTATTTTAGATTATTTTTTAAAGTAGATACTGTATTTTATGGAATGTCTTCTAAACTTTTATTGAAAAATTTATGACATACTGTTTTTGTTTAATGTGATGAATTATGTCAGTACTTTGTGTTTGCTTTTTACAAATCTTGTTTTTAGGAATAAGGACAACTGGATCCTATTTGAAAGCGCTTTTTAAAAATATTTTGTTTCCTAAGATTGTATTTAGGAATTTTGCATCTCTATGATGCAAGTATGAGTGTTTAAAAAAATTTGGGGGGCTTTTAATCACATTAGATTTTAGAATTTTTAAATTTTAAATACTTTATGAGGAAGTAATAAACCCTCCTTTTCTATGTTTTAGAATATTTTATAGAAAAGAAGTTACTCTTTGAATATTTTGAATAACTCTGAAGTCAGTATGACTAGGCCAAATAAAATACATATTTAGCAAAATATATCAGATTCCTGAATGCCATTGTGACATTTAATTGAACAGAAGTCATTTGTTCTTTTTAGATAATTTTTAGGTAGTTTTTCTTAGTTCATCTCTGCCATGAAGCTGTAGCTTAAACCGTCTCAAAACAGAGTCTACAGCATAGAGAAAATTCTTAAAGTTTTTACTTAGTCATTTATTTTTGATGAATTTTTAAAAATCTCTTTTATACAAAAAGAACTGTTTAATTTCCTGATTCCAAACAAGAATTAAGTAGAGATGTTAGGAAGATCCCACTTTGTTATTTACTTTTGGTAAGCATAACAAAGGGGTACTCTTGTAGTCAAAAAATAACATATTTTTTGTCTTCTTTCCCCTCTTCTTTCTCCCTCCCCCACCCCATATACAAACTTGTCATTACATTTCTGAGATCAACCCTTTGAGATGCTGAGTTTGTACATACCTGTTATATATTTTGCAGTTGACAAATTACAATTTGAACCTCCTCTGAGAAAAGAAACAGAAGCACGAGATGAAATGGTAAGAATTCATTTTTAAAGCATTATTTTCACATTAAGATTTGAGAAAACTTTTTTTTTGTTAGTTGTACTTTGATTAGAAAACAAAGTAATATACTCTTTTAAGCATTAATTTTGACAATTTTTCCCGTATTAAAGTTTTTAAAAGTTTATAGTTAGTTTTATTTTTACTAGAGTACGATGTAATACACTATTTCAATCATTCATTTTAACCTCCTTAGTCTTTTGAAGGTTTTACATGATGTTATTAAATACGCAGAATTTGATTCTCAGCTTTAAGCTCTTAGGACCTTTTTTTTTTTAACTGATTCTGTTTGTTTTATAGTAAATTCTACATTCTGTATTGCCTTACTATTTTTTAAATATATTTTATTTGTTAATATAGTTTCTTTTTTAACCATTGCTGCTATTTTGAATTTACTATCTAGTTACCTCTTTCCTTATCTAAAATGAAAAAAGTGGCCGGGCCCAGTGGCCAACTCCTGTAATCTCAGTACTATGGGAGGCTGAGGCAGACAGATCACCTGAGGTCAGGAGTTCCAGACCAGCCTGGCCAACATGGCAGAACCCTGTCTTTACTAAAAATACAAAAATCAGCCAGGCGTGGTGGCATGTGCCTATAAACCCAGCTCCTCAGGAGGCTGAGGCAGGGAGAATTGCTTGAACCCAGGAGGTGGAGGTTGCAGTGAGCCAAGATCAAGCTACTGCACTCCATCCAGCCTGGGCGACAGAGTGTGAGACTCCATTTCAAAAATAAATAAATAAATAAAAAGAAAAAAGTAATGAAGCAAGATATTATTAGAGTTAGCCTAACCTAGCCTATTGAGTTCATCCTTAATGTTTGGAAGTAGTGCTCTTCTTACTGTAAATATGTTGCTGTATGATAAAACCCCAGTTTCCATGCTAAGAGGGAAAAGTAGTAGCACCAGTAAATTCATGACAGTTTAGTAATATGATATTTAGTTTTCCATGCTAATGGAGTGATGATGTAGATAATTCAGTTGTTTTCTTTTATTGTTTGCTTTGGAATATGCTCACATACTGATAAAGAAGGTTTGTCACATTTGAAGCTACCTTTAGTATGTTTATGGAATTTCTTAAGTTCAGGTCGACTGATAATGAGTCATTGACCTAAATATGTCAAATGACAAAGCAAATCTAGCTAGAGATTAAAAAATTGATTGAATGCCAAGATGATTAATAATCATGACACTGGAATGTTTTCTTGAATCAAATAAAATGGTTAATACCTGTTACAAAGTAACATTTTAAACTATATTTTTATCTTTACAGGGATTGTCATCAGACCCAAATTTCATGTTACAGTGGAATCCTTTTGTTGATGGTGCAAATACTGGCAAGTAAGTTGTTTTCTAATTTAATAACTATATTTTATTTGATTACATAAGAACAGTATGGGGCATGTGATTTATTCTAATAAGCTTTAATTTGCATTCTTGAAAAAGTTATGCCATTAATGAAGGTAAAGCTTTTGAGTTTTACCAAAAAGCATCATGTATTGATCATTAAGGTTTTTTATTTGTTTTTGTTTTTAATCAGAATATGCTATGTAATGATAATATACTGAAAGGTGAGTCACATGATGTCATGGGAAAAAATACTGTAACAGAGTTAAAAAGCCCCAGTTCATCTCTCCAATATAGTTACCTCTACAATTAAGTGAGGGGGCTGGCCTTCATGAGTTGTTCCTAACCTGTCTGTGTACTGCAATTGCCTACAGAGCTCTTTAGAAATGCAGATTCCTAGGTTCCCACATTAGGCCTATACATTTGGAGTTAACAAACTATGGCAGCCCACAAACTAAGAATAGTAAATACATTTTTAATGGTTGAAAAGAAATCAAAAGAATAATTATATTTTATTACACATGAAAATTACATGAAATTCAAATTTCAGTGTCATAAATAAGTTTGTTAGAATATAACTATGCTTATTAGTTTATGTATCGTACATGGCTGCTTTCACACTATAACAGCAGAGTTCCATAGTTACAACCACTGTATGCCTTGCAAAACCTGCAGTATTTACTCTCTGGCCCTTCATAGAAAAAGTTTGCCAACCTCTGGTATAGAATACAGTCTTTGGGACTGGATCTAAGAATCCTGAAAGCCGCCTAATTGATTGCAATGACTGTGGATAAGTGTGTGGGACCAGTGGACTAGATAAGTGCTTCTCAAACTTATTGACCTGGAGAGCTTATTAAAAGGAAGATTCTGTGCATTTAGAAAAGTTCCCAGATGATGCCAATTCTGCTGGTTTGAGGATCTACTTTGAGTAACAAAAGGTTTGATGATATACCCACTTGAATCTATGGGTCCCAACTCTAAAATTCTGAATCAGTTTTTTAACCAAGAAGTTAACTTAGTTTTTATTACATAAGAAATATAGCAAAGCATAACCATAAAAGTAAAATAAGACTTTGTGTCCACTTTTTAAAATCTTTATTTTATAGACATACAATTTGACAATATGAGTGAGGTCTTAGGTCTTCCTAAAGATTTTATACTCTGCATCGTGATCTGTCTTTTACATCCTCTGTATAGAAACTGATTTTAATACATATTTAATAGTATCTGTGTTTTCGGTTACGGTCATTTATCATCATCTAAATTGCATTTCTTCTTTGTATTAGATCAACCTCAAAACGTGCAATACCACCTCCCCTACCTCCTAAGGTGAGCTACTTAATGATTTTGAACACTAAATCCTTATTTAAATAATATAGTTAAATTTTTAAAATAATTTTGAGTTTTTTCAAAATTTTCTTAAATGTATTTTAGATGAATAGAGTTTTCTTCAAAAGAAGTGTATGATGGTGTAAAATATATAGTAAAGAAGATTTCATGAGGAATACAATATTTTTAATAGCTATTAGAAAAAGGCGGCCAGGCGTGGTTGGTGGCTCACGCATATAATCCCAGCACTTCGGGAGACAAAGGCAAGTGGATCACTTCAGATCAGGAGTTTGAGACCAGCCTGGCCAAGTGGTGAAACCCTCTCTACTAAAAATACAAAAATTAGCTGGGCATGGTGGCGTATGCTTGTAATCCCAGCTACTTGGGAAGCTGAGGCATGAGAATCGCTTGAACCCAGGAGGTGGAGGTTGCAGTGAGCTGAGATCGTGCCACTGCACTCCAGCCTGGGTGACAGAGCGAGACTCCATCTCAGTAAAAAAAGAAAGAAAGAAAAAGGCAAAAACAGGTTATTGCTTATTGAAGAAAATATTTGACTACATGGAGGGGAAACAGTTCATCATTTATCATTCTTATGACTACAATTTGACATATTAGTGGAGTCATTTTTCTTGATTGTTTCTAGTTGTTTTGTGGATTTTTATATAATTATATTAGTTATAAAAATTTTATCAGTTTTAAGGCTGATTAAAAATCACATGGCAAGTTGATAGTTGTGTTGGGCAGTAACTCACCTCTTACTTTGCTCACTTAGCCCAGTGAATTGAACTGTATAGAAGAATGAAAAAAGGTGCATTTCCCTTTCCCTAAAGACTCTGATGCCTAATGATAACTGTTAAAGTACTTTTTTGTCTTTGTACCACTAGCCAAGGATAAGCAGTTACCCTGAAGACAACTTTCCGGATGAAGAAAAAGCATCAACCATAAAACATTGTCCTGATTCAGAAAGCAGAGCTCCCCAAATTCTCAGAAGACAGAGTAGCCCAAGTTGTGGGCCTGTGGCAGAGACTTCTTCTATTGGTATGGCTAGCATTATTAGCAGCCATGGGGTACATATGGCTAGATATTGTTATCTGGGTGAATAAATCAAAGTGAAAACTGAAATGAGAGTCATTTGTTCCTATTTCAAAAAATATCTTTTTTATTTAGTCAATCCTATTATAGCTTAAAGCTTTGTAAAGGCTCTTTAATTCTGCATGGATGGGCTATAAATAGATTTCAGTTCACTTCAATCCTAATTTGAATCCTTACTAAATATTTATTATAGGATCTAGAAGGGTGAATGCATGTTTCTGCCCCCAGAACTTCAGGGTCTACAGCAGAAGGTATACCCACATACACATAACATTAGGAAAGACAGTTTATGTATGTGTCTTCTGAAATAATTACCTGGATGTAACAGAAGACCAGAGATTTCTGAGGGAGATAAAGATGGGGAATAAGGAAACTAAGCTCTTGCAGGATTTTTTTTTTCTGTAGAGATGGGGTTTCGCCGTGTTGCCCAGGCTAATCTCAGACCCCTGGGCTCAAGTGATCCGCCTGCCCCAGCCTCCCAAAGTGCTGGAATTACAGGCATGAGTGACCGTACCTGGTCCTTCTTGCAGGATGTTAAAGGGCTTGGTGAGCCTTCAGTAGGTAGATGAAATGCACTGAAGCTGGGAAATCTGAATTATGCAGTCTATTATAATAGAAATGTGAGCTTTTAAAGGGTATATACTGGAAGATACAACTGAAAAGGTGGATTGAAGTTCAATTATAAAAAGCCTTGCATATCAGAGTCAGTAGGTCAGATTTTTTTTCTTCATGATACGGAAAAACATGGATTAAGACCACTGCTAAAGATGCAATGCTACCTCTATAGAATCTAGAGAAAGACACCAAAGATAACTTACCTGAGAGTAGAGAATATTCCCCAATAAAGGATCACCCAAGTGAAAGACAAATAGTGGGAGAAAGGGGAAATAATTTTTCAAGGAAAGTGCTTATTTGTGTGGTCATTCAACTTTTAACATGATTCTCTTTAGGAAATGGTGATGGTATTTCAAAACTGATGAGTGAAAATACAGAAGGATCAGCACAAGCACCACAGTTACCACGAAAAAAGGACAAACGAGACTTCCCTGTAGGTATAACAGGCATTTAGCAATTAGTTGTAAATAATACTATATTTATCATGCAAGGGGCATAGTCTGTTTAATTCAGTAATTCAAGTAACAGAAGTTCTAAATGTCTCAAGTTTCTTTTTAAGACTTAGGAGGTCTTACACTAGTAAATTTTATTTTTCCCATAGAAACCAGCCATCAATGGCCTTCCACCCACCCCAAAAGTTCTGGTAAGGAATATTTTTATGTGAACTATTTGCCGTTTTTTCTCTCTTTAGAAGCAGCAATATATTGGCTATCAATATACTTGAGCCTTTGAAAGTTAAGATATCATAAAATACAAAGATATTGAATGCATTTGGATATCTCATCATGTATTCTAATTTGAGTGTGTGAATTGGAATTGACAGTGTTTCACTTTTTGTAAATACTGGCAGTTGAGTCATCAGATTAGCCTACAAAGGCCTATTTAATTTTAATGCGATGATATTAATAGTACTGTGTCCTCTTCTTGATGTGGATTAAATATCTTTCTACCTCTAAAGTGATTTTCACATTGGACTATATACAATTAAAAGGAACCAGGGAAGCTTATATTAATGCATTTTCCTGGCCAGTCAGTGGAACTTATCTGTGAATGGGAACCCCATGATCCCATGAATGGGATGGGAACCAATCGTATGAATGGGATGCTTTATACATTGTCCTTTTTTATTCAGTGAAAGTCTAATGTATAATATAAATATCAACCTTTTTGTCTCTTATGACTATTAAAGAGTTATACTGCAATTGTAATCACTATAATGTTACTGAATAAAATTATCCATTGTTTCACATTAATAATTGTCAGTCCTAAAAAATAGTAGTAACTTAAAATTCCTAGACTATGTTATTGATGTATGTAGATCTTTTGGTAAATTTGATATTTGTGCCATAAAATAGTGGATTACAAAAGGAAAGAATATGAGACTGTCTTGGTAGTAGGGGTTTAATGATGTGAAAATATGAATTTTGTTTTGGAATGAAACAACAAGCATACGCAAATAAGAGTTAATTTGGTATTTCAATGATGTTAGTTATTTTCCAAGAATATATAAAATTTTCTAATCAAATAAGTTAACATTTCTTTCTTTATAAATAAGATGGGAGCATGCTTTTCAAAAGTTTTTGATGGCTGTCCTTTGAAAATTAATTGTGCAACATCCTGGATACATCCTGATACAAAAGGTAAAATGTTTGAATTTTATATACATCTCCAATAAAATATTTATTATGGGAAAGATCTTTATGATCAGTGACTTGAAGTTGTTTATTTTAAAAATACGACTTTAGAGACCTAATGGTATAGGAACCTGCAACAACCTAAATAGGTCAATAGGGTTTTGGTTTAAAGGCGTTAAAATTTAGGAGTGTATAGGAGCTATTCTTGATTAAAGGACTAAAGAGAAATCACAACTGATTGCATCCTTAATTTAGAATTTTCTTTTACCGTAAAAGGACGTTATTGGGACAATTTATAATCTCAATTAGTAAGAATTATAGATAACCTTGTTTATTGTTTAAGTATTAATGTCTTGTGGTTATATGACTTTTTTTCCTTAATGTACACAAATATTTCAAAGTAAAGAGGCATCATGCTCATAAGTTATCTTAAACAGCTCAGAAAACAAACATTTACATAAGGAAGAGAGAAGGATCAAGCAGAAGTAGTAAATGTTCAACATTTGTGGAATTTGTGTTACAGGTATTTAGGAATTATTTGTACTATTACAACTTTTCTGTACATCTGAAATGATGTTAAAATAACTTTTTTAAAATGTAGACTATGTTTCTGAAGTGAGGAAACATTTTCAGAGGCAAAAATTTGGAATCAAATAAATCTGGGTTTGGATTCCCACTCTGTCATTACCATGTGACTTTGAAAACAAACATAACACCTCTGCTTTTCAGTGTGATTGTTTGAAACATGAATCACTCCCGATATTTACTTTATTTCAAGGAAGGAACAAGCCTACCCCAGTGTCTAGCAATTAGCAAACAGAAGCTATTAGGCAGTAGAGGATTTCAGGAAATGTGTGTTTCTACTTAATAATAAAGACAGGTTATAATGATTGGCTTTAAATGCCACTATTAAAAAGTATGACAGAGGGGGTATATATATGTGTGTGTGTGTGTGTGTGTGTGTGTGTGTGTGTGTGTGTGTGTGTGTGTGTGTATAAAATAATTTTTTTTTAGAGACAGAGTCTTGTTCTGTTGCCCAGGCTGGACTTCAGTAGTGCAGTCATAGTTCAGTGCAGCTCAAACTCCTGGGCTTGGGCAATCCTCGTGCCTCAGCCTCCCAAATAGCTGTGACCACAGGTGTGTATCACCTCTCCCAGCTGATTTTTTATTATTTAGTCTCTTTTAGTGTAAAACAATTCCTCAACTTCTGATGTCAACTTTTTTGAGGCCACTTATTTTGTAGAATGTCCCTTAATTGGGGTTTGTATAATGAGTCCTCATGCTTGAATCAGGTTATGCATTTTTGATGGGAATAACACAGAAATGTTACTGTGCATCTTCTCAGTACATCATATCAGGAGATACATGGTATCAGCTTGTCCAAATACTAGTGATGTTAATATCGATCTGTTGGTTAAAGCAGTGTTCACTAGCCTTCTCCATTCTCAGGTTACTATTTTTTCCTTTCTGATTTATAGGTAATTAATATGGAGATGCACTGAGATTATGTTTATAATTATACTATTGCCATTCAGAATTTCACTCACTCAGTTTAGCATCCATTGACAATCTGTTGATAGCCATTGACAGTTTATCTTCTTTCCCACTTATTCATTCGTTTATTTATATCAGTTTAAACTTATTAATTCTTATTTTATTCCATGCGATATGATCTATCTCTATTATTTATTTTCACACTTAAATTGTCCCAGAATTTTTGAGCAGTGGGAATGCCTGTGTTCTTTTGTTTGAAATGTCCTCATCATTTTTTAGCACTTCTTTACTTTCTGGCACAGCAAGATTTCTAGGCTCAGCATCTACTTTTATTGCCCCAGAATTGGAAGCAGTCTTTCTCTAAGAAGCCCTGGTTCTTTTTAGTGGAAAGTAATATTTAGAAACCAAGATCTGGATACTAGGTGTGCTCATTATTTCTAGTGTGTCGTGATTTATAATTTATATTAACTTTTTGTTTCCTTGGTCAAAAGAGTGTTTGAGGTGTCTTGCAAAAATGTGTAACTATAAAAATCTTAAAATACAAAAATTATGTTGAAAGGCAGGGTTATATAGTAAGATAAAGTCAGAGTGAGTTAGTCTAACATAGAATATATCTGCTTTTAAAAAATAAGAAAGGAATTGGGGAAAGAGGTAAAGAAGGTGATACAAATTTAAGAAAATAATTTTATTTTAGATGGATAGGTGGCTAATTCTTGATGCCATTACAATGTAAAGTCATTATTTTAGTGAATGATTTCAGAAGATGATGGTAAATTCTGGTGATTTATCTCAACTATTTTAGATCAGTACATTATTTTTGGAACTGAAGATGGTATTTACACACTGAATCTCAATGAGCTACATGAGGCAACGATGGAACAGGTAATTAGGCATTTTAATTCAAGAAATTAATTTAAACAAATTGAATAAAGAAGTGTCTTAATTTTAAATCAATCTGTGTAGGCCCCAATTTTAATTTTTATGATTTAAATATTTAAAGGGATAAAATTGTACTCTTTGCATGTTCATGTTGAAAGATTTTTTTTCTTAAGGGTTTGATAATTACCTGAAAGTTAGAAAATAGTTATTTTTATATGATTTCAGAATGTTGGAATTTAAAAGATTAAAATAATGACAATGAGAGAATCTTAATTATCTTCTTTTTCTTAGTTATTTCCACGGAAGTGTACTTGGCTGTATGTTATCAATAATACTTTAATGTCATTATCAGGTATGTATGTGATGATGAAAAATAAACCATAGATAAGCAGAGAAATGTAATTTTAATATACACCATTTTTAAATGTTATTTGTAATTCTGGATGACTATAATCTAATATAGTAACTCTGGGACTTGTGGATATTTGCTACCCACCTAGAATGGGAAGAAACTTTGGGAAGGGATCCTGTCTTCAGTTAGGGCTGCACTTTCCAAACCCACCCAGCATCTAAACACCTGAAGGGTATCACAGTGCTTATCACTAGAGGCCGTTCCCTTCCACTCAGCCTCCTCCACTATCACTGTCACCACTCCTGGCCTCCTTTGGGAATTAACAGGAAAGAAGCAGAGGATCACACTATTTTCTTTCTCTGCGATCCTGAACAAGTCACTGTCTCTCAGCCTCATTTATCTTAATTATAAAATGAGGATGATGGGGTAACAGTACAGCCTTATGAGGTTGTGAGAGTTAAATGAGATAATATCCAGAGTGCTTAGTAAACTGTAGAGTCTTATACAGATGTTTGCTGGTGAAATTCATGTTGTTCTGGACACACATTAACTATCTTGGACTGATTCTTTAAGGTCTTCTGAACAAGATTCCAGGGTAACCTCATTTTATTCTTTCTTGGTTATTATTAGGGGTGAACGGGTGGGTAGGTGGTGTTTTAGGCTTTTTTTTTTTTTTTTTAATTCTTACCTATGAAAAAAATATTTTCTTATATTTTAGATTTAAATGACTACCAAGAAGTTTGCTGATTGCTTTCATTTTGGTAGTAGAGTACAAGATAGTTAATTATTATTTCTCTCTAGTAGAGATTTTTTAAGAATCTGTATATTTGAGCTAATAACACTGTTTATGGAGAGCATATTATTTGATTGTGTGTTAAATGGCTTCTAAAAAGCTGGAGTCCTCAAAAGAATATTTAATATATTTTAATTATGCTTCCCCAAAATCTTTTTTACTTTTGTTTGGTAAAATATTAATATGTTAATATTTTATATTACTGTTATGAAAATAAAGCCAATTCTGTTTGAGTTGACAATTATGAATTGTATCATATAAACTTTTCTCTAACTCTCTTACTGCTTATCCCTACTCATACTTGTCTTTGGAAATAAGCTTAAAAATTACACAGGGTACATCTTAGATAGCAACGCCCAATAGGAGGCATGTACATGTGTGTTTAGCTGCCTGGCTAGCTGGGTAGCAAACTATGTAGATTGGGGAAATGGAGAAAGGAAGGGTGTTTAATGTTTAGGCAGAATATTTCTGTTCTGAGAACATACAGATAATTTTGTTGAGGATAAAACTGTGTATATGTGTGTGTATATATGTATGTTTTCTAATAATAAAAAGATAAATATTGTTTTGTATTGTTATATTATCATACCATATATAGTGAGAAATCAGATGATGTTTACCATATCCATCCCTCTTACTTAATACAGCCATATTTTTTATTATATGGAATTGTAGCCCTGTTATCCTTGTATCATGGCTTATAATATTGGTTGGTTTTACTTTTTTAAGTATTTCCATCTGTTATATTTAAGACTTCATTCACAATGATTTTTAATCCAAGGTAATTTGTTAAGTTATTGATAAATAGGTCTGTCCCAGAGAAATAATAATATAGCTTTATAGAATTTTCCATCTTGTATTAAAATAATCACATGTACATCATTGTAACTCAGTCCATAACATAAGATTTTGTACAACAATTTCTTTTTGTGTGCTGGCATCATTAAGGTTTAGTCTGCCCAGATCACCTATTAGTACCTAATTTATATATTCTGAATTAAAATTATCTGTTAATTTAAAAACATTTTATCTATTGTCTTTCAAAATAGTATTAACTGAGGGTTTTTTTGTGTGTGTTTTTCTATTTTGCTTGGCTTTTTGAACATTACTGGACTCTCGTTTTAGAAGGTAATTACGTTTTCTTTTTCTCGAAAATTGTATTTCTCTGCTGTAAATGATTCTCAAAAAGGTAACATGTTTTTCTTTTATAGGAAAAACCTTTCAGCTCTACTCTCACAATCTTATAGCTTTGTTTGAACATGCCAAAAAACCAGGATTAGCTGCCCATATTCAAACTCACAGGTTTCCAGACCGAATACTACCAAGGTACAAAATATCATTTTGATTCTACTGAATGAGGGGAATTAGTGTTTATTTTAAAAATAGCCCGTATTTCTTGCCCAGTAAAAAACTATGTCTTAATTTTCAAAGGTAGTTTAAACTAAAGTGTATTATATCTGGAAAAGCTGAACGTTTTCTGAACTTGACCATGAGAATCAACTGTGGAAGTTTTATAATACAGACTGTCAGGCCCTTCCTCAGTCCTATAAGATGAGATAGTGTGGAGTTAGGATCCAAGACAGTTTTTTAAGCTCCTTTCTGTCTGATTCTGATGCAACTGATTTACAAATCATTGTGTTGTAACCACTACTGTAGAGTGCATTTATATCGTCTTACGTTTTCAGAAAATTCGCTTTAACAACAAAGATTCCTGATACAAAAGGCTGCCACAAATGTTGCATAGGTGAGTAAATGGTATTTCTCAAACTGAATGGTTAGAACTTTTAACATCTTTATAATTATCTGAAGAGTCGTATGGAATCAAATAGGAAGGAGGGTAGGTTTTTAAAATTTGTGTTTAGTAAGAAGTTAAGCTGCCATTGAAGTACAAGAATATAGACAGACATGGCATAGAAATGCTTAGAGATAATAACCTTAGCGTTTTCTCAGAGCATAGTGTTCCTAGAGTTTTTTAACCATAGTCCCTGAGGCTGTATCTTTGCTAATATTCTAACTTTCATTTATTTAATATTTGCCATCTACCAGTTACCACCCATGTTTTATGAACATGTTTACAGGAGTTGAGCCAACTATGCAGTTAGAGGGAACAGTTCACACAAGAACACCCTCACTTATGATACCAATTGCAAGTTAGGGGATTCCCAAAACTACCCCCAGAATAAAAAAATTCACTAGAAGGTATCACGGAACTGGAAGCAGTTATACTCATAGTTACGATTACAATTTAGAACAGGGAAAAAATATAGATTTAAATCATTACCGTTTAGAACAGGGAAAGAATATAGATTAAAATCATTACCGTTTAGAACAGGGACAGAATATAGATTAAAATCAGCCAAGGGAAGAAGTACATAGGGCAGAGTCCAGGAAAAATACCAAACATGGAGCTTCTGTTGTCCTCTCCCTATGGTTAATGGATGGCGTTACTTTTCCAGCATTGGTATGTGGCAGAACACACAACCATTGCCAACCACTGCCAACCACAAGCTTATTCGAGCCTCGATGTCCAGAGTTTTTATTGGGGCTTCATCACAAAGGCATGATTGATTGACCACCTTGCTGATCTCAGTATGCAGCCCCACTAAAGGTCATCTGATGTTACATGACCCAAAGCCCCCACCCAAAATCACATTTTTTGTATTTCTGGCATGATTGATTGACCACCTTGCTGATCTCAGTATGCAGCCCCACTAAAGGTCATCTGATGTTACATGACCCAAAGCCCCCACCCAAAATCACATTTTTTGTATTTCTGGCATGACCAGCCCTCACATTAAGACTATCTAGTGCAGCCAGTCCCCACCCTGAATCATTATTGTTATATTATCCAGTGACCAGAGTCCCCCAGACAAAGACAGTCCTGTCAAGCATGACATTCCAAAGGCTTAGCAATTACCTCCCAGAAGCAGGACAGAGACCAGACCTCTTTTTTGGGTGAGGTTAAGTTCTTTACTACATAATTATCTCATTTAACCCTTAAACAACTCCATAATACTGATTGTGTCACTAGTAAGTAACAGAGCTTAGGAATCAGATTCAGGTTCAATGACTTCAGATCTTAAGTTCCTAACTTCCTATTTATTCTTTTGTTTGATCAATGAATTTACACATTGATCTTTGTGCCACATAATAGTTTCACAGCATAGTCCATACTGTAAAACAAAAATGTTTAACCACAAATGTGCTATAAATATTATTTTTCTAGGGAGAATCATGTCAATATCTATTATCAGATTCCCAAGATCTGTGATGCACAAAAGGCCTAGAAACTTGGAATCTAAGATAAAAACTCATAAATAATACTTTAGAGTTTAATGCAAATAACTATTCTTATAATCAATGATTATAATTATTAATGGAAATCAAATTTGGGAGAAGGAAAGAGCAATATGAATTTTTATAGATTTGAGTCAAGATTACATCATGATAAATTAATACATACAAGATGAATTATTTTCATCTTAAGTAGACATCTGTACACTGCTATACCAAAACGAGGTGCATTTTAGTTGCCTCCTAGACCTTGTCAGAACTCATTCTTTGAGTTTACTAAGAAACAACTTTTTGGGGAGGCCAAGATGGGAAGATCGGTTGAGTCCAGGAGTTCAAGACCAGCCTGGGAAACATAGTGAGACCCCATCTCTTAAAAAAAAAAAAAATTGAAAAATTAGCTGGGCATGGTGGCATACACCTATAGTCTCTGCTACTCAGGAGGCTGATGTGGGAGGATTGCTTGAGCCTGGGAGATTGAGGCTGCAGTTAGCTATTACTGTGCCACTGCATTCTAGCCTGAATGACAGAGCAAGACCCTGTCTCTTTAAAAAGAAAGAAGGAGGACGGGAGGGAGTGAGGAAGGGAAAAAAACACCTTTTTAGGTTGCATGTTAGGTTGTTATTGTGCTTGTCAAAAGTTCTTATGTTTAACAACCTAGTATATGCAAGTTGTTTAGAAGTAAACATATATAATTTAAAATTGAGATAAGAAAGTAAAACGGAAAAGGCAATGAAGCCAAAAGAAAAGACACAGTCTTTTTTTATTTTCTGCCCACTCTTGTCATCCTGGTTAACAGATACAATGAAAGTATTCAGTATTTTGAGTGTGTCTGGGTTTTTTGTTTGTTTATTTCTTTCCAGTCAGAAACCCTTACACGGGACATAAATACCTCTGTGGAGCTTTACAGTCTGGAATTGTTTTACTTCAGTGGTATGAGCCAATGCAGAAATTCATGTTGATAAAGGTATATATTATTTTGTTCACATTTTTTTCCTTTAGAAAACACTAGTGTATAACTGAAGCTAAAATTAGCAGATCCCAATACTACTATCTAGGGTCAGAACATTTATAGTTATTTGTAGTTGTTTATTTGATTTAGAGGTTTTTGTGTTCTTAGGATTTACTCTTTAACTGATAATAAACTTCCAGAACCATCAGTCATAAAGATTAATATGGCTAATTATCTAAAACACATTTTTATAGAACATTCATCCTTCTTATCATCTTAGAGGTAATCCTTTTTAGAACTAGATAAATGAAGAAGATAGGAGTCTTTCTGTTGACTTTATTCAACAGTGGTATGAATGGGGAGATTGTTTCTGAATTATGGCTCTATTGTTTATTTTTTTTGCAGCACTTTGATTTTCCTTTGCCAAGTCCTTTGAATGTTTTTGAAATGCTGGTGATACCTGAACAGGAATACCCTATGGTCTGTGTAGCTATTAGCAAAGGCACTGAATCGAATCAGGTAGTTCAGTTTGAGACAATCAATTTGAACTCTGCATCTTCATGGTTTACAGAAATTGGTGCAGGTAAGTATTTTTTACCTTATGTTAGAATATTGATATTTTTGCCTATAAAAGAAGCAAAACACCACCTATAAAAGAAGCAAAACACCAGTGTGGGCTCTTTTAAATATTCAAAACATAGTTTCCCAAGTAAGCCCATAGAACCGTGTACGTATATTTATGATCTCTATTTGCCAGAGGTAGTTTGATACAAATTATTTAAACAAAGGAAATTTTTAATGATTCCTGACAGTGAAAAGTCTTAGTTCTTACCAGTGAATCTTTGGACTTGCTAAGTAAATACACTTTCTAAGCAGTTCTTAAAATTTTATCAACTTCTCAAGCCTCAAGCAAAGAGCTTCACTTATCCTGTTTTATCCTGTCTTCCCCGCTCACTTCTTAGAATCAGTGAATGTGGCTTTCAGACCTGAATAGAAGCTTCTTAGGTGTTGCTTCCGAGCCTTTCCATTTAAATCAGACATATCTCAGTGAAAGATCTGAAAAAAATGGGAAGTTTATTCCTAGACTTTAAAATTAGAACAAATCATTCAATAAATCATTTTTTAAATCTGCATAATATGTGAAGTGGGTGAGGTGGGGCCTCCATTTTGCTAGTTTCCTGTTTGTTGTGCTGGTGTATTTGGTCATTTATAATCCAGGTTTATTAGGCCATTTTTACATATGCCAAGCAAGCTTTAGTTATGGCTATTTCATTACTCACCACTGTTGTATTCTTTACTGCCTTTTGAAGAAGTCTGTTACATATATTATAAGTTTGATGCTTAATGCTTCTTATTAAATAACCTTTGGCTTTTGATCATTTATAGGCTAAGTTACAAGAACTCATTATAATATAGAACCTACGCTAAATTCACTTTCAACATAAGAATCAGTATGAACCAGTGATACCCTGGTAAATGTCTAACAACAGGCTCTTGAGGTGCAACCATTTGTTAGAGTTGCCTATTTTTGTGGTACAAATACTCCACCCATGGCCAATTTCAAACTACCAACCTGATGTCATTTGGCTTACAAAATTCCTGAAAGTTTAACTCAGTACAAGCCAGCTCCAGCATGCACTGGTCTATAAAACATACTCTTTATGGAAGAGGTCACATTATGTACCCTTCTACCTCCACCTGCACTCTGCCTTTTAAGTCTATTGATCAATGCTTTAAGTTGAGTTGGATGTATGCCTGCTGTTACAGCTAACAGAAAAGGTACAAATGCATTGCTTTATTATCGTGAGATATAAACTGCCCAAATAGAAATATTTCCCCAGGCTGGGCACAGTGGCTCACACCTATAATCCCAGCACTTTGGGAGGCCAAAGTGGGTGGATCACCTGAGGTCAGGAGTTCGAGACCGGCCTGACCAACATGGTAAAACCCCATCTGTACTAAAAATACAAACTTAGCCGGGCGTGGTGGTGCATGTCTGTAATCCCAGCTACTAGGGAGGCTGAGGCAGGAGAATCGCATGAACCTGGAAGGCAGAGGTTGCAGTGAGCCAAGATCGCACCATTGCACTCCAGCCTGGGCAACAAGAACGAAACTCTGTCTCAAAAAAAAAGAAAGAAAGAAATATTTCCCTGTTCTTATTGCTCAAAGGAAAGGTTATGGATCAGTTTATTTAAAGACAAGTTTTGGCTGACAGCCCAACTTTTTTTTTTTGCTCATCAGCATGGTATAAAGCATGTCATTTAATACAACTATTTAATGTATATTTGCGACCACTTTCTTCTGGATTATATATTAGAAGGTTATATTGTTCAAGGCAAGAGTTCAGTGAGTCCTGTTTTTGAGTTCCTTTTGGGGTATGTTTGAGTTTGCGTTTTTTTGTTTTTTTTTTTTTTTTTTTTGAGAGTTTTGTTGTTTGCTTTGTTTTTTAATGCGTGAGGTATGCTATTCTACCTACTTTTAACATTGTCTTGGCTAAAATTAAAGCAGACCCCCAACTACTGTCTGACCTGGGGTCAAGGCTGTTTAAAGACCCAGATTACTTCCTGAGGGAGTAAAGACCCAAATTACTGCCTGAGGGTAATCATTGAGGTCACCTTCAGGCAGAGGTGAGGCAATCTTTCTAGTCCAGCACTTTGTCCTCATTAGGTTTCCCCATTTTTACAAGTGATTTGTTAATCCAACTCCTAGCTGTGTTCATTGTTGAACAAACAGGCTATACCTTGAACTGGCAAGTTATAACATTAAAATAAACTCCTATTCAAGACTCTTTTAGGCTCAGTCTGATTTATTATTGCTATATCCTTATCTCCAAGGATGGTGCTTAGCATATGGTCAGCACTCAGTAAATATCTGTTGAATGAGTGCCTGAACATAGAGTAGCTAAGAAAAACTATTTTTGAAGTGTTACCTGAGGGACAGTTTATCGATTCTGTAGATATGGATTCTTCACCATGTATAAGCTTTAGAAGGTCCACAAACACCCCAAAATATTATATAAAATTCTGTGTTTATGTTTGAATGTGCAGTTTTCAAGGGAGACAATGCATAGGCTTCCCAAAGAGGTATAGTTAAGAAGGACTGCTCTGTTGGTGGGACTGTAAACTAGTTCAACCATTGTGGAAGTCAGTGTGGCGATTCCTCAGGGATCTAGAACTACAAATACCATTTGACCCAGCCATCCCATTACTGGGTATATACCCAAAGGACTATAAATCATGCTGCTATAAAGACACATGCACATGTATGTTTATTGCAGCATTATTCACAATAGCAAAGACTTGGAACCAACCCAAATGTCCAACAACGATAGACTGGATTAAGAAAATGTGGCACATATACACCATGGAATACTGTGCAGCCATAAAAAATGATGAGTTCATATCCTTTGTAGGGACATGGATGAAATTGGAAATCATCATTCTCAGTAAACTATCGCAAGAACAAAAAACCAAACACCACATATTCTCACTCATAGGTGGGAATTGAACAATGAGAACACATGGACACAGGAAGGGGAACATCACACTCTGGGGACTGTTGTGGGGTGGGGGAAGGGGAGAGGGATAGCATTGGGAGATATACCTAATGCTAGATGACGAGTTAGTGGGTGCAGCGCACCAGATGGCACATGTATACATATGTAACTAACCTGCACATTGTGCACATGTACCCTAAAACTTAAAGTATAATAATAATAAATAAATAAATAAAAAAGATAAAACCCATAGAAAAATAAGCAAAGTACTTAAAAACAGTATGTTTGTGTTGAATCTCATTTATAAACATGAAAGTATGTGAAAGAAAACTTGTATAAATCAGTGCAATGAAATATTTACCCAAAGAACATTTTAAGTTATATTGATTTCCACTATTTCCTAATTAGGTGAAAGTTACCGCCTTCAATTGCATGTTTGCCCGTGGCCTTGGGGAAACATGTACTTTTTACAAGGAAATGGGGGAAGCAGGCTCTGACTCTTAGGCTTCTAAGTAGGAATTCTGTTCAAGGAATAAGAAGAGAAAGGAATATGTTATTATGAATGCCCTCACTCCGGCAAACAGCTCTGCTCTTTACCACCCACTTTCAGTTTCCCTCACACAGTCATGAATGATGCTATCAAAATTTTTACCAGGCCCTAATTCTACTTTTCCTAATTTTGGTCACAGCTTGCCTGGATTTAGGACATAAAGAGCTTAGAAACTCTTAATTTTAATATTAGAAATGTAGCTCAGTCCTATATCAGAAAGTTTATAAAACCCTTTTAGATAATAATGATCAGTTATAATTTATTTTCATAGAAAAACATATTCTAAGATGCTCTATACAATTGTTTTTACACTGAATTGTTTTACTGAATGGTGCCTGTATTGAAGGCACTATCAGAAAGGGCACATTGAAGTTGAGGTAACTTCAAAAGGTAGTGAATACCTGCTATTTGGCAATCCTCTTTTCTGCCTGCCCCCAATCCGCCATTTGAAGGAAAAGTCATACAATGAATGCGTCTGTGTTAGGAAAAGTACTTTTAAGAATGTGGCCCTGTCTCAGTGCCCTAAGCTTGTGACCTCAGTGTCTCTAGAGAGTTCTGTATTAGAAATCACAGTGGCCAATTAGCAATTTTTCTTTAAAATTAGTGGTCACCAAGTTCTTTGTAAATATACAGCTAAATGAATGTAGTTGGGCATGTTTAACTCTTAAAAGTTCTAAGAGAATGAAAGGTAACCTAGATGACATTTTGTAATCAGAAAGAAGTACTTCTAATGGAGCAACTCAGGTTAAGGACTCTTCTGTATTTGTCTTAGTATATATGTGTTCATATATATATATGTGTGTGTGTGAATATGTTCAGAAGTATGAAATGTCTGTGTAGTACATTTATTATCACTATATTCCTTAAATCAGGTTGATTGGTGATGTTTTTAAAATTCTTCAATAAAAGCACATACATTTAAAAAAAAAAGGACTGCTCTAAATAATCTAAAATCTTTTCTTAGATTCAGCTAGACCATTGAAACAATCTGAGTGCTTAAAATGCATTGTTTTATCAAAAAAATTTTTAATGTTATTACATCTATCAGCAGATGTTAGAAGCAGCCCTTTAAATATCAGCAAAACGATGAGAGTTGTATCCTGCAAAGATGTTCTTGACAATATTGTTCATTATGTTACTCAGTGTCCTCTTTGTAAAAGAACTCCCACCCACCTGTAAACACATACCTATACCAGGAAAATTTCTGTCTTACTATAGATTTCATTGATCCTGTGCCCTTTTGAATCACTGGCTAATTTTTAATTTAGGTTTGCTGTGATTCACCCAATTCATCTTGTTTCTATCTCCCATTGGCTATATAAAATGCAGAGCAAAATCGAGCCATTGTGTATAGCATGCATGTTACTTTTCCTCCTCATATTTTACCTTTGCTTCATTTTATTTTTGTGATTCACCTTTGTAGATCTAGCTGAGGCTTTAATTAAAGGCAATACTGAGGTTTTTTTCAGCTGAGTTAGCCATGCTTAGGACATATTTGTCCTCTTAAATTGATTTACATGCATTTTTTGAAAGATAACATCACAAAATATAAATTCTGTGTTAAATTTCAAAGATCAATTTTAAGTCACAGCAAAAGTCAGAATTTATGTTTATTTTCTAGGCTCTAGGTTTTAAAAGTATAATTGTAACCTTGTTTTTTACTTCCTAAGGCAGCCAGCAGTTAGATTCCATTCATGTAACACAGTTGGAGAGAGATACCGTTTTAGTGTGTTTAGACAGTAAGTACTATTTTTAATTTTATTTTGAGTATACTACTTGATAAAGCAATTTTTTTATTCTGTTAAACCATAATTCAAGATTTTTACTGTTTTTACTAAAAATGTTACTTATCATGTGTAATTTGTAAGCGAAAAAAATCACCTCTTATGGCTAAATAGTTGAGCACCGAGGTAGCCATTTTTAAAGAAGCATACATTTTTAAAAATGAGAGTGTAAATATTCAGTATATACTATATAAAAAATAATAGCAGAATTGCCATTTGCCGATGGAGGCACTCTTACAGTATTTTTTGCCATTTGGCATACCTGACTCAAGATAAATAGTTGAACTTTATTAAGAATATTATTTGATATCCATGTAAAATCCACATATATCAAGTTACATTTATTTTAGCAGATTTGCATGTCCAGTCTTGACTTGTTTTTTTTTTTTAAGAATTTGTGAAAATTGTAAATCTACAAGGAAAATTAAAATCAAGTAAGAAACTGGCCTCTGAGTTAAGTTTTGATTTTCGCATTGAATCTGTAGGTAAGTTTCCTTTTTTTCATAAATCAGTTTGCGATACTTAATGATTATTAAAATTCATTCTGTACTTAGGGTTGTCTAGACCAGCACTGTCTCACAGAAATTTCTGTAAAGATAGAAATGTTCTACGCCTGTAATCCCAGCACTTTGGGAGGCCAAGGTGGGCAGATCACAAGGTCAGGAGTTCAAGACCAGCCTGGCCAACATGGAGAGAAACCCCGTCTCTACTAAAAATACTAAAATTAGCTGGGCATGCTGGCGGGTGCCTGTAATCCCAACTACTTGGGAGGCTGAGGCAGGAGAATCGCTTGAACCCGCGAGGCGGAGGTTGCAGTGAGCTGAGATCATGCCATTGCATTCCAGCCTGGGCAACAAGAGCAAGAAAAAAAAAAAAGATAGAAATGTTCTCTATCTGTGCTCTTAAATACAGTAGTGATTAAACATATATGGCTGTTAAGCACCTGAAACATGATTAGTGCTACATTTTCATTTTTTAGATTTTAATTCAAATTTTAATGTAAATAACAACATGTGGCTTCTTGCTCTCATATTGCACAGTGCAGGTTCAGACCATCATAAATCTTTTATTGTTTCCTGAATATTTAAAACTTGTAATCACTTTTAACATTTCTGTTCATTATTCCCTTTGCTGCATTAAGTGAATTATACTTCCCCCAATTCTTTCCCAGTCAGGAAGGTATTTGTGTGATGCGATAACAGTGTTAGATATGCCATAATTCTTTGCCATGTAAGATTCTGGGTGGTGTGTGTTGATATTACTGCTTTTGGAACTATTTTTATATAAATAGCTAGTTCTCACAGGACTTGTAAACTTTTATGCCATTTAATTTGCTTCCTTGTCAACGAATGTTTTACTCTCTAATACTCATTGGTTTTATGATGAAAATTATTACAGTTTATTATTGTTTGCATGCTCATTGATCATATGTCAGTATCTTCCCCAGGAGTGACAGAACTTGTGAAAAAAATGATGAATGGAAACATTTTTAAACATTTCATGATATGATTCTACCATAAATCAAAGGCACTAAAATGAAGTTGGTAATTTTTATTTGGGCCATAAAAAATAACATGTACTTTATAATTACATATTTTTAAAAACACGATTTTCATTACTTAGTTTTTTATTTTTAAGAAACATTTTAATATGTATTTCTCAATTGGAGTTTTATCCACAAAATGTTTGTGCCTCTGTGTGACATTTTACATGAAAATAGTTTGCTTATGATTGGGAAATTTAATTTATTAAAGCAGAAAACCTAAACTTTCTGTAAATGTCAGGACAAAAGAAATTTTGGAAACTAGTTTCTTCTTTTACTCCTTATATTACATGCCAATTTGGATTTAACATTTTTGAGAGAGATTCTGACATAGGAATCCTTAATTCCTCTTCACTTTCATTGAAACACACTGATACCTCAACTTTTTCAGATGTGCCAAATTATCTTCGTAATTTTAATTGTTACACAAAAGTTTGTTCCTCCTAGGCTACCATCTTTTCTTGCCAGTAAACCTTGGAATAATTACAGGAATCCTCCTGGGGAAAAAAAAATGCCTTTACAACACCTCTTAAAAATAAAATCAGTAACTAGGTTTTTTATTTGTCACAGTTAGTGAAACACATGTGATTTGTCATTGTCAAATACTTTTATTTTTATTGAGCTTAATTATGTTCCCAGAACATTCTTACATTAACTTTTTACAAAAAGTTAATAGTCTAATAAAACAGTTAATTTTCAGTTACTTTCCTCCATCACTTTTAATTATGCTTTTCTAACTCTAATACTTACTTGTAATGGTTAAATACTAAGAATTTTATGTAAGAATTGACTCACAGATCCTAAATATTCAATGTGTGGTTAAATGTTGGATTGTGGGGCAGGTTTATTTTATTTTATTTTTTATTTATTTATTTTGTTTGAGACGGAGTCTCGCTCTGTCGCCCAAGCTGGAGTGAAGTGACGTGATCTCGGCTCACTGCAGCCTCCACCTGTGGGGTTCAAGCAATTCTCCCGTTTCAGCGTCCTGAGTAGCTGGGGCTACAGGCACAGGCCACCACACCTGGCTAATTTTTGTATTTTTGTAGAGACAGGGTTTCACCATACTGGTCAGGCTGGTCTCCATCTCCTGACCTCAGGTGATCCACCCACCTCGGCCTCCCAAAGTGCTGAGGTTACAGGGATGAGCCACTGCGCCCGGCCAGGTTTATTTTTTAAAATTTCTTTTGTTACAGGGAAAATATGAACATAAAAAATGCTTGTTTAAAGCTACTTCTGAATATGTAACAGTATTTAAACAACAATGCTTTTAATGCAAAAACCCAGTTATATATGTTTTTATGATTTTATTCATTTAAGACAAAAGATACACTGTATCTTTTGTATGAAAGAAATGAATATGCCAACATCCACCTTATCAGAAGTTAGTTCATGTTTAAATGAATGGCTTTTATATGTATCTTTGAAGACTTGCATAACCCTACCTCAGTAAATTACTTGAACTTAGGCATGTCTTAGCCACAAAAATGTTGAGAAATCGTGGTCTAGACAGTGGAATTTTGCACTAGACACTTGAATAGGCTTATATTATTTATTAAAAGTAGAGAAAATTTATAGTGAAATGCTCTGTGCTTTATATTAGTTTCACTTCTCCCTTATCATTTTTAGTATGCCTTCAAGACAGTGTGTTGGCTTTCTGGAAACATGGGATGCAGGGTAAAAGCTTCAAGTCAGATGAGGTAAGCCTTCTCAGATTACCTCCACTGACTCCCACTAACAATTTTAAATGTCGAAGCACTCGTTTTATGCATTTCCTCTCTGAACCTACATTACTGTGTTTAGTGCTTTTAATACTATGAACTGGTAGAACAAAAAAGCCAGTATTTTCCCTTCAACTATGTTCACTTCTGTATCATAGTTCAAAATTCTCAGTGGCCACCAGGAATTGCAAAATATAAGTTCATGCAATTTCATTTATCTAATTTGTAATTTGTAAATATGGTTGCTAAGCTTGTAAAACTTTTCTAAATTTATTAAGTGTTTTCCATAATCTATAAATATCTGGCTTCTTTTTAAATATATTTTAAAATCTAAATTAATACATAATGGAGCATAAGAATAAGGGAATCTAAGAAAATTGACTCATTTAGTAACTATTGAGTACCAACTATGTTCAAGACACTATTATTGTAAATAATATCAAACTTTAAATAATACCTACTGTGTTCCAGGCACTTTACAAATATTTGCTTATTTCAGGCTCAAAATAATCCAGTAGAAGTAGATACTATTCATATTGCCATTTTTACAGCTACAGAGTGGTTAAGTAACTTGCCCAGAGTTACATAACTAGTGAAGTGGAAGAGTCTGGATTTGAAGGGTCTCTTTAAATCACTTCTAGCTGAGATAATTACGTCTCATGCAGGAGATGGGATTTGGGCCTCCAATTTGAGGAATGAGTCCTACTAGCTAAGATAATACTAACAGAGACATTTCACATTTACGTGAATACTTGTGTGATTCTTCTAACTATGGCCTAACAAGTTTGTGAACTTACTTAAAGCTCAAAAACTTCTTCTGTTTGCATTTACCTTTAGTTTTATCCACACTCTTACTTATATATAAATGAATATTCCTACCTCTTATATGAATGCAGAATTAGAATGCTTCCAGGAGGAAATGACATAAATCAGCTGTCTTTGAATATATAAGTTTATCTAGTTACTGATACGTGTCACTAAATGTCACCAAGTCCCTGCACTTGATGAAACCTACAGTCCTACTTATTATCATATGGTTAATTATTCTTAAATGCTATTTTCATTATGTCACTCCTATGGTTAGAAATCTACAGAAGGTCCTTGTTTCTTACTGTATCAAATATTGATTCCATTTCCGAAATATCTATTTTTAACTCTTTTTTTTTTTTTTTTTTTGAGATGGAGTCTCACACTGTCGCCCAGGCTGGAGTGCAGCGGCACAATCTCAGCTCACTGCAACCTCCACCTCCTGGGTTCAAGCGATTCTCCTGCCTCGGCCTCCTGAGTAGCTGGGATTACAGGCATGCACCAACACACCCAGCTAATTTTTGTATTTTTAGTAGAGATGGGATTTCACCGTGTTGGCCAGGCTGGTCTCGAACTTCTGACCTCACGTGATCCACCTGCCTTGGCCTCCCAAAGTGCCGGGATTACAGATGTGAGCCCCACACCCGGCCTATTTTTAATTCGTCTTGATTACCTTTTTTTCAGTTTATGTTCTCATCCTTCAACTTGGGCCTAGCTAAAGTCTTGACCTCTTTCATAAAGTAATACTCAGTCATTCCAGGCACAATGATTAGAACATCTCTGAACTTAATACTCTGAAAAATCAGCTCCAACTAGTATAACACCTAATTTATTTTCTGATTCAAGCTTATTAATTCTATTTTCCCAGGTAGACTGCAAACTCCTTGATACCAGACTTTTTTTTTTTTTTAACTTACTTTATATCTACAATATCTTAGTGTGGGTTCCTCTAAAAGTAGACCCTAAGACAAGGACTCAAATACAGATAGTGTATTTGGGAATAGATTCCAGAAGACAAGTGATGGAATGAGGAATGGAGAATAAAGAGGGGCAAAAAGCCAATAAAGAACACATTAATAAGCTAGTTCCCACTAAGAGCAACTGGGGCTTAATCCAGTAGGGACCACTGAGGAATGGGGTAAAATACACCTCAGAATTGACTCATTTGTAGATGACGAGGCTTGAGCATTTATGCAGCAACTGCTATCCCATGTTGGTTAAGGCCTGCCCCCAGGTATACAAACTGCGGGCACTTTGGCATAGTACCTGCACATGGCTGAGCACCCTCTGCAGCTTTGTAGAAAACAGAGTATACAGGGTCTTGCTCTGTTGCCCAAGCTGGAATGCAGTGGTGCAATCATAGTTCACTGTATCCTTGAACTCCTGGGCTCAAGCGATCCTCCTACTTCAGCCTTCTGAGCAGCTAGGACTACAGGCATGCACCACTGTGCCCAGGTAAAATTTTTAAATACTTCTGTAGATACAGGGTCTCACTTTGTTGCCCAGGCTGGTCTCAACTCCTGACCTCAAGCCTTGGCCCCCAAAGGAGCTCTGCAGTCCAACAAACCTGTATTCAAGTCTTGAGTCTACCCATTCTATGAGATTGAACAACTTATTTAACCTCTTGGAGTCTTAGTTTCTTCTTCAATGATATGAGAATTATAATGCATATCACAAAGAGTTCTTCTAAGTAGAGTACCTGACCCATACTAGATGTTCCATAAATGTGGGTTCATTTCTAATAATATGCAATCAAAAAACTTACTAAAATTTCTTTTATTTGAGGAATTAAGTCTACCAAAAAATATTTATTGTGTTAATAATTGCTCTAAATTAATTTTAAATTGTTATTAAGGCAATATGGGGAGTAAGATGTTACTGATAGGTATTTTTCTTTCCTAGGTTACCCAGGAGATTTCAGATGAAACAAGAGTTTTCCGCTTATTAGGATCAGACAGGTAATAGTTTGGTTGTATTAATTTAATTACCAAAGGAGTTCAAAGATCATACTCTTAATTATACTGTCAGTCTGTAATTGTTTCAAACAAAACTCTTAGAAGCTCATTGACTTAGATACATTTCTCTGTGTCTTTACTGAGAGAATTAGTAATATTTTAATAAGTTAACTAAGCAACCTTTTGTCAGTGTGAGGATTGTTATTCTAGAGACAGTTATATTCAACTGAGACAAAATGTGTTGATATAGATGTTGATGTCCCTAGTACTATGAGAGCTATTTCGGGCCCGTTTGTCTTCATTTCTTCATGGTGTGCTGCCTTCCATTAACTATTAGGAATATGTACCTCTTGATGATATTTGCTTTTATATTAGAAAATGCCTGGTTCAGTTTCTAAAGTTAATCTAAGTTAAAAAGAATTATATGGTCTCTTTTTACCCCAAATAAAAGACAAGTTGCAAAACTGTCATCTTATGAAAAAAATGTAGTAGCTGTAGCTTTTGATTTCCAAAATCTACTGCCTACTTCTTTTTTTCTTTTTTTTTTTAAGACGGTCTCACTCTGTCGCTCAACTGTCTACTTCTATAGCTAATAAAATACCCATTCCTTCCTCTTTTCCCACCAAAAGTTGTTACTAAAGCAAAATTGGCTATAGTGGTATGCATTAGTCCTGAGACAAGGATTGGGAACCTCTGGTCTTCAGGTTCACATTGCTTAAGTTTTAGATACTTGAGGAAGGAGGGGGAAATGGAGTTATAACTCCATAAAAATTTTGAAGAGAGTTTTATAGGAGAACAGGAATTTTCAAAAAGTGATGACTACCTTAGTGAATAGAAAAGGTAAGCCCACAAAGCATGGCAACTTAGTAAGTCGTCCAACCAACAAAAAGAGAATTTGAGGATCATCTGGTAAATGACTCTAGAACTAAAATGAGAGGCTCTTTGCTTCTCCAGGAAGGGCTGAGAAAAGAACTGTGGGCCGGGCACAGTGGCTGATGCCTGTAATTCCAGCACTTTGGGAGGCCGAGGCAGGTGAATCAGCTGTCTCTACTAAAAATAGAAAAAGTAGCCAGGTATGGTGGCGTGTCCCTGTAATCCCAGCTACTCGGAAGGTTGAAGCAGGAGAATTGCTTGAACCCAGGAGGCGGAGGTTGCAGTGAGCCAAGATCGCACCACTGCACTTCAGCCTGGGCGACAGAGCAAGACTCTGTCTAAAAAAAAAAAAAAAAGAATTGTGGATCATCCATTGATCCTGGTGTAGATAATCCTTTAATGAAACCAAGTGTGAGAGAATTCAGCTTGGTAGAGGGTTGGCATCAGAGGCCGTTTCTCTGGGTTGCTTGTTTCCTTCTACCTACTCTGCTCAGAGCTTTGTGCATCACTTTTCCCTTCCCTGTTCGTATTCTCTGTCCACTCTATCACTATTTGCTCTGAAAAACTACTTCCTTCAGACTGTTGCCTTGCTCTGCTTGTCTCTTACATGGGCATCTCCTTGTTTTTAAGATACATATCTAAACAGAGTTTTTGTTTTATCTTTACAAGTGGTTAAAAATTTATTTTGTTGCCGGGCGCGGTGACTCATGCCTGTAATCCCAGAACTTCAGGAGGCCGACGCAGGTGGATCACCTGAGGCCAGGAGTTCGAAACCAGCCTGACCAACATGCAGAAACCCTGTCCCTGCTAAAAATACAAAAAAAATAAGCTGGGCTTGATGGTGCATGCCTTTAATCCCAGCTACTCGGGAGGCTGAGGCAGGAGAATCACTTGAACCCAGGTTGCGGAGGTTGCAGTGTGCCGAGATCACGCCATTGCACTCCAGCCTGGGCGACAAGAGCAAAACTCCATCTAAAAAAATAAAAATAAAAATAAAAAAATTATTTTGTTGCTTAAGTATAGATACTTGTGTCTAGGAAAAAAAAACTAAGCATGTCAAAATTTTAATAACAGTTAACTCTGGGCAGTTGGATTATAAGTAATTATATTTTCCTTTTCTACTTTTCTGTAATGCCTAATATAAAGTATCTATGATTTTTAAAAAATGTTTTCATTATTAAAGTAATAACATGCTAATTATAGAAAATTCATACACTAGAAAAATAAGTGTTATGTGCAGTTTTTTTTCTCCCATTCCTCCTCTAGAAACTTTTTTCTCTGCATGGGTATATTATTTTTTATTTTGTTCTCAAACTCTCTTCCCCACAACTAAAATGTTTGGAATAGTACTTCTTTTTTTTTTTCCTATCAGTCCTTTGATTGAACTCTTTCTCCATTTTTGTTCCAGCAACTAGGGAGAGGGGCCCCATTTCATACTATTTTTAAAAAGCTATTTCAAATACCTTGAAGAACAGTTTGGACGAGTGTCTCTTAGAGTCCTATTTTATTCTCTTGGCTCTTCCTCCATCCTCTTCCTGTTAGTGAAATCCCTAAAGTATTATATTATACCTTTTGTTGGCATAAATGAGTAAGCAAATTTTGTTTGTTGTTTTTTATTTGAGAAGGGGTCTCACTCTCTCACCCAGGCTGAAGTGCAGTGGCACAATCACAGTTTCCTGCATCCTCAAACTCCCGGGCTCAAGGGATCCTCCTGCCTCAGCGTCCTGAGTAGCTGGGACTACAGGTGCAGGCTTCCACACCCAGCTAATTATTATTTTTTTTTGTAGAGTTGGGGTCTTGCCATCTTGCTCAGGCTGGTCTCAAACTCCTGGGCTCAAGCGATCCCCCTGCCTCAGACTCCCAAAGTTCTGGGATTACAGGTGTGAGCCACCACACCTAGCCCAGATTTTTTAGTTGGAATAAGATAATGAGTCTATCCCAAAATGTCTTCAATATTTTATATTCATCAATTCTTATTGTGTTTTAAAGCTGTAAAATGTAAAGCTGAATTTGATTGTGCGTCTGTGATCCTTACGTAATCTTACTGAAATGTGAACAATGATATTCTTTCCTAGTTTGATGTTAGTATTTGATGTATGAAATCTGTAGTTACTCTTAAGCCCTTTGTTTTGGTTTAATTACAGGGTTGTCGTTTTGGAAAGTAGGCCAACAGAAAATCCTACTGCACACAGCAATCTCTACATCTTGGCTGGACATGAAAATAGTTACTAAGCAACAGAAACTGATCTCAAATGACAGGAAAATGAATATACTCCATTGAAAGGAAAAATAAGGAAATTCAATACAAACTGCACTATGATTTGCTTTAACTATTATGGGTTATATTGCAAATGATCTGTACTTTAGGGTAGAATTCAATATTTTCTGCAGCTGGAAACAGCTAGTCTATCTCTTGCCACTGTGTGGTGGTTATATCAAGTTTGCTTAATAAAAGCTATGAGACAAATAGTCCTCTAGTTCCAGGAAACACAGTCTTTTTTTAAAAAAAACAATGTTTGTAACAAGGGTGCCATGGTATTTTTAGATAACTCGTGATTATCTTAAGAGAGGTAAATTTAGTGATCATTTTATATCATGTCTTATTCCTTCTTAATGAACATAATTTGTTAAATTCTCAAGCAAGGTTTTCACTTTTATATTGGCCATTCTGTATGTTTTTGTAAAACAGAATATTTAATCCTTATTTATTAATCTCTTGCTGGAGTGGTGTAATGTATCTAACTTTTAGCAAAGGAGGGTTGCAGAGCAGCTTAAATTTTTTTTATAATGTATAAGAATTTTGTTTATCTTTTAAGAGTAGTAAAGTACTTTGAGTGTTTGGGGGTTCAACACACACATGCAATTTTGCTTAACAAAAGTATTTTATAATACAGTTTCATACAGAATTACCTTAAAAGGGAGTCTTATGTTTTCAACTACAGATAGTTGTAAGGGATCATACAGAAGATATTGATGATAGTTGAAATATTCTTAGAAGGGGTGTGTATGTCTAGCTGTGTCTACCATGTGTATGTATTCTTGACAAGCAGTATAAAATACCTGTGATTTTTCTTTACATTAGGGATAATGCATAAGGAATTAATCTTCATATATATTATCATCCCTAATGTAGCAGGGGGAAGTATTTAATTGCCCATGATATGTATTTTACTTATACTATGCCAGAGAGGAAACTATAAAGTAATTACACATGTAATCTTGGGTTTTTCACATATGTAGGTATTCATTTTGAGTAGGTTGAAGAAGAAAAAAAATATTTAAATGAATTGAATTCCTGATGGGATAGTATCAATAAGTATTTAAAAGCCAGTATTCTAAAAATAATAAAGGGTAGGGTCATTTTTGAGTTTGTTTTTCTTTTGCTATTGTTAATATTCAAAATTAAAGTGTTACATTGGTACCTGTTGTCTTAATGCATTTATTGAGAACAGCATTGAGATGATGAACAAGGGGTTAGCAATAGCAAACTCTATAATTATTTTGACTAATTACTTAAGAGGAAAACAGTATAAGTATCTCATTCAGTATTTAGCAATTCTGTAAAATAAGTATTATCTCTATTTTTCAGATGAGGAAGTAAGGGTTTAGCAAGGTTAAGAGATCTATCCAATTTACACAGCAAGTTAGTAGTTGAGCCTGACCATGAGTCTTCTGACTCTGTTCTTTTCACTATGCAATACGCAAACAATAAAATGTTATACAAATGGAATATAAAGTTATTTATTCTTTAAAAATGCACATATGATATGATTTCAGTAAGTGTGTGGCTGTTTATTTTGGCTATGTTAAGAATACGGGATACAGTAGATGACAGGGGAACCATCCTCAAAACAGGGGACATTTACATGATGGATAAGAAAGCCAGAATCCTCCTTTTCTTACTGAATCCTGGCAGCCAGATCTTTACCATCCCATGGTGGAATACCGAAGAGTCTTCTCTGTGAAATCTGACCAATGCAAGTGAAAAGGCCTCATTAAGATCTTGATGTCAGACATGTCCCGGCTAAACTGCCCAGCTAGATGACACTACAGTGAAAATCATAGTTGGCAATCCCACCATCCCACGCATTATGTCTAGACCTTGCAGTTAGTCTTTTAGTCCTGTGCTCTTAAAAATGAGCAAACAACCAAGGATTACAAATAAATGAAAGAGAAAAAACAGTCTGGGGAAAACAGAGGAAACAGGCTATGAAGGGTAAGGAGAACATCAAAAGAAAAAGTATTTTCAGAAGGATGTTGCAACCATGAGTGAGTCAAGGGCAGGGTACTTTTAAAAAGTTGGGTTTCAAAAAAACAAAAAGAGCTCTTAGAAAATAATATGACAGCATAGCTGAATA
This sequence comes from Homo sapiens, assembly GCF_000001405.40. Taxonomy (NCBI): domain Eukaryota; kingdom Metazoa; phylum Chordata; class Mammalia; order Primates; family Hominidae; genus Homo; species Homo sapiens. The sequence continues at coordinate 50,417,892 of NC_000014.9, read as the reverse complement.
ATTCAACTAGATGGCTTAGAATATAAAGTTGAAATTTCTCAAAAAAAATTTTTAAATGGAAAATGTTGAAAAAAGTTAAGAAAATTGACAGCCCAGGAGGTCTAATATGTAATCTCCCAGAGTTCCAAAAAGAAAACAGAAGAAACCATTAGAGTGTTTCAATAATTTTTCCAGTATTAAAGAATATCAGAGTCTAGATTGAAAGAACACAGTGGATGAAAAAGACCTTTACCAAAGCACATCATTACGAAATTTCAAGGACACCGGAGTCAAAAAGAAGATCTACATTTCCAGAGAAAAAGGTCAGGTCAGATACCAAGGAATAAGACTCAGGATACCTTTATTTTTATTTTTTGAGACAGGGTCTTGCTCTGTCACCCAAGCTGGAGTGCAGTGGCACAGTCTCGACTCACTGCAACCTCCGCCTCCCAGGCTCAAGCCATCCTCCTGCCTCAACCTCCTGATAAGCTGGGACTACAGGCGCCCACCACCATGCCCAGCTAAATTTTTTTGTATTTTTTATAGGGTTTCACCATGTTGCCTAGGCTGGTCTCAAACTCCTGTCTGCCCACCTCAGTCTCCCAAAGTGCTGGGAGTGCAGGCGTAAGCCACTGCATCCAGACCCGAATAGCTTTAAATTTCAACAGAAGCAATGCCTTCAAACTTGTGAAAGAAATTTCCAACCTAAAATTCTGTATCTGACTAAATGTAACATAAAAGTCAAATGAAGAGTATAAAAAAATTTGCCTCCTATATATCCTTTCTCAAGAAGCTACTAAAGGATGTGCTTCATAAAAAGGGCATAAACCAAACAAAATGACATAGGATGCAGGAAATGGGATTTAGCACAGGAGAGAAATGAAAGAAATCCCCAGATGATGAGGATGGAATATCCAAGGATGACCACTACACCAGGCATAGAGAGTATATTGAAGCATATCAGAAGATCCTGGCCACATGTTTTTAGAAAGATTAATAAAATATCCAATGTATCTCAGTATCTTAAGAGTGAGGCAACCAGCAAACTACGAGGTTCTTCCTGAAACAAAGCCTGAGTCAAGAACGTGGGTTAGTTTATTTTAGAGATCCCAGAAACTAGGAGTGAGGGACTTGTGATATTGCGAAGGAGAAAGGGGAAAGTCAGTATAAAACATGGTGTATTATTGAGGTCATTTCTGTGTAGACAGTGGGAGCTTGATTCCACCAGGTCCTCAAAGAAGCTATGTGATAGCTCCCTGAATTGCCTCCTGAAAGACAAGTGGCTGGAGCATTTAACCGTACGCTGTCATTTTTCACTCATCAAGTTGCTGCCAAGGGCATCATCTCCTTGCACATGGGGCAGTTTGCACATGGGCACAGTAGGCTCCTTAAGTGTCAAAGAAGACCCTGAGACAGAAAGCTGAAAGAGTAGGAAATGGGTCTTCAGTTCCCATGGAGCTGTCCACTGATACTGGCTGGAATCAGAAGGTGGGTGGAGGAGATGCTTTTCAAGGCTCCAGGGTTCAATCAGAGGTGACAGTGATTCTGGAGAAAAACCAACCAAGCCAAACAAAAAACTGGCAGTTAACTCCAGGAAAGCAAAATGGGCAAAAAAAAATGACCACTGGATGAATGGCATAACAATGTTTGTTAACAAAATATTCATCTAATCAAAATTGCAGCAACTATATTGGGAGAGGACATGGTATTGTGGAGGTTAGAAAAGTTATCAAATTCTCATTTTCCACAGTAGAAAATCAGTGGATAATACCTAAAAACTGAAAATCAAGGGATTACATCAAACAAAATCTGCACAGCAAAGGAAGCAATCAACAGAGTGGGAGAAAATATTTGCAAACCATACATCTCTTAAGGGGTTAACATCCAAAATACATAGTGAAATAACTCATAGCAAGGAAACATCCCAATTTTAAAATGGCAAGGCCAGGTTGCACGGCTCACACATGTAATCACAACACTTTGGAAGGCCAAGGCAGAAGGATCTGTTGAGACCAGTCTGGGCAACATAGCGAGACCCCATCTCTACAGAAAATTTTTTAATTAGTTGGGTGAGGTGGTGCACACATGCAATCCTAGCTACCCAGGAGTCTGAGGCAGGAGAATCACTTAAGCCCAGGAGTTCGAGGTTCAGTGAGCTGTGATTGTGCCACTGCACTGAAGCCTGGGCAATAGAGCATGAAGACCCTGTCTCCAAAAAAAAAAAAAAAAAAAAAAAAAAAAAAGCAAAGGACCTGAACCTGAATAGACATTTCTCAAAAGAAGACATACAAATAGCCAACAGGGCCAGGCGCTGTGGCTCACGCCTGTAATCCCAGCACTTTGGGAGGCCGAGGCGGGTGGATCATGACGTCAAGAGATTGAGACTGTCCTGGCCAACATGGTGAAACCCCGTCTCTACTAAAAATACAAACAAATTAGCTGGGCGTGATGGCCGCACGCCTGTAGTCCCAGCTACTCGGGAGGCTGAGGCAGGAGGATCGCTTGAACCTGGGAGGCAGAGGTTACAGTAAGCCAAGATTGTGCCATTGCACTCCAGCCTGGCAACAGAGCAAGACTCCGTCTAAAAAAAAACAAATGGCCAACAGATACATGAAAAAATACTCAATGTCACTAATCAGGGAAATGCAAATTAATGAGATATCACCTCACACTGTTATTATCAAAAAAATGAAAGAGGCTGTGGTGGCATATGCCTGTAATCCCAGTGCTTTGTGGGGCTGAGGCGGGAGGATCGCTTGAGGCCAGGAATTCGAGACCAGCCTGGGCAAACATAGCAAGACCCTGTCTCTATTAAAAAAAAAAAAAAAAATTTAAGAAAAATTACCTGGGTGTGGTGGGCATGCCTGCAGTCCCAGCTACTTGGGGGGCTGAAGTGGGAGGATCCTTTGAGCCTGGGAGTTAGAGGCTGCAGTGAGCTATGGTCGCACCACTGTACTCCTGCCTAGACACCAGATCAAGGCACTGTCTAAAAAAAAAATGCTGGAGAAGGAAACCCTTGTACACTGTTGGTAGGAATATAAATTAGTGCAGCAATTAAGGAAAACAGTATGGAGGGTCGTCAAAAAAAATTAAAAATAGAACTCTGTGATCCAGCAATCCCACTACTGGGTATGTGTCCAAAGGAAATGAAATAAGTATGTTGAAGAGTTACCTGCGCACCCAAGTTCATCACAGCATTATTCACAGTAACCAAATAAATCAACCTAAGTGTCCATCAGTGGATGAATGGATAAAAAAAAAAAAATAGGGTATATACACACAATGGAATACCATTCAGCTTTGAAAAAGAGAAGGAAATCCTGTCATTTGTGACTACATGGATAAACCTAGAGGACATCATGTTAAGTGAAATAAGCAAGGCACTGACCAACAAATACCACATGATTTCACTGACATGTGGAATCTGAAAAAGCAGAACTCATGGAAGTAGAGAGTAGAAGTGTGGTTACCAGGGCCTGGAGCTGTGCTGGGGGATCTTAGTTTGGGGATGGGGAGATGTTGGTTAAAGGATACAAAATTTCACTTAGGAGGCTTTGGGTTTTTTTTTTTTTTTTTTTTTTTTGAGACGGAGTCTTTTGCTCTGTCGCCCAGGCTGGAGTGCAGTGGCGCGATCTCGGCTCACTGCGAGCTCCGCCTCCTGGTTCACGCCATTCTCCTGCCTCAGCCTCCCGAGTAGCTGGGACTACAGGCACCCGCCACAATGCCCAGCTAATTTTTTTGTATTTTTAGTAGAGATGGGGTTTCACCATGTTAGCCAGGATGGTCTCGATCTCCTGACTTTGTGATCCGCCCGCCTCAGCCTCCCAAAGTGCTGGGATTACAGGTGTGAGCCACTGCGCCCGGCCAGGAAGTTTTTTTAATCAAGAACATTATTTCGTGGCATGGGGATAATATAATCTGCCAAAATAATGAAAAGTTGTTTTTGAGGAGAGAGATGGAAGGGCATGCTTTGTGATAACAAACTTTTACAGGTCTATTTGATTCTTTATGTGCATGCATACATTTGATTTTTTTCATGTTAAAGAAAAATGTAACTTTAAATAAAAGCATGAACCCCTGCATGACCAGAACAGTGTGACAAAGCCAGTTTCTTACACTGTACTTTGTACACAGTAGGCATTCAATAAATATCAATTGAGCGTAGCTAATGTATGCGTCATGTGGAAGGAGGCAAAAGTAGCTGGAGACAAAAAGCTAGGTGAAGTAAATCCCATAAGGTCTTGTGAGAAAAAGCAGTTTCATCAAACTTCTTTTCTTTGGCTAAGCCTCCTCTCCAGCCTTCTCTCCCACTATTCTGCCAAGCACCCTGGGATACTGGCCACATAGAGGCCATGATCACTCCAGTTTCATTGCTGGGCTCATAATGGCTCTTCCATCCTACAGTTCTGATTTATTTTATCAAACCTTAAATCCTTTACCTTAATGATACTCAGTTCAAGCCATAACTTTTCTATGACAGCTCTGACCACTTAATCCAAATCCAAATCGTTTTCTGTTTCTCAGAATTTCTACAGCACATATGGATTGTACATTTCAGTGTAACATTCAATTGTTACCTACTAGCCAAACCACTTAGCACTTACCTTAGACAACTTATTCAACCTGTCTAGGCCTCCATCTTTTTCTCTGTTGATTGGAAATAATGGCCCCTTCATTGGTTGTTAGGAGGATTAAAGGACATAATGTGGATTAGTTTCCCGCTCATAGCAGTAACTCAAGAAAAACAAAAAAAGTTGACTTATTTATTTTTCACCAAGAAGTTCACTAAGGGCATAGGTATGTTTTCATTCTTTAACTGTTCCTTTCAGTATGTCACATATTGGTGGACTTAGCATGGGGCTTTTAAATTTTTTTTCTAATTCCTTTGGGTATATATTCAGTAATGGGATTGCTGGGTCAAATGGTATTTCTGGTTCTAGATCCTTCAGGATTCGCTACACTGACTTCCACAGTGGTTGAACTAATTTACACTCCCACCAACAGTGTAAAAGTGTTCCTATTTCTCCACATCCTCTCCAGCATCTGTTGTTTCCTGATTTTTTAATGATCGCCATTCTAACTGGTCTAAATGGGGAAAGGACTCCCTATTTAATAAATGGTGCTGGGAAAACTGGCTAGCCATATGTAGAAAGCTGAAACTGGATCCCTTCCTTACACCTTATACAAAAATTAACTGAAGATGGATTAAAGACTTACATGTTAGACCTAAAACCATAAAAACCCTAGAAGAAAACCTAGACAATACCATTCAGGACATAGGCGTGGGCAAAGACTTCATGACTAAAACACCAAGGGCAATGGCAACAGAAGCCAAAACTGACAAATGGGATCCAATTAAACTAAAGAGCTTCTGCACAGCAAAAGAAACTACCATCAGAGTGAACAGGCAATCTACAGAATGGGAGAAAATTATTGCAATCTATCCATCTGACAAAGGGCTAATATCCAGATCTACAAAGAAGTTAAATTTGCAAGAAAAAAACAACCCCATCAAAAAGTGGGCAAAGGATAGGAACAGACAGTTCTCAAAAGAAGACATTTATGCAGCCAACAAACATGAAAAAAAGCTCATCATCGCTGGTCATTAGAGAAATGCAAATCAAAACCACATTGAGATACCAACTATAGCATTTTTAAAAGAAAATATCTTCATGAACTTGAGGTCTGCAAAGATTTTTTTGAACAGAACATTAAGTTTTGACTATAAAAAGGTTGGTATGGCGGCTCACACCTGTAATCCCAGCACTTTGGGAGGCCGAGGTGGGCAGATCACTTGAGGTCAGGAGTTCAAGACCAGCCTGGCCAACATGGTGAAACCCCGTCTCTACGAAAACTACAAAAATTAGCTGGGCGTGGTGGTGGACACCTGTAATCCCAGCTATTCAGGAGGCTGAGGCAGGATAATTGCTTGAACCTGGGAGGTGGAGGTTGCAGTGAGCCAAGATCGCGCCACTGCACTCCAGCCCGGGCAACAAGAGTGAGGCTCCGTCTCAAAAAATAAATAAATAAATAAAAGTTGGTAAAATACTTTCTCTACTCAAGACGAGTAGAGAAAATCTTCATTTTATAAAAATGAAGACAAGCCACAGAATGGAAAAAGAGGCTTGTATTACATATAGCCACAGAAGATCTCCCAGAAGACATTAAGAACTACAATCAATAAGGAAAAGGCGGACAACCCGGTAGAAAAAAGAGCAAAAGATTTCGAGCAGGCATTCCACAAAAGATAGCATCCAAGTAATCAATAAATATGTGAAAATGTATTCAGCTTAATTGGTTATCAGATAAATGCTCCCTTCAAATGGATGCTGGACTGCTAAAAACACCAGATGTCCTGTATACCATAAACAACCACTTGGTGAAGCTTAAAAAAAGCAAAACCACTCACCGCATTTGAGTGAAATGGTTCATTAAATCATCATGATATTCAACCACATATTCTTTCCTCAGTAATTTTGCTAAGTGTAATATTTAGCACACTGTAAATGTGACATTTGATTTTGGGTATCTGACTTTATCCTGGTCATGTTTCTTAAAGCTAAGTCTTCCTGGATTAGTTACCACCATGATTATCTTACAATGAATAAAAGACACAAGAGAATCCAGAGATTTCTGTTGATCATGGAGTACCTGCCAGGGTGCCAGGGCATCCTGGCCATTTGACATGTAAATGGTCTACATAAAGCACTGACTCTGGGTCAAACTTTCAAGTCCATAATTACTTCTCAGTTTGTGGTTTCTGAAAACCCACAGTGAATAACAATGTCCATTTAAATTCCTTAAAGTCCAGTTCGCAAATCTCCTCCAGGATTTCACAACCTTGATATGGTTTGGCTGTATCCCCAACCAGATCTCATCTTGAATTGTGAATTGTGGCTTTGCAACTTCTAAAGATCAGAAGCTAAAGTACTAACATGGAATTTTATGTTAGATAGAGTATTAGGGGGGTCATAGAGTTTCCTTGAGGTTCCTAAAATCGTATTATACAGCTGCCTACACTAATAGCCTATGTCATATCAGGAAGTGATGCTTACATTTTATTGAGAGAAAAGAGAAAAACAACATTATTGGCACCTGCTCTGGGCCAGGCACTGTGTTAAACATTTTACATGAGAGATCGCATCTCATCTTCAAAATGAGTCAGTGAGGCAGCTATAATTATCCCTATTTATAAGTAGAATAGAAAAATACAGCAGATACTTCTCATGCTTTATGTTTGTCTTTGAAGACCCTTCCAATATTAGAGTAATTTCCCGCCTTGTGACTCTCGTGTCTCCAAAGAAGAAGCCCAACTCCCTTTCCCAACACCTAGCAGCTACGGTGCAGACTCCTCCAACCAGACTTACGCACACAAGTCTCAGTCTGAAAGAGAGCAGCACAAGGAAGTACGTGCTGTCCTGAACCATTGTTCTGGCTTGGATGGTGGAGAGGAGTCTGGCCTTTGTGGGTAGGAATGATGCAGAGTCGTGGGTATAGCATCCAGCATTAGCAGAGCCAAGTATAGTGCCAGCAGCAGCAGCGGCAGCTCTAAAGTCTGGCTGAGGCAGTCCTGCAGAACAGTTTTGTTATGTTTCTAACTGTGTAGTCTCCAGATCTGGCTTTCTGACCCTTCTGGAGATTCCTCAAGCTATTTAATATCCTTGAATAAATCCCTTTCTGCTTAAACAAGCTGAAGAGACTTCTGCAGTTGTCAGCTAAGATCCCAGAATACAAATGAAAACCACATTGAGATACCAATTCACAACCACTAGGATGGCTACTATCAAAACAAACAGAAAACAAATGTTGGTGAAGATGTGCGGGAATTAGAATCCTTGTATACACTTTTGGTGGGAATGCAAAATGGTGCAGCTGCTGCATAAAACAGCAGCAGTTCCTTTAAAAATTAAAAATGGAATTACCATATGATCCAGCAATCCTACTTCAGGTATATACCCAAAAGAATTGAAAGCAGGGTCACAAAGACATTTGTACACTTGTGTTTATAGCAGCATTAATCAAAATGGGTGGAAGCTTGGGTGGAAGCAACCCAAGTGTCCACTGGAAAATGAATGGATAAAGAAAATGTACATACATGCAATGGAATATTATGCACTCTTAAAAACTAAGGAAATCATATGCTACCTGTGTACACCTTGGACGAACACAGTTGACCTTGAAGACATTAGGCTAAATGAAATAAGCCAGTGACAAAAGGACAAATACTGTATGATGCTACTTACAAGAGGTACCTATAGTAGTCAAATTCATAGACACAGAAAATAGAATGCTGGTTCCCAGGGGTCAGGAGAATGGAGAATTTTCTTTAATGGGTACAGAGACTTGGTTTTGCAAGATGATAAGAGATCTGGAGATGGATAGCATTGGTTGCATGATAATGCGAAAGCATTTAATACCACTGAACCGTACACTTAAAAATGGTAAAGATGGCAAATTTCATATTATGTGTATTTACCATATTTTTTTTTTAAATAAAGGTTGACAGTACCAAATGCTTGCAAGGATGTGGAGCAACTGAAACTCTCATATGTTGTTGATGGGAATGCAAAATGACACAGCAATTTTGAAAAAGCCTATAGCAGTACCTTAGAAAATTAAGTATCTATTCACCATACAATCTAGCCATTTCAATTCTTGGTATTTACCCAAGAGAAAAAACACATATACCTACAGAAAGACTTCTTCAATAACCAGGGGTCAGGGATGGGGGACACGGCAACTTGTGGTATGCTTATGAGGGAATGGTTCTACATCTTGACTTTATCAATGTGAATATCCAGTTGTAATACCGTACTCCAGTCTTGCAAGATGTTATTACTAGGGGAAACTGGGTAAATAGTATACAAGATCTCTATGTGTGATTTCCTTTTTTGTTGTTGTTTTTTGTTTTTCGAAACAAAGTCTCTCACTGTAGCCCAGGCTGGAGCGCAGTGGCGCGATCTCAGCTCACAGCAACCTCTGCCTCCCAGGTTCAATTCTCCTGCCTCAGCCTCCCTAGTAGCTGGGACTACAGGGCACGTGACCACACCTGACTAATTTTTGTGTCTTTAGTAGAGACAGAGTTTCACCATTCACCATGTTGGCCAGGCTGGTCTCAAATTCCTGACCTCAGATGATCCGCCTGCCTCAGCCTCCCAAAATGCTGCGATTACAGGCGTGAGACTATGCCTGGCCCTCTATGTGTGATTACTTACAACTGGATGTTTACAATTATCTCAAAATAAAAGCTTAATTAAAAACAAAAACAAAAACCTTAAAAGCCAGGTGTGGCAGCACACACATGTAGTACTAGCTACTTGGGAGGCTGAGGCAGGAGGATTGTTTGAGCCCAAGGAATTCAAGGCTGCAGTGAGCTGTGATCACGTCACTGTACTCCAGCCTGGGCAACCACAGCAAGATCCTATCTCTAAAAAACAACAAAATTTTAGACATATTCTTGACCAACACACAAAGTAACTTTCCTGGTTTCACTCAGCCAAGAAAGGGTAGAACCCAGATCCGAGCCCAGGTCTGGTGGGCTCTCTGGCCCTTGCTCCTCCACCATGTGCTGTCTCCTTTCTAGAGATTCCCCCATGAGCAGATGCACGATGTGGTGGCAAGAGTGCTGCTCTGGCAGTGGGAAACATTGGGTTTCTCCAATAGAAACCCTGGGAGTGTGGATTAGGACTCTGAATGACTAAATAAATGTTTTTCCTTGATTGCTAAGCCCGAAATGAATCCCTAAACTTTAAATTGTTTTCAGTGGAGTAGGGAATACATTTTAGTAGTAAATAAATTTCTCATCCAAACAGAAAATAATACACAGGGATTATCATCGTCATGATGATAAAAGCTAACATGGGGCCGGGCACGGTGGCTCACGCCTGTAATCCCAGCACTTTGGGAGGCAGAGGCGGGTGGATCACCTGAGCTCAGCAGTTCGAGACCAGCCTGGCCAACACGTGAAACCCCGTCTCTACTAAAAATACAAAAATTAGTTGGGCGTGGTGGCACATACCTGTAATCCCAGCTACTCGGGAGGGTGAGGCAGGAGAATCGCTTGAACCTGGGAGGCAGAGGTTGCAATGAGCCGAGATGGCACCACCGCACTCCAGCCTGGGCAACAGGGCAAGACTCCATCTGAAAAAAAAAAACAAAAGCTAGCATGGATTTAGCACTCAATCCTCACAACGTGAAGAGGTAGTTCATTTCAATGTTGCAGACGACACATATGAAACATCAGGAGGTTAAGGAACTTGCCCAAGTTCTCACAGACAGTTACTAGCAGAGCTGGATTTGATCCCAGACAGTCTGGCTCCAGAGTTCACACTCTTATTGGGGAAATCAGGTCAGATGATATTGTAGAAAAATGAATAGGTTGTTGTTTAAGGTGAAGGATTTATTTTATTATTTTGGAGGAATACTGTTTAAATGCATATTTTTTACAAGGACCGACATGTGGATTCACTTTCGATGCCTCACAATAAATACCTCACTCCTAATATTTGACAATGAGCCATTCCTGTGAAAGCTATTTACAATAATAGAACTTTCACATGTGGTTTTAACTATGATCTTCACACAATCCTTGGCATGCATGCAGTTTAGAGATAATCTTATGGAACTATGTAAACTTTTTTGATCAATACATGACTAAAAATTCAATGGTTGTCATGGAAAATGTATCTTGGGTGCCAGAGGTTTCTGTTTGTACAACTAGCTATATAGACGCTAATGAATAAGCATCACAGAGTTTCTGAAAGGGAGGAGAAAGCTGATAGGACTTACAGTATTAACTCCATTTAAAAAACAGATGCATTTCTTAGAAAAAAAAAATCATCCTAAAATTCCCAGGGAGTCTCAAGGGGCCCTAAGTAGCCAAAACAATCTTGAAAAAGAAGAACAAAGTTGGAAGCCCCACACTTCCTGATTTTATAACTACAAAGAACAGTAATTAAGAAGGTGTAGTACTGGCATAAAGATAGATGCATTAGTTCATTCTCATACTGCTATAAAGATACTACCTGAGACTAAGTATAAACTACCCGAGACCGGGCGCAGTGGCTCACGCCTATAATCCCAGCACTTTGGGAGGCCGAGGTGGGTGGATCACCTGAGGTCAGGAGTTCGAGACCAGGCTGGCCAACATGGTGAAACTCCGTCTCTACTAAAAATACAAAAATTAGCCAGGCGTGGTGGCAGGCGCCTGTAATCCCAGCTACTCGGGAGGCTGAGGCAGGAGAATCGCTTGAACCCAGGAGGCAGAGGTTGCAGTCAGCCAAGATCGCACCATTGCACTCCAGCCTGGCGACAGAGTGAGCGAGACTCCGTCTCAAAAAAAACAAAAACAAACAAACAAACAAAAAACTACCCAAGACTGGATATAGGCTTTCTTTATAAACAAAGAATGTTTAATTGACTTACGGTTCCACATGGCTGGCGAGGCCTCAGGAAACTCACAATCATGGTGGAAGGCAAAGGGGAAGCAGGGACCTTCTTCACAAGGTGGCAGGAGACAGAAGAGAGAGAAGGGGAAAGAGCCCCTTATAAAACCATCAGATTTTGTGAGAACTCACTCACTATCAGAGGAACAGCATGGGGGAATCACCCCCATGATCCCAATCACCTCCCTCCCTTGACACGTGGAGATTACAGGTCCCTCCCTCGACATGTGGGGATTACAATTCAAGATGAGATTTGGGTGGAGACACAGAGCCAAACCACATCAATAGACCAAGCGAGCAGAACAGAGAGCCAGAAATAAACCCTTGCATCTGGACAAATAATTTTTGACAATAATGCCAAGACTACAAAATGGGGAAAGAACATGCTCTTCAACAACTGGTGTTAAGAAGACTGGATATCCACATGCAAAAGTTGGAACATTATCTTACATCATATACAGAAAGTAAGCCAAAATGGCCAACATGTAAGCCCTTCATGTAAGATCTAAAGACCTAAATGCAAGATCTCCAATTATCAAACAAAGCACTAATGTAAGATCTTCAATTATTAAACTTCCAGAAGAAAACAGGAGAAAAGCTTCAGGACATTGGATTTGGCCATGATTTCTTGGATATGATACCAAAGGCATAGGCAATGAAAGAAAAAATAGACAAATAGGACATCAAACTTAAAAACATCTGTGAGTCAAAGGAATCAGTCAACTGAATGAAAAGGCAGCCTACAGGAGAAAGTAATTGTAAACCATATATCTGATAAGAGATTAATGTGCAGGGTATATTAGGAACTTCTACAACTCAATAACAACAAAAACATAACCAAATAACCCAGTGAAGAAATGGGCAACAAACTTGAATAGACATTTCTCCAAAGAAGATATACGAATGGCCAATAAGCACATGAAAAAATGTTCAGCATTACTAATCATTAGGAAAGTGCAAATCACAACCTCAATAGACTATCACCTCACATCCATCAGGATGGCCACTATCAGGAGAACCAAAAATAACAAGTGGTGGCAAGGATGCAAAGTTAGAACCCTTGTATACTGTTGGTGGGAATGTGAAATGGTGCAGTCACAGTGGAAAACAGTATGGCAGTTCCTTAGAACATTTAAAATATGTTCACCATATCATCCAACAAGTCCACTTCTGGGTATATACCCAGAAGAATTCAAAGCCAAACCTTGCAGAGGTGGAAGCAACCCAAATGTCCATCCACAGATGAATGAAGAAAGAAAATGTGGCTGGGCGTGGTGGCTCACGCCTGTAATCCCGGCACTTTGGGAGGCTGAGGCGGGTGGATCATGAGGTCAGAAGATCGAGACCATCCTAGCTAACACGGTGAAACCCTGTCTCTACTAAAAATACAAAAAATTAGCCAGGCGTGGTGGCGGGCACCTGTAGTCCCAGCTACTCGAGAGGCTGAAGCAGGAGAATGGTGTGAACCCGGGAGGCAGAGCTTGCAGTGAGCCGAGATCGCGCCACGGTACTTCAGCCTGGGCGACAGAGCGAGACTCCATCTCAAAAAAAAAAAAAAAAGAAAATGCAGTGTCTACACACAATGGAATATTAAGCAGCCTTAAAAAGAAGGAAATCCTGTCACATGCTGCAACATGAATGAACCTTGAGGACATTATGCTAAGAGAATTAAGCCGGTCACCAAAGGACAAGTACCATATGATTTCATTCACATGAAGTATCTAAAGTCATGAAAATCATAGAAACAGAAAGTATGAAGGTTAGGGTTAGAGTAACCAAGAGCTAAGGGGAGAGGGAATTCCTATTTAGTGGATAGAATTCCACTCTTGCGAGATGAAAAAGTTCTAGAGATCTGTGTACAACAATGTGAATGTACTTAAACTATGAAACTATACACTTAAAAATGGTTAAGACAGTAAATTTTGTGCCTGGTGCAGTGGTACGTGCCTATAGTCCCAACTATTCAGGGGGCTGAGATGGGAGGATCACTTGAACCTAGGAGTTCAAGACCATAAGCCGGACACAGTGGCTCATGCCTGTAATCCCAGCACTTTGGGAGGCTGAGGCAGGTGGATCACCTGAGGTCAGGAGTTTGAGACCAGCCTGGCCAACATGGTGAAATCCCGTCTCTACTAAAAATACAAAAAATTAGCTGGGCGGTGGTTGAGGCCGCCTGTAATCCCAGTTACTCAAGAGGCTGAGAGGCAGGAGAATCGCTTGAACCCTGGGGGTGAAGGTTGCAGTGAGCCAAGATCAGGTCACTGCCCTCTAGCCTGGGCAACAGAGCGAGACTCTGTCTCAAAAAAAAAAAAAAATTACTGTAGTGAACTATGATCATGCCTGTGAATAGCCATTGCACTTCAGCCTGGGCAACATAGTGAGACTTCATGTCTAAAAAAAAAAAAAAGGTAGTACATTTAATGTTATGTGTTTTTTACCACAAGAAAATATAATGGAAGCATTTCAAAGAAAAAAAAAGAAATGGATGCATTTCTAAGATAATCTGTATGAAATCTATTTTATGTAAAGCGAGAAATATTTTTAAATGCAAATAATTCATACTTCTTGCCCTTTCCTCTCTTCTTCCCCATTTTGTCATACTTTATTTTATGTCTGTTTTAATATTGGGTTCCCATAAGGTAGATTTATATTTCTTTAACCATAATTAGAGCTACCTAATTTGAAGCCAACAGTACAGTAGTGTGAGAAGAATACAACTTGAAATTGAGACCCAGGTTCTAGGCCTGTTTGTTGTCACAGATTTGCTTTTGGACTCTGAATGAGTCATTTAAATTTTCTGTATCTGTTTCCTCAAATGCCAGATGTGCCTTCTCTCCTTCACAGACCCTTGTGAAGTGTTTTGAAAAACAAAAAGTACAATGTAAACACCAGCCCTCCAAGTCCTCCTATCTAGTTTCCTCCATGGAGGAACCCCTCTTGGGGGGAGGCAGGAGAGTTTGCTCTGCAAGGAAACACAGTGTTTCATCTTGACAAAGTGGCTTCTGAGTCTCCAGTGCCCAGCATGGTGTCTGACACATGTCAGCAGGAAAAGTTGGCTTTCCAAACTGCTGATTCTGTGTTACAGCTTTAAGCTAAATTCAGAAAGTAATTAATGTTCTTTCCTATTTATTCGATCTCAAAAATGTACACTTTGCAGGGCTTTTCTCTAGAATATAATGATGCCAAAGTCATGATAGTGCAGAAATGTTCATAGATGGCCTTATGATTAAGGATGTTTAGCAACCAACTGTCCAAAGTGGCAAATAGATGTATAACTTGAGGTTTTGAGACTTATTTCCTGGAGAGGATCATATTCATTGACTCACTCACTGGTAGCCCAGGGCTAGCCACATAAACCTTCCAGGGTTTTAGTGTTAATATTGCTGAGCTCTCCTGGCATGTGGGTTTGTTGATGAAAGTACTGGGTGGTTCTTTGAAAACCTGGAAATGTGAAAACAGTGTTAACACTCAGAAAAGAGGCCAGGTGTGGTGGCTCACACCTGTAATCCCACCAATGTCGGGAGGTCGAGGTGGGTAGATCACTTGAGGTCAGGAGTTCAAGACCAGCCTGGCCAACATGGTGAAACCTTGTCTCCATGAAAAACACAGAAATTAGCTGGGTGTGGTGGCACATGCCTGTAGTCCCAGCTACTTATACCACTGCACTCCACCCTGGGTGACAGAGTGAGACCCTGTATCAAAAAAAAAAAAAAAGAAAGAAAAGAAAAGAAAAAAAGACTCAGAAACAAAAGATTTTAGAAGAAAAGGTACTTTAAAAGGACTAGCTCATCATATATAAAGTACAATAAAGGCCAGGCACAGTGGCTCGCGCCTGTAATCTGAGCACTATGGAAAGCTGAGGCGGGTGGACCACTTGAAGTCAGGAGTTTGAGACCAGCTTTGCCAACATGGTGAAACCCCATCTCTACTAAAAATATAAAAATTAGCCAGGCATGGTGGTGTAGGCCTGTAATCCCAGCTACTCTAGGAGGCAGAGGTTGCAGTGAGCCAATATTGCACCACTGCACTCCAGCCAGGGTGACAGAGACTCCATCTCAAAATAAATAAATTAATTAATTAAAAAGTACAATAAATATTTAAAAGGAAAAAATACATACAGAATAACTAAGGTTAATTAGAGAATGAAGACATTTTACTTTACTATTGGCTGAGCCTATATATAAAATCAGAAATGATAGGCTCCTTTTAAAATTGATTTTCCCATATATTTACATTGATTCAGCAGTCTTTTTTTTTTTTTTTTTTTTTTTGAGATGGAGTCTTGTTCTGTCACCCAGGCTGGAGTACAGTGGCACAGTCTTGGCTCACTGCAACCTCTGCCACCTGGGTTGCAGTGATTCTCCTCCCTCAGCCTCCCGCGTAGCTGGGACTACAGGCATGCACCACCATGCCTAGCTAATTTTGTATTTTTAATACAGACGGGGTTTCACCATGTTGGCCAGGCTGGTCTCGAACTCCTGACCTCATGTGATCTGCCCGCCTCGGCCTCGCAAAGTGCTGGGATTACAGGCATGAACCACCATGCCCAGCTGATTCAGCATTCTTTTCTATCTCCAGGTAAAGGGAAAGTTATTTGCATGCCTGGCTTTGTAACATTCTAGCAGTGATTGGTCAAGAAGAATGCGGCTGACAGCTGACACCTGGCTTCTCTTCAGGATGTTGTGAATTCGGATTGGACCAGCAGGTCTGCCCTGCTGTTAGCTCTCTAGGGCATCCAAGGACAGAGGATCATTCTCAAGGCATTCTTAGTTGTTCTAACTCCATTCACCACTACAAGAGCATGGGCTTTGGAAACAGGCAGAGTTGGGCCTGAAACCTGTGTTCAGCCCTTGATAGCAGGGTGGCTTTGTCTCTACTGATCAATCTCTCAGAGCCTCAGCTTCTTCTTTCATAAAACAGGCCAGTTAATAATCCCAGTCAGTTAACAAATCCATGTAAGATTGTCATAAAGATCAGAGATAATGTGGATACTGAGCCTGAAATGCGTCCCTAAATGATAGTTATTAGCTTTTGTCTGTATGGACTCTGGAATCAATTTCTTTCCCAATTCCACTTAAAACAGAGACAATAAATTCAAGTATTTCCTCAAGCTGCTGTAGAGTGTCATTTTAAAATGACATTGACTCAACTCCCCTTTCCTTACAACATAATTGGAAAAAAAAAAAAAAAAGCTGGCTGGGCACGGTGGCTCATGCCTGTAATCCCAGCACTTTGGGAGGCTGAGGCGGGCGGATCACGAGGTCAGGAGTTCGAGACCAGCCTGGCCAACACAGTGAAACCCCATCTCTACTAAAAATACAAAAAAGTAGCCAGGTGTGGTGGCGGGTGCCTGCAGTCCCAGCTACTCGGGAGGCTGAGGCAGGAGAATGGCTTGAACCTGGGATGCAGAGTTTGCAGTCAGCCGAGATCGCACCATTGCACTCCAGCCTGGGCAACAAAGCGAGACTCCATCTCAAAAAAAAAGAAAAAAGGCTTCAAGCATTGGCCCTGGGTTCTGCACTCAGATGAGGCTTCAGTGTTCTGCCCAATCTCATGGAAGTTCATTCTCCTGGTGCTGGAGCTGCACACACATGAAGTTGCTGAGCTACCATGAGAAGGGAGCATATAGACAAGATGAGTCTTCCCGGTAGCCTAAAAAAAAGGAGGAAGGTGCTACACTGTGCATCATTTTAAGTGCTCTGCGCCAGCTCTCAATGTCCTACACATTAACTCAATAATCCTGACAACCACCACAATGCATTAGGTAGTATTAGCAAAATGGTTAGGAGAAAAGATTCTGGAGTCAAACCACCTGCATTCCAATACTGACTTCACACTTCACTAGCTGGGTGTCCTTAGGCTAGCTACTTATCCTCTCCAACTCAATGAGAGTCATCTGAAAGCTCAGGATGATATTTAATGCCTATCTCCTGGGGTTATTGTGAGGCTCATGGGTCAAATATTCATAGCATAATGCCTGCCACAAAGTAAGCACTCATTAAATAATGTTGTTATATAGGCAATAGTAATTATCTTGCACAAGATCAAACACCAGTAAGTAGGTAGAAATCCTGGTCTTCTGACTCCAAATTCCAGGCTTTTTCTGTGACCATATGTTACCCTACTGAATGTTTATTTTTCCTTAAATGATTAAAATACCATAGTACGGTTTGTGCTGTTCTAAGAACACTGAAGTATTCTCGCTAATTATACAAACTGCAAAGAAAAGATCACTATTAGCAGAATATAATGCTGTTTCACTTTGCACTGGCTTGAGAAAAAGCCCCCACATAACAGACCATTTCTGAGATTCCCAAGAGCTATACTTTCCAGGAGTTATATACTTCTTTGATACCAAAACCAGTGTCGCACCTGCCAAGGGAAAGGACTGTCAGTTTGACTAGTCTAGAGGCCACGTTACCTTCTCTCTTTTGTGCTAAGTGGTGACAGCCGACTGTTCATCTCCCTTTTAAAGTTGTTCTCTAATATTTTATTTCAAATTCCTCCAAACAAAACAACTTGCAGCTGCAAGTCATGCTAGCTTTCTGGTTCACTGCCTACTTGGGCATAAATAACCAGTACACTGGCTCCTACTTTAACTACCACTAGGCCTGGCACAGTTCCAGGCTCTTTGGGTACTGACGTTGTGGAGTCCATAAAGTTAATTTTCCAGACAAACTTGATTTAACCTGGTATGAACTTCAGACGATGCAGCTCTGGGGAAATTCACACTGACTTTCTCACTTCATTTCAAAATATTTTTTTTAATTGTCAAAAAGAAACATTCATGAACATAGACCATATTCTTTCTGGGTCATAAAACAAAATAAAACATTTCAAAGAATTTAAGTCATATAAACTGAGTTCTCTGAAAATAATGGAATTAAACTAGAAATCAATAACAGATATCTTTAAAAATCACCAAATAGTTGGAAATTAACACACTACAAAAATAACCCATGAGTCAAAAAGGAAGTCACAAGGAAAATATTTTTGGGCCAGGCATGGTGGCTCACATCTATAATCCCAGCACTTTGGGAGCCAATGCGGGAGCATCATTTGAGGTCAGGAGTTCAAGACCAGCCTGGCCAACATGATGAAACCCTGTCTGTACTAAAAATACAAAAATTAGCTGGGCATGATGGTGCATGCCTGTAGTTCCAGCTACTTGGGAGGCTGAGGTGGGAGAATCGCTTGAACCTGGGAGGCGGAGGTTGCAGTGAGCCGAGATCACACTATTGCACTCTAGCCTGGGTGACAGAGTGAGACTCCATCTCAAAAAAAAAAAAAAAAAAAAAAATATTTTGAACTGAATGAAAATGATGATACAACATATTAAGATTTCTGTGATGTATTTAAAGTGGTGCTTACAGGAAAAATTATGGCATTAAATGCTTATATTAGAAGGCGGGGTGCAGTGGCTCATGCCTGTAATCCCAGCACTTTGGGAGGTTGAGGCAGGCAGATTATCTGAGCTCAGTAGTTGGAGACCAGCCTAGGCAATATGGTGAAACCCTGTCTCTACAAAAAACACAAAAATTAGCCAGGCGTGGTGGCACACCTACTTTGGAGGCTGAGGCAAGAGGATCGCCTGAGCCTGGGAGGCAGAGGTTGCAGTGAGCCAAGATCACACCACTGCACTCCAGCCTGGATGACAGAGCAAGACTGTCTCAAAAAAAAAAACAAAAAAAATTCTTCCAAACATTTAAGGAATTAATAATACCAATTTAATGTAAACATCTCTAGAAAATAAAAGGGAAGATAAACACTTCCCAACTCATTTTCTGAGATCAGCATTATCCTGATGCCAAAATTAGCAGATATTACAAGAAAACTATACATCAATATCTCTCAAAACATGAATGTAAAAATTTCCAATAAAATATTACTAATCAAATCCAGCAATACATTAAAATGATAAAATCATAAATAAGTTGGGTTTATCCCAGGAACAAAAGGTTGGTTCAACATCTAAAAATCAATATAATTCACCGTATCAACAGACTACATAAAAACAATTAGGTGGTGCACACCTATAATTCTAGCTACTCAGGCCTGGCAGAAGTGGGAGGATTGCTTAGGCCCAGGAGTTCAAGGGTACAGTGAGCAGTGATAACACTACTGCACTCCAGCCTGGGTGACAGAGCGAGACTCCCTCTCAATTAAAAAAAAAAAAGAAAAGAAAGGAAAAGGAAATGATCACCTCTAGATGAAGAAATGCATTTGATAAAATTCAACATCCATTCATAATTTTAAAAAGCAAACAAAAACACTAAGCAAACTAGGAATGAAAGTGAACTTTCTCAACCTCCTATTAATAAAAGGCTTCTGTGTTAGATACATATGGTTGCATAACAAATTACCCCAAAACATAATAGCAAACATATTTCAGTTTCTAGAGGTCAGGAACCCAAGTATGGCTTAGCTGGGTGCCCCTGGCTCAAGGTCTCTCACAAGATTGAACTTACATTGTCATCTGGGGCTACAATCTCATCTGAAAGCTCACTGGAGTTGGGGTGGTGGGGGAGATCCTCTATCCTCAAAAGGCTACATACGGTCTGATTCCATTTTCATGACATTCTGGAAAAGGCAAAACTATAGAGACAGAAAACAGATCAATGGTTGCCATTTGCAAACAATTTCTGTTCACAGACCACCTCTAGGCCATCCTTGTACTGGGTTTCCAGGGCAGCCACCAGCCCTCTCTCCTCAGCTCCAGGCTCCTTTCTGAACCCTTCCTGGGTTTACATTTAGTAGCATGCTGCTTGACACGGGATTGGCCCCTGTTTCATAGACACTGTGTTAATTTTCTCTCCTCGGGTACTGCTTCCAGGACAAGTACCCGCATTGATGCTGGCACTGGGAACGGGACGGATGATAAAGTGTGAGGCACTCTGCCCAGTGGCAACTGACATGATTTCATAATTTCCCCAGGTCCATCCGCTTCCCGCCAGTGTGCTCAGATTTGAGCAGTAGGAGTCCGTTGGGAGAAAGATGGGGGAAAGGAACCAAAAACAATTAAGGCAGACTCTGTAAGCTTCCACCTCCCACACCAGAAAAGTCCCACAGCAGAAGACTGCCGTGGAACCTTCCCTACTGTAGAGGAAAGTGCTGACTTTAAGCAATTTCTGCAGTCACGCCTTCCTCTTCTTTCCTTTCTCCCTCTCATTCATTCACTGACGCCGCAGCACTGATCAGCACAGACACAGAAGATGCCTCCAAGGGACCAAAGGGAATAACCGCGGTTCTGAGGTGTGGGGACTGCTGTTGCAGGGAAATGTGGACCGCTCAGGAGGGGCTCCTAGCGCAGGCGTCTTGCTCCGCAGACGCGGTTACAGCTGCGCTTTGCACGGCCTGCGGAAGTTTGCAAATCTAGCAGGTCTGCTCTCCCGGCAGCAGGACTCGGCCCGCGGTCAGGACAGCTCCCATGGACGGAGGGCGGCCCTCCGAGGCCTTTCCCTGCAGCCGGGAGGGCGGCCGGGCTGGGCCGGGCCGGGGGTGGGAAGCTGGGGCGCGGCGGCCCCGCCCAGGCAGACCCGGGGCGGGAGCCGGTTCCCATAGGGATCGCGGGCCGAGCCACGCCGAGCCGAGCTGGGCGGAAGAAGGCGAGGCGGGAGCCAGGCCCGTCCCTGACCGCCGCGGCGCCGTGAGTCCCGGGCGGGCAAGGAGGCGCGGGCCGTCCCTGGCCAACACGTGGCACCGCTCCATGCTGCGCGGCGCGGCTGAGGTGCACGTCCGGGCGCGGGAGGGTTTTCCCAGTCCCGGGGGCGTGGGGCGCGGGGCGCGGGTTGGTCTCCTGCGGCCAAGCCTCGCCGCCGCCTCCGCGGGGAGCCGGGAGGTGTCTTCTTGCCGCAGGGAAATGAGACCCGAAATTAGAACCGGGGAAGCCCTTAGCCCTCCCCGTACTCCAGCCAGCTCAGGTGTCTTAGATCGGATGAACGATAACGTTAAAAAGATAGCTTATCTTACAGCTCGGCTCGTTTTAGGATGGCAAGTTACATTTTAACTTACAGGGTATTTAACGGGCGATTAAAATCGGGTTACTGGAGGCAGCTAACTCTAGGCTGTTACTCCTGATCGCGTTGCCATTGCCGACACGGGTACACTCTTCATTCCTTAACATGTGCTGTTCTGTTCTAGGACCGTGACAAACACTCATCGTTGGGTGGGGCTCTAGTGCAGTCCGTTGGTGCCAATATTTTATAAGCGACGTTTTCAAACTATGTGAAGATCCTTTCTTTTCTTTTCTTTCTTTCTTTTTTTTTTTTTTTTTTTTTTTTTTTTGAGACGGAATCTCGCTCTGTCGCCCGGGCTGGAGTGCAGTGGCGCGATCTCGGCTCACTGCAACCTGCGCCTCCCAGGTTCACGCGATTCTCCTGCCTCAGTCTCCTGAGTTGCTGGGACTACGGGCGCCCATCACCACACCCGGCTAATTTTTTGTATCTTTAGTAGAGACGGAGTTTCAGTATGTTGGCCAGACTGGTCTCGAACTCCTGACCTCAGGTGATCTGCCCGCCTCAGCCTCCCAAAGTGCTGGGATTACAGGCGTGAGCCACCATTCTCGGCTGAAGATCCATTTTAAGAAGATTTATTCCTCTATGATGGAGAAGTATGAAAAAATTGGGAAAATTGGAGAAGGATCCTATGGAGTTGTTTTCAAATGTAGAAACAGGGACACGGGTCAGATTGTGGCCATCAAGAAGTTTCTGGAATCAGAAGATGACCCTGTCATAAAGAAAATTGCCCTTCGGGAAATCCGAATGCTCAAGGTAATTGATTCACTTTTCCTTTTTTTTCTTTTTCGAGACAGGGTTTCACTCTGTCTCCCAGGCTGGAGTGCAGCCATGTGATCATAGCTCACAGCAGCCTGGAACTCCTGGGCTCAAGCCATGCTTCTGCCTCAGCCTCCTGAGTAGCTGGGATTACAGGTTCTAGCCACTGCTCCGGGATCCACTTTTTCTTTAAAGTGAATTTTTAGGGATGAAAGAAATAAAGTGAGTCATGTTATGTTAAAAGAATGTCATGGGACATGGTTATATCTTACTTCATAGCCTTTTGACTTCAGTGACACAAATGGGATATCTGTGCACAAGTCACTAATTATATAATGAACTAGAAAGCAGAGACAAAAGTGCCAGGTAAGGTGGCATTCACTTTTAGAGATGCTGTGGGATATTTATTTTTCTTCCCCATAATTTCTCTCCCACCTGTAGACCTGGGTTTTCAAGGACCATTACAATTTGATAGTATAGGAATGTAAGACAATTCAATTTTGCTGGCATTGTTGATTTTTAAACTTCTAAGGTATTTCCTATTGGTATACTCAGTCTATTAAGAGAATTAACATTTACCTGTTTTCAAACTGCTAGGAAGCTCACAGATTCTCATTACACCTCATATGTATTTACTGCTGAGCATCATCATGTCCCGTTTCTAAAAAGAAGCGTTTTTCTTAAAGAAGTGAAATGATCACTTTCTAATTTTTTTTAACATTTTTTAGAGATGGGATCTTGCTATGTTGGCCAGGCTGGTCTCGAGTTCCTGGCCTTAAGTGATCCTTCCACCTTGGCCTCCTAAAGTGGTGGGATTACAGGCATGATCCATCGAGCCTGGCCTGATCACTTTTCAAATGTTTATTAGTTAACCCTAAAAATAACATGATATCAGAGGGGGGAAAGGTATTTATTACAAGCTGAAAGTGTGTTTTTCGCTAATGGAGAGACTACTTTACAGAACTTCTGTGAAGGTAAAATCCAAATCGCAATGTGAAAGGTGACATGTAATGAATATGGTGGAGGTCAACTTTGTTTCAGTTATGGCCTCTCTGTTCTGACCTGTATAACTACTATGTGACAAGGGAAGAGCTACTTGATGAGAGACAGATGAATGAAACTTCCAGGGGATTTACTATTATTCTTGCTTCTCCATTTTCTCCAGATCACTCTACAAATCTTGTGCCCATGGATAAGTGTGTGGGGTCACTTCTAGATAAGGAACCTAAATGGAAAGTAGCAAGCTTTGGATAAATTGGAATGGGTGGGTAACAGGGCAACTTCTCTATTTAGGTTTGGAATGTTCTTAACCAACAGGATATTATCTATTGAGAGGAGATGCTTCCAAAGCCCCGCAGGGGAGTGCTCCCATGGGCAGGGGTGAGACCTGCAGTGTTTTGACCATCCCCCTGCCCGGGTCACCCTACCCTTACCCTCTCTGTACACAGGGAGAGGCTGTTGGGCATTTTCACTTCCTCAGGCTTTCCCAGGGGAGGAGGTGATCATTACATTTCAAAGGGTTCATTTACCTGAAAGAAAATCTGTTTCTTGCAGAAAGATACTCTTTTTCTGATTCTGAAGATTACTTTTGTGAATGCTCCTTTCAAATCTCTCACTACACTTTATCAATACTACATTAACAGTGATAGCTCCCCAAATTCATTGAGTTCTTCTGGGATGGAGACCTTGCCTCTGTAGCTCTATATCCCCAAAGCACACTAGTTGGCACATCTAGGCCTCCAAAAAATGTCATTGTTGGATTGGAAAAAAAAGTTAACAAAATAAACTCTTAACAAAGGTGGATGTTGCCAATAAATGGGGAAGTCAAATGTGTTCTCTTATCTGAATATTGATATCCTCCAAAGGATGGGGTTGTGTACACATGAGCCTGATTTCAAAGCATGCAGCACCCCACTCTCCAAATTAAGTGCACAGATGTAGACACCACTGATCTCTATGAAATGGTGGGACTAGATTATAGGTAGAGTCTGTTCTTTAAAGCTGTAACTTTTCAGAGTTGTGTGATATTCCTAACACATAATACGTACTAGGCTGGGCATGGTGGTGCGTGCCTGTGGTCCTAGCTACTAAGGAAAGAGGCCAAGGCAAGAGGATGGCTTAAGCCCAGCAGTTCAAGGCTATGGTGAGCTATGATTAGGCCACTGTATTCTATCTAGCCTGGGTGACAGTGAGACCCTGTCACTTATAAAATAAAGATACTTAATAAATATTTGTTGAGTAGGTGAATTGAGGGTATGGTAAATGAACATTTTATTTTCTCCATTTATGGATTCAGTAAATACTCATAGAGCCCCAGTTGTGCCTAAAACGATGTTTATGCAAAGTTGTACACCCTGTCTTTCAGAAGCTCAGCTCTTGGAAGGGAGGTAAGTTGAATTGCCCTTTGGCTCTCACCCCTTATAGACTGGGTTCCCAGTGAGCAGGGCATGTGTACCCTTGCCTGGTAAGAACTCTTTAGGTGCTTGTTGAATGGTGAAAATAAAGTGATTGGAGGCATGTTTGAGCTGAACTTTGAAATGTTTAGGGAAACGTGGAATGAGAGATAAGGCATTTCAGGCAGACACTCTATCCTAGGAAAAGGTGCATAAGTAGAAAGCACCCTATATTGAGGGAACACAGGTAATAACCCAGTGTCTTAGCCAAGATGCCCAGTGGGTGCTAACAGGCCAGGGAGAGAAGGAAGGGGGAAGCCAGGGTCCGGCAGGATCAAGTCATATTCTAGATTTCTTCTGAAAGAAGAGCACATAGGAATCTAATGATTGGATGAGAAATCAAGAACAATTTCAAGGTTTTTGACTGATTGACTGGAAGAATGAGGAGATTGTTCACTGTGATAGAGAGACCCAGGTGCAAATGTGGGGGAAAGGAGATGAAGAGCTCTGTTTTGGACAGGTTAAGTTTGAGTTGTGAACCCAAGGAGACTTGTAAAGTAGGCAGTTGACTACACAAGTCTGGCATTCAGGGGAAGTCCAGGTTGGAGACAGAGTTGGGGGACATAAGCATATCGATGGTATTTAAAGCTGTGGGACCGGAGGAGGTCACCATGTGGGATGGAGGGACAGGTACTAAAGGTGGAAGCTTGGTGTACCCAGCCTTTGGGGGTCAGGAAGATGAAAAGGAACCGGCAAGGGAGGCAAGAAGAGGCGATCTGCATGGTAGGAAACCCCATAGAACAATGTTCTTTCATTATTATTATTATTATTATTATTATTATTATTATTATTTCTTTTTTGGAGACAGTCTCACTCTGCTACCCAGGCTGGAGTGCAGTGGCACAATCTCAGCTCACTGCAACCTCCGCCTCCCAGGTTCAAGAGATTCTCCTGCCTCAGCCTCCCAAGTAGCTGGGATGAGAGGTGCCTGCCACTACACCTGGCCACTTTTTGTATTTTTAGTAGAGAGAGGGTTTCACCATGTTGGTCAGGCTGGTCTCAAACTCCTGACCTCAAATGACCCGCCCACCTTGGCCTCCCAAAGTGCTAGGATTATGGGCGTGAGCCCCCGCTCCTGGCCATAGTGTTCTTAAAAGCTTAGTGAAGAAGATTGTTCAAAAGTGAGGGGATGCTCTGTGTCTCCATTAGTAGATTTAGGATTAGCCATTGGCTTTGATCATGTGAGGGTCTTTGGCGACCTTGACAAGAGCTGTGTGAGTGGAGAGGCAGGAATGAAACCTTCATCAGCAAGGGATTAAGAGAGACGAGAGGAACAAAGTGGAGATAATGATATGGGCAACTGTTTTGAAGAGTTTTATTACAAAAGGAAGACAAAAATGGGGCAGAGGTGTTCGTAAAGATGTGGGCTGAAGACAGGTTTTTTTTGTGGTTGTTTTTATTATACGAGTGAGAAGTACATTTGTATGCTAATGGTGTAAATAAATCCAGTAGAGAAAAAACTTGATGTTGGAGGAGGGAGAGAATTGCTGGACCCGTGACCTTGAGTTACTGCCCTGAACCATACCAAACATAAATATCATTGCATAAAAAAAGACAATTTAGGCCAGGCATGGTGGCTCACGCCTGTAATCCCAGCACTTTGGGAGGCTGAGACGGGCGGATCACTTGAGGTCGGGAGCTTGAGGCCAACATGGCCAACATGGTGAAACCCCATCTGTATTAAAAATACAAAAACTAGGCAAGCGTGGTGTCAGGCACCTGTAATCCCAGCTACTTGGGAGTCTGAGACAGGAGAATCGCTTGAACCCGGGAGGCAGAGGCTCCAGTGAACTGAGATCGTGCCCCTGTGCTCCAGCCTGGGCGACAGAGCAAGACTGCTAGATTCTTTACATACACTCTCCTTAATCTTTCTGTAACAGGATCCACAGCTGGCTCTAAGCTATGGGGTGGAACTTCTTCTACCAGGGTATTCACCGTCTTCTGATTTGCATATGACACATGGACCCTACCTGAATTCAACTCCTTTCCGTAACTCAGGTTTAAACATACTAAGGATTTATTGGATGAGAGGTAGGGTGGTCATAACAGAAGTCAGATTACAGAGAAAGACAAGGTAACAGGAAGAAAATCACGTTAAATCAAGAAGTCAGGAGCTGGGTGTGGTGGCTCACGCTTGTAATCCCAGTATTTTGGGAGGCCAACGTGCTGATCTCTCGAGCCCATGAGTTCAAGACCAGCAGGGGCAACGTGGTGAAACCCCATCTCTACAAAAAATAGAAAAATTAGCTGGGCATGGTGGCATGCACCTGTAGTCCCAGCTACTCAGGAAGCTGAGGTGGGAGGATCACCTGAGTTCTGGGAGTCAAGGCTGCAGTGAGCCGTGATTTGTGCCACTGCATTCCAGCCTGGGCAACAGAGTAAGACACTGTCTCAAAAAAAAAGAAAAATCAAGAAGTCAGGCATGATGGGCTGGAGCATCACAGGCCCTGTCGTGGAAAGTGGGCAGTGGTCTGCATAAAGCAGTTGGATGCACTTGAACTCCATGCAGCCCCTAGGGGAATATCTGTGTGTCCGGCAAGGGGCAAGGAAAGGGCTATGTGGTTCAAAACAAATACAAACCATACAAATACAAAGTAATACAAACCAAAACAAACAAATACAAAACAAATACAAACCATACAAATACAAAGTAATACAAACCAAAACAAACAGATACAAAACAAATACAAACCATACAAATACAAAGTAATACAAACCAAAACAAACAAATACAAAACAAATACAAACCATACAAATACAAAGTAATACAATAGAATAATTGTATTACTAAGGCCCCAAGCCCCTATGCTGCTGAACCTTCTCTCTGTGGAATGAAAATGGTAAGAAGAGGAAAGAAAGAATTTCTGCCAGCAGTGGCAGAAAAAGTAGATGCTCCTAGCGGAGTTGGAGGTCAAGGACAGGACAGTGTCACTGTGGGATCCCTGGGCAGACGTTCTACCTATGGCAGGTGGTATGGGGGCGTTAAAATATATTAGACCAGCATTGGTCAAGGGCTGAAAGCAGCAGCTGGGACATTGTCTATGACATGTCTCCCTCCAGAAAACAAGAAAAACAAGTGAGACAAAGAGAAGGAATCATCTACTGCTATGTGGCAGGTAGGGGCAAGGGACCTAGTAAATTTGGACAAACTGCCAAGTATCATTGTTACTTAGGATGCACAAATTACACTAATAACAACCTTAGAAGGTAGATATCGTTACACTAATAACAACCTTAGAAGGTAGATATTGTTATCCCATTTTACAAATGGATTCAGTATGGTTAATGATTTGCCAAGGCCTCCCGGTCAGTAAGCTGGAATGCAGACACAGTTCTGTCTGTCCCCAAGTTCATGCCATGTGGTTTCCCCATACCAGAACCATCCATCACTTTATACCAAACACCATACTCTGAAGTCTCCCAATGACTGGTCGTCAGAATTTATACTGCCCGTTCTCCCGCAGGGCCTTAGCTGTGAGATTTGTGGCTTCTGTGGAGGCCTGAGTGCAGATTGTAGCTGAACAGCCGTTCTTTCCATATCTCATTCCATAACCCTATGGACTATTTTAGAAGGCTAAAATAGCCTTCTAAACCTTTGTACAAACCTTTGTAGGTTTGCCACCTACAAAGATGAGAATAAGTGTGAGGGGAAATGTCCATTTGAAAATTAATTATAAATATCACAACGTAATGCAGAGATTCATAATGAGAACAAGGTCACTCCTAAAGGGTGAAAATTGGTTCTTGGCAGGTGGCAAAAAAATCTAACTTTTTTATTGTTTAAAGCACAGATATACATATGGTTCATATACAGATATATAGTATATTTGTGATATTAAAATTTCATTGGTAAGTGATTAGAAAAAATGTGTAAAATGACTCTTTGAGGGAGAGAAATGAAAAAAGGTGCATGGGGTGTGGGCGAGTGGCACTGTTGAGTGTATCCTAGGTGCCAGAAGTAGGCTCTCATTTGATTTTAATTCATCGTGAATAGTAACCTGCAGAATGTCCAGAGCATCCCTTTTTTCCCTGCTGTCCCCTTTGATCAGTAGCCTTATAGAAGGGACAGGGGCATGGGGACAGGAGCTACAGTTAGAGACTTCAGTTTTCTTTTCTCTCTCTTTTTTTTTTTTTTTTTTTTTTTTTTGAAGACAGTCTCACTCTGCTGCCCAGGCTGGAGTGCAATAGCGCAATCTCGGCTCACTGCAACCTCTGCCTCCTGGGTTCAAGCGATTATCCTGCCTTAGCCTCCCCCAGTAGATAGGACTACAGGGGCGTGCCACCACACCCAGCTAATTTTTGTATTTTCAGTAGAGACAGGGTTTCACTGTGTTGTCCGGGCTGGTCTCAAACTCCTGATCTCATGATCCGCCTCCCTCGGCCTCCCTAAGTACAGGGATTACAGGCATGAGCCACCACACCCAGCTATGGAACTTCAGTTTCTGATCATGCTTGAAGCTGTGGAGTGACCTTGGGCAAGCTCTGGTGCTTCCTGGAGCCTGGCGTGCCTTATCGCTATGATTTATGTCCCTGTTTGGCATTGCTTTGCTGATTTTTTGCTGAGGAGGGCAGAGGGCTCTTGGGCCAAACATCTAACAGCGGTCAAGCAGCCTCAAGGATGCAAGAGCAGGAAAGTAGAGGGTCAAAGGGAGTAAACATAGAAGAGGAAAGCACAGACAGAAGGGCAGAAGGTGGGATTTTAACATAGTGCTGTGGCCAACGGCCAACGGAGGCGCTGGAGGCAAAAGCTCTTCACACAGTCCCCCAAGAGGCTCACTGTCTTCAAAGAGCAGACCAGAAGTCCTGCTGGGCACATTACCATCATGGTGACAGGCACATGCTTTAAGAAGTAGGACTGTCAAGGTTGCCTGTTATCCAAAGCATTTATTAAGTGCTTAACTGAATGTGCTCTGTGCAGTGCCACATCCACTAAATGCTAAGAGTACCATGTAAATGCTCCCTAGCATTAGAATCTAATTAGAACTTTCATAGTTGGAAGGGCTTCTGCTCTTCAAATATTAGTTGAAGGAGTGTTTCCTCACTCAGTAAAAACCTCAGCCAGCTGCAGTGGCTCATGCCTGTGATCCCAGCACTTTGGAAGGCTGAGGCAGGTGGATCACGAGGTCAGGAGTTTGAGACCAGCCTGGCCAACATCCCCGTCTCTACTAAAGATACAAAAAATTAGCCAGGTGTGGTGGCGGGCACCTGTAACCACAGCTACTTGGGAGGCTGAGGCAGGAGAATCGCTTGAACCCGGGAGGTGGAGGTGGCGGTGAGTCGAGATAGAGCCATTGTGCTCCAGCCTGGGCGACAGGGCAAGACTCTGTCTCAAAAAAACAAAACAAACAAACAAACACCTCAGTGGAAAATCCTGTGACATCTTTAAGAATTTCATCCTGCTTTTGCTAATAGGGGTCATTCTAGGCTCCCTCTCTTCAAATTGTTTAATTGGCTTGTTGAGGTGAATTAATAACATATGTCTATTAATTGTTTTAGCTGAGTTCAGCATTTTCTGTTATGGATTATGGATTAACAAACCCAAATGTCTGTGGAATCACACTGTTAACATAAATGAGGGAAGCAGTCTGAATATAGGGCAAGATGGAGAGGTGGAGACTGGGGCAAACTGGGGTCCTCATGTCTGATCTAAAGTGGACAGCTACTGCTCAGTGCCACAGACTGCAAGCCTAAGGTGCTGGGTTTTCAGTCTTTTTTTTTTTTGAGATGGAGTCTTGGTCTTGTCACCCAGGCTGGAGTGTAATGATATGATCTGGGCTCACTGCAACCTCTGCCTCCCAGGCTCAAGCGATTCTCCTGCCTCAGCCTCCTGAGTAGCTGGGATTACAGGTGCCCACTACCATGCCTAACTAATTTCTTGTATTTTTAGTAGAGACGGGGTTTCACCATGTTGGACAGGCTGGTTGTGAACTCCTGACTTCAGGTGATCCACCTGCCTCGGCCTCCCAAAGTGCTGGGATTACAGGCATGAGTCACCGCATCAGGCCCACCACCCCCACCCCCATTTTTTTTTTTTTTTTAAGACAGGGTCTCAGTCTGTTGCCCAGGCTGGAGTGCAGTGGGGCAATGATGGCTCACCGCAGCCTCAATCTCCAGGGCTCAGGTGATCCTCCCACCTCAGCCTCCTGAATAGCTGGGACTACAGGCATGCATCACCACACTAGGCTAATTCTTTGTATTCTTTTTTTTTTTTTCTTTTTGAGACGGAGTCTCGCTCTGTCTTCCAGGCTGGAATACAGTGGCGCGATCTTGGCTTACTGCAACCTCCACCTCCCAGATTCAAGTGATTCTCCTGCCTCAGTCTCTTGAGCAGCTGGGATTATAGGTGCATGCCACCACACCTGGCTGGTTTTTGTGTTTTTAGTAGAGATGGCCAGGCTGGTCTCAAACTCCTGACCTCGGCCTCCCAAAGTGCTGGGATTACAGACATGAGCCACTGCGCCCAGCCAATTCTTTGTATTCTTTGTAGAGATGGGGTTTCTCCATGTTGCCCAGGCTGGTCTCAAACTCCTGTGCTCAAGCAATCCTCCTGCCTCGGTCTCCCAAGGTACTGGGTTTACAGGCATGACCCCCAACATGTCCAGCCAGAGTCTTTTTTAAAAAGCCAGAAATCAGAATTTTATGTAAAGTGTCCTGGGATTTTTCCTACAACCTTTTATTCTGAGAAAAAAATCAAAATATACAGAAGTGGAGAGAATACTGCAATGAATACCTGCATACCCTTCGCTAGATTAGTTCATCAACTGTTAGAATTTTGCTGCATTTCCTTTCTGTCTTTTTTTCATTCTTTTTAGCGACAGAGTCTCACTCTGTTGCCCAGGCTGCAGTGCAGTGGCACAGTCATGGCTCACTGTATTCTTGAAATCCTGGGCTCAAGTGATCCTTCTGCCTCAGCCTCCTGAGTTGCTGGTATTACAGGCGTGTGAGCCATAGTGCCTGACTAATTTATTTATTTTTTGTAGAGATAGGATTTTACTATGTTGCCCGGGCTGGTCTCAAACTCCCAGCCTCAAGCAATCCTCCCACCTCAGCCTGCCAAAGCCCTGGGATTACATGTATGAGCCATTGTGCCTGTACTTCCTTTATCCCTGTTTCTGCCTCTCTCTCTCTCTTTCTTTCCCCCTCTCTCACACATACTTTTTTGGCTGAGCCATCTACCTAAATATTTAGCATAATCTCCTGAAACAAAGATGTTCTTCTGTATAATCACATTATGATTTCCATACTCAATAAATTTATCATTGACTCAATACTATTATCTAATATATAGTCTATGTTCAAATTTCTCATATTGTTCTAATAATGGTTATAGAACTATATATATAATGAAATAACTATATATATAAATGTGTATAGTTATTTTTAAATCCAGGATCTATTCAGTGACTGTACATTGCCATGACTTTTTTTTTTTTTTTTTTTTGGGACGGAGTCTTGCTCTGTTGCCTAGGTTGGAGTGCAGTGGCGCAATCTCAACTCACTGCAACCTCCACCCCTTGGGCTCAAGCGATTCTCGTGCTTCAGCCTCCCGAGTAGCTGGGATTACAGGCACCTGCCACCGCGCCTGGCTAATGTTTGTATTTTTAGTAGAGATGGGGTTTCACCATCTTGGCCGGGCTGGTCTTTAACTCCTGACCTTGTGATCCACCCGCCTTGGCCTCCCAAAGTGCTGGGATTACAGGTGTGAGCCACCACGCCTGGCCCATTGCCATGACTCTTTAGTCTCCTTTAATCTGAAAGAGTTTTCCACCTTCTTTATTCTCTTATTTCATCTTTCATGAAACTGACATTTTTGAAAAGTCCAGGCCATCTGTTTTGTGGAATGTGCCTCGACTTAGACTAACTGGCTGTTTCCAAATGATTTGATACAGGTTAAATGTTTTCAGTAAGAACACTGCATGGGTGAAGCTGTGTTCTTCACACTAGCTCCCATCAGTAAGTGTATGATGTCATTTTTGTCCCCTAATTGGTACTATCAGTTTTAATTCCTTAGTTAAGATGGGTCTGCCATATTTCTCAATTGTAAAAATGATTTTCTCCTTTATAATTAATAATCTGTGGGGTGATATTTTGAAACTGTGGCGACCTTGTTCCCCAACAACTTTCACCCAATGGTTCTTTTTTTTTTTTTTTTTTTTTTTTTTTTTTTTTTTTTTGAGACAGAGTCTTGCTCTGTCACCCAGGCTTAAGTGCAGTGGTGCGATCTTGGCTCACTGCAACCTCCACCTCCTGGGTTGAAGCAATTCTCCTGCGTCAGTCTCCTGAGTGGCTGGAATCACAGGTGCCTGCCATCATGCCTGGCTAATTTTTGCATTTTTAGTAGAGACGGGATTTCATCATGGTGGCCAAACTGGTTTCGAACTCTTGGCCTCAAGTGATCCACCCACCTCGGCCTCCTAAAGTGCTGGGATTACAGGTGTGAACCGAGCCGCCATAGCCGGCATCAACCAATGGTGATGTAAAACAGTTATTGTAAAATAGTTATTTTTCTACAATTCTTTCTACACTCATTAGTTATCATTTTTCTGTAAAAAAAAAAAAAAAGAAAGATTTTCTTCCCCTCTGCCCCCACCCCTCCTTTTCATATCACTGTGGATTCATGGATTTTTAAAAATTCAATATGTTACACACCATCACTGTCAGTATTCTTTCTGACTCTCAATTATCACACATTTAGCATTTGCGGCTCCTTCCATCTAACTCCTGTGTCCTGACAGATGTCCATCCTTCTTTGAGCACTTGCTTACTGTGTGGCACAGCCAAATGTCCCAGGCTCATCCTGCCCCAGCCCTGTATCAGCCATTTCTCCAGAGACCCCTGGTTCCTTTTAGTGAGAATGAGATCTCTTGACCTTAAAATGTTGACAAATAATTTTTAAAAATTTTAAACATCATTCAGGCCAAGTAAAACACATCTGCAGATAATGTTTGCCATATAAGCTGCCAGTTTGGGGCCTTAGGGATTGGACAGTTTTCATTCTCTGCACATGTTCTCATAAGAGACTCACAGAGATCTGGCCCATTGATGTTCATTACTAATGTATAGATAGATGCTGGGAGTTTATGTAAACTGGTTGTCAGTAGCATAGGAGACAAAACAGAGCATTCCCTTGCCCACAATGATAGAAACCAAACAATCCTCTTATCATTATCTCTCCCTATTGGTTCAACAAGTGGGGACCTGTTGAATTTTATTTTTACAAGATAATATACTAACTGCAAATAGTAACAGGCTGTTTTGTTTGTTTATTAGAAGATTTTTGGTTGAGCTCTTGATGTGTTTATCTAGAAAGATTATATTCCGGCTGTGTAGTGAACTCCTAAGTGATAAAGCTGCCACACAAATACTTTCAGAACAACAGAAGCAGAAACCAACAAGCTGGCTCGTTACCTTCTTAAAGACTCCCAGTTTGCAAGGAGATTAAGCACATACCACCATCTGTCAGTGTTCTGCCGCCACTACACACACCCTGCCACACACTGTAGACTCTAGAAAACAAATGTCACAGAGCAAGAGGAGGCAGGAAAAGTGATTTTTGTAATTCACATTGATAAAAGACATAATTTATGCTATTGCTTTTTTGCCCCTTAAATTATTTTTATTTCTAACCTGTAAAATTTCTAGGTGGACAGCATTTTGTTGTTGTTGTTGTTGTTGTTTGTTTTTTTTTTTTTTTGAGACAGTCTCACTGTGTTGCTCAGGCTGGAGTGTAGTGGCACAATCTCAGCTCACTGCAACCTCCTCCTCCCCGCAGGTTCAAGCGATTCTCCTGTCTCAGCCTCCTGAGTAGCTGGGATTACAGGCACACGTCACCATGTCCAGCTAATTTTTGTATTTTTAGTGGAGGTAGGGTTTCACCATATTGGCCCGGCTGGTCTCGAACTCCTGACCTCAAGTGATCTGCCCGCCTTGGCCTCCCAAAGTGCTGAGATTATAGGCATGAGCCACCACGCCCAGCCGACAGTGTGTATTACATATCGTTATTATAAGACTCCAAACCGGCCAGACATGGTGGCTCACACCTGTAATTCCAGCACTTTGGGAGGCCGAGGCAGATGGATCACGAGGTCAGGAGATGGAGACCTCCTGGCTAACACGGTGAAACCCCGTCTCTACTAAAAAATACAAAAAATTAGCCAGGCGTGGTGGCACACGCCTGTAGTCCCAGCTACTCTGGAGACTGAGGCAGGAGAATGGCGTGAACCTGGGAGGTGGAGCTTGCAGTGAGCAGAGATCGTGCCACTGCACTCCAGCCTGGGCAACAGAGCGAGACTCCGTCTCAAAAAAAAAAAAAAACAAAAAACTGTAAACCACACTAAAAGGTAGTAATTATTGGCTGGGCATGGTGGCTTACGCCTGTAATCCTAACGCTTTGGGAGGCCAAAGCAGGCAAATCGCTTGAGCTCAGGAGTTCAAGACCAGCCTGGGCAACAAGTGAAACTTTGTCTCTACAAAAAATGTGAAAATTACCCAGGTGTGGTGGTGTGCACCAGTGGTCCCAGCTATTCAGGAGGCTGACATGGGAGGATCACCTAAGCCTGGAAGGTCAAGGCTGCAGTGAGTGTGATTGAGTCACTGCACTCCCACCTGGGTGACAGAGTGAGACCCTGGCCAAAAATAAAAAAAAAGAGAGAGAGAAAGAGAGGGAGGAAGGGAGGGAGGGAGGGAAGGAAGGAAGGAAGGAGTAATTTTTATACAGAATGAATGGAAACATTCTTAAAGGGGCAAGGCTTGTGTCTTTCACTTTAAATTTTTGAAAAAAAAAAATTTTTTTTTGAGATGGAGTCTTGCTCTGTCGCCCAGGCTGGAGTGCAGTGGCACGATCTCAGCTCACTGCAAGCTCCACCTCCCGGGTTCACGCAATTCCTACCTCAGCCTCCCGAGTGGCTGGGACTACAGGCGCCCGCTACCACGCCTGGCTAATTTTTTTGTATTTTTAGTAGAGACGGGGTTCCACCGCGTTAGCCAGGATGGTCTCGATCTCGTGACCTCGTGATCCGCCTGCCTCGGCCTCCCACAGTGCTGGGATTACAGGCGTCAGCCACCGCGCCCGGCCTTGAAAAATGTTTTAATCCACCTTTTTACTTGGCAGAATTGGTGTTTTAGGCCACAAATTTCCTTTCAACAAGCATATTTTCTTGCTAATTATTAACTTTCTTTATTGCTTATTAACCTTAAAGTCCCTCTAGTGAAAACACTCTTGGGTAAAATTGCCTGGTTGAAAATCTTTGAACTCCATCTATTTTTTTGTCGTTGCTGGAATAATGAAAGGTTAAGAATTTCTAAACTGGCCAGGCACAGTGGCTCACTCCTGTGATTCCAGCGCTTTGGGAGGCTGAAGCAGAAGGATAGCTTGAGCCCAGGAGTTCCAGGCTGCAGTGAGCTATGATCACACCACTGCCCTTTAGCCAGGGTGACAGACTGAAACCCTTTATCTAAACAAACAAACAAACAAACAAACAAACAAACAAAAAACCACACAGAATTTCTAAACCAACAGATGTTTTCGGCCACACATAAAAACCAATGAAATAATTGACTTTATCACAGGGTTGCTGCATTAATTCTTGGCTGTGTCAGTGCCATTTTTCATTTTTGTCACAATTGTACTATTCCTTCTCTCATAGTACTTTCCACGTACTGTGTTAGTCAGTAAAACAGGTCAAGCATCCACGGTGCACATCACTGGCCTGTGCTGGGTCTTGAGAGGAATGCAGAAGAGACCCGTGAGCCAGGTGTGAGGCTTTGTTCCTCATACATGTAAGCTGAAGGAGAGGTAACAGGGCAGCAACACAGATGAGTTGGGAAAAGGAGCTACCTCTTTGTCACTTGCTTGTTCCCTCCAGACCTGCTCGAGCCTGATTCCAGATGTTTTCTTAGGACAGTGGTCAGTATATCTCTATTATCCAGCTCACAGTGGGCAGCTTTGGGTTACTCAGTCACTTGATGTCCTACATTCATGTGCTCACTCTACCAAGTCCCAATGACATGCCAGGAACTGGACACATGTACACAACTGGGTATGCCAAGTCATATGGCCTGAATAGTAGGGCAGCTTTGACCTGCTGTGCAAAGTTCCCTCTTGTCCTGGGTCCTACTCAGTGTTAGCAGCCTTCTAAATCACTTGGTAAATTAGGCAGAGCAGTGCCCAAGGGCTGTACATGCTGCCTCCAAAATCCAAAGACACCCACCAGGAGCAATGCCCTTTTTTAAATGGTAGGGGATACAAGGTGCAACAATTTGTCCTTTAAAGAGGATACAGCTGGGCATGGTGGTGCCCACCTGTAGTCACAGCTATTTGGGAGGCTGAGGTGGGAGGATCACTTGAGCTCAGGAGTTGAAGGCTACAGAGAGCTATATAGTGCACTCTAGCCACTGCACTCCAGCCTTGAGGACAGAACAAGGCTCTGTCCCAAAAAAAAAAGGAAGTCACAGCATGCCCCAGGCCATTGGACTCCTAGAATACCACTTATATGCCATTCCCCAGAGGGTTTTCTTCCACTCTGTGGTACACACATATCTTAACTGGACAGCCAGAGTACTTGCCATTTCTGTTCACCAGGAGATCCAGTTAACATGATGTCATCAATACAGTGGAGCAGCATGATATTCAGTGGAACGTCAAGACAATTAAGGTCCTTGTGGATTATATGGTGACAGAGTGCTGGAGAGTTAACTTAGGCTTCAGGCAGGACAGTGAGTGTGAACTGCTGTCCATCCCACACAAGGTGAACTGCTTTTGATCTAACTTACTGATTGGTATTGGAAAGAATACATTCAAGTCAATAGTTGCATGTCAAGTGCCAGAGCCTGTGTATATCAGTTCCAGGAAAGATACCATATCTGGCCCAGCTGCTGCAATTGGAAGTACAGTTGGGTTGAGTTTATAGGAGTCTACCAGGTGAGTTGAGGGGGTTAGCATGGGCATCACCACCTCTGCATTCCTAAGTCTTTGATGGTGGTACTCATCACTGCATTTTCTCCTGGGATGCAGTTTTGCTTCGGATTTACTATTTTGACCAGGGTTGTGTTGCCAGGGAGGAAGAGCAGTTTCAGGAGCTTGTGTTTGGCCCTTTCTGCCATATTGGCTCTTACTTCACAGGTCATAGAACCAATGTGAGGGTATGCTTAGCTGACTGTTAAGCATACCTATGCCAATTTTGCATTTCTCAAGTGGAGGAAGTTATCTCAAGAATGGATTCATGGACCTGTTAAGCCCAGTATGAAACGGTGCTCTAACCTGAGGCCATGGTAGCATTTGGGGTCCCCACATATCAGTGCCAGCTCAGACCTTGTAGCCACAGCCCTTGAAAGGTCTGAGTATTTTCCTTTCCCAGTTACTCTGGTAAATAGCCACAGATCCCTTTGAAAAGTGAGGAATACTCACAGTGGCATTGCAGGATCCTCCTTCAAGGTGACTCAGTCAGCAACACTTTGGACTGGAACTGACTTAGATCTAGAAACTGGGCGAGGAGCTGCAGGTTTCCACTCTAGCTGTTGACACCAACCTTCTGCTTGCTCAGTTTCTTCTGGCAATGCAAGTCGGGTGACACATGAGCCAGCTGTCCTTCTATCTCACCTATAGGAACTCCATGGCATTCCTGTGCATTATTAGCACAGATTTCTGTGAAATAAGGTGTTCTGGCTTGCTTCTCATCATGGTAATTTTATGTACCTTGCCACTGTAAGCACCTGGTCTCTGCCACTCTGGAATCTTATCACTTTCATCAGAACCAGAAAGCCTAGTTCCGTGGTAGCATCTCCAGCCTACTGAGGACAAGCCTGTCTACCCCACCCACAGAGGACAGCAGTGATGAGCTCTTGAAGATGCCACTGGGCTCCTTTCTGCTCCTTACTGCTTCAGTGGAGGGAGTATCCTCTGGGCCTTCCAAGGAAACATAATCAGGTGGTAGGTCCTGCAGTCCCACATCACACATCCTTTCTAATATTTCCCCCTCCTTGAGTCCCCAGGCCCCTTCCTCAATACTCTGCCAAGGCACTTCCAGCATGTCTGCCTTACCTACTAAAAGCCCAACCTTCAAAGAGCTATGCCAGCAGCACATTTTAAGACTGTCTCCTGTGTGCTGTGGCTCACACCTGTAATCCCAGCACTTTTGGAGACTGAGGCGGGCAGATCACTTGAGGTCAGGAGTTTGTTACCAAACTGGCCAACATGGCGAAATGCTGTCTCTACCAAAAATACAAAAATTAGCTGCGTGTGATGGTGCGCACCTGTAGTCCCAGCTACTCGGTTGGCTGAGGAGACAGAATCTCTTAAGCCCAGAAGGCGGAGGTTGCAGTGAGCCAAGATCACACCACTACACTCCAGCCTGGGTGACAGAGTGAAACTCTGTCTCAAAAAAAAAAAAAAAGATTGTCTTGACAGGCACAGTGTCTCACAGTATCCCACGTCTGTAATCCCAACACTTTGGGATGCGGAGGTGGCAGAATCGCTTGAGGCCAGGAGTTTGAGACCAACCTGAGCAAGATGGTAAGACCCTGTCTCCACAAAAAAAATTTTTTTAATTATCCAGCCATGGTCATGTGTGCCTGTGGTCCCAGCCACTGGGGAGGCTGAGGCAGGAGGCTCACTTGAGCCTAGGAGTTCAAGGCTGCAGGGAGCGATGATCATGCCACTGCACTCCAGCCTGGATGACAGATTATGACCCTGTCTCTATAAAAAATAAAAGTAAAATTTAAAAAAGAACTGTCTGCAGGTGTCCTTGTCAAGAATTAAGTCCCAAGTTATGCGACAGTGTAGTGCTCTCATATTAATGAATTTCCCCTTTTCCAGCCTTACATTTTACTACTATCACGGCCCAGCCCCTTCAAGACGGCTGCTGGTACCTATGAGGCAGGTCTTGTCATTCTTGAGTGCAGTTATTTCCTCGCAGAGCAAGAACCTTATTGCCCTACTCAGGCACTGCAACAACCTCATCCTATTATAGGTCCGTGGGCCCTAGAAGGAGGTGGGGTAGAATCTAAGGAGGACAGGCATCCCCCTCCTAAGGAGGCACCTGCATCATGTGAGGGATTTTTAAGGTCTGCAGGTAAAGGAAGCAGCTAACCTACAGCAATGGAACTGAGTTGCTTTTCCTAGCCCTGAAGGTTCAGGGAAATTTGAGAATTTCAGATTCTCAGGCTCTTTCTCGTAGATGTCCCTATCCTAGATCTCAGGATGATTCTCTTTTCTCACCATAGCCCTGACTTAGACATGAGAGACCTGTTGAGGCTGGATATTGTCCCCTTTGTAGCTCTGCTGCCCTTTAAGTCCTGAGATTGATTTTTTGGCACAGTCTGTCCTGTCTGTAGGAGATAAATGTCTCTGAATACTGCCAGCAAGGCCTCCTGACTCCCACAGATGACTGTTCGTGGCTAACCTGACCCTGTCATTTTCTTTTTTCTTTTTTCAGTGATTTATAGGTGTTAACAAGAGCCAGCTTATTCAATACTTCCCATAATGACCATTGCCGCATACCACTCATGTGCCACTGCAGTGCCGAAGCAAGCTTACACCCCATTCAAAACCAGCCCTGACAAAAGGCTTAGTGACTGTGTTGCTACACCTCCCTGGGCTCCTCCCACCCCACTTATCATCAGCAGTGGGGTCCTTGTTGCCATCTGCTCCATGATTGATCCAGTTCCAGAATTCCATTCTGAAGGCCTGCTAGCTAAGGCCACTTCAGGTACCAATGGTCTTAGACTGTGCACCTCCCAGAAAGTAAAGTCTGAGACAGGAACTGTGTGTTAGGAGTTTATTTTGGGAAGTGATACCAGAGAGCAGGAGTAGGTGACAGGGGAGAAAACAAGGAAGGAGGAAACCCAATGTAACCAGGAACGGGGACTCATCCTGCCAGGCCTCTTTAAGGAGCCCAAGGAACGGAAGAGAGGACACTGAAGCACCCTGTCCCCCATTGGTCCAAGGCTCCCCTATGGAGTGTTAACTCCTGCAAGTACCGAATCCCAGCAGCATCCCACACCTCAGCATCACACAAGGCCTGGGCAGAAAGCAAAAACCAAGGACAGCTGGGGTGAGGCTCTGTCAGGCTACAGGCGCACAAAGCTAGCTGCTGCAGTGGTTTCAGCAAATCTTCAATTAAAAGATGGGCTGAAAGAATGGGAAACAAGACAAAAGAGGCGACTAAAACACTGACCTCCTTGCTGTTCTAGAAACACTCCAGGCAGAATCCCACATAAAAGCCTTTGGAATGATTGCTCCTACTGCTTGGAACGTTTTCCCAAACATCCTTAAGACCTTTACCTTCTTCAGATCTTTTTTCATTTATCATCTCAGTGAGGGCTTCCCTCATTTAAATTTCACCATTCCACCACGCTATGCCCCTATCGACCTTGTTTCTTTCCATAAGACTTATCAACATCTGGGTGCTTGAATATAAGCTCACGAGAGCAGAGATTTTTGTCAGTTTTGTTAAGTATATAATCCCAGATCTTACAGTAGTGTCCAGCAGAGCAGAGGGCTCAATATAGTGTTCTTAACAATAATATATGACAAGTGAATATATGAAAATGGAAGGATTTTAAAATATTTTTTCATGTACTTCCTATTTTCACATATTTTAATGAACATTTATTTTCATATATTTTTTATAAAATTACTCAGTAGCTTGCCTTCTTCACTCAGCAATAACATCATGGTCATCAGCCAATAGATAGGCCTCTATTAATTGTACTTTCTTAATACCTGCATAATATTTATTATTTCCTGGTCTGAATATAGCACAATGTATTCAGCCATCCTCCTCTATTACAGGATGTTCATGTTGTTTCATATTTTTTGCCTCCACAGGAAGTGCTGGAATCCTGGTATGGATATTTTTATGCAATGATGCTTTTATTTATGGAAAGTATATTCTCAGAAGTGGAGTGCTAGTAAGAGGACGTGTCTGTGTGTGTTTTCAATAAATTTTATTTTTAGAATAGTTTTAGATTACGGAAAAACTAGAAGATAGTAGAGTTCCCATATACCCTGCTCTCAGTTTTATCTTTTAGTAACATCTTATATTAGCATGGTATAGTTACTATAATCAATGAACCAATGCTGATGCATTATCATTAACTGAAGTCCATCTATACTTTATTTGCATTTCTTTAATTTTTTGTTGAATTTCCTGTTTCTGTTCCAGAATCCCTTCTAGGAAACTACATTACATTTAGTAATCATTTAGTAATCATTTAGAGGAGGCT
The DNA here is from genome assembly GCF_000001405.40 of Homo sapiens. Lineage (NCBI taxonomy): Eukaryota > Metazoa > Chordata > Mammalia > Primates > Hominidae > Homo > Homo sapiens. The sequence continues at coordinate 50,376,021 of NC_000014.9, read as the reverse complement.
GTGTCCGCAGCCTCCTCTTGGCTGTGACAGTTTCTCAGAGTTTACATGTTTTTGATGACTCTGGCAGTTTTCAGGAGTACTGGTCACATATTTTGTAGAATGTCCCTCTGTTGGAATTTGTCTGTTTTTTCTCATGATTAGACCAGGGTTATGGGCTAGAAGACCACGTCCCATCCCATCAAGTGTACATACTATCAACATGACTTACCGCTATTTTTTTTTTTTGAGATGGAGTCTCGCTCTGTTGCCCAGGCTGGAGCGCAGTGGCACCATCTCGACTCACTACAACCTCCGCCTCCCGGGTTCAAGCGATTCTCCTGCCTCAGCCTCCCAAGTAGCTGGGATTACAGGTGCCTGCCACCACACCCGGCTAATTTTTGTATTTTTAGTAGAGACGGGGTTTCACCATGTTGGCCAGGCTGGTCTCAAACACCTGACCTTGTGATCTGCCCGCCTCAGCGACTTACCACTATTGATGTTGACCTTGATCACCTGGCTGAGGTAGTGTCGTCAGGTTTCTCCACTGTAAAGTGACTTTTCTTCTGCCATTCTATTCTATGCTGTTTGGAAGGAAGTCACTACGTGCAGCGCACTCCTACAGAGGGAGAAGTTAGGCTCCCGTCCCTGAAGGTGGAGTATCAACATAAATTATTTGGAATTCTCCAATATAGGAGATGTATCTACTCTCCCACTGACTTATCTTTTATTTATTTGTTTATTCATTCATCCAGTCAATCATTTATTTATATTAGTATGGATTTGTGGATATTATATCCCTTTGATATACTTCCATCAATGTAGGGTTTGCTTTGGTTTGGGTTTTAACACTTTATTATTTTCTGGCACTGCAAGATGCTCCATGTTCATCTTATATATTTCCTGCCCAAGTTCTAGAATTGGGTATTTCTTTTTTTAATTTTTTTTAATAAGTTCCGGGATACATGTGCAGAATGTGTGGGTTTGTTCCATAGGTATACATGTACCACAGTGGTTTGCTGCACCTATCAACCCATCATCTAGGTTTTAAGCCCCACACACATTAGGTATTTGTCCTAATGCTCTCCCTCCTCTTGCCCTCCAACCCCCAACAGGACCCAGTGTGTGATGTTCCCCTCCCTGTGTCCATATGTTCTCATTGTTCAAGTTGAGTATTTCTCCATGGATCCCTGGTTCCTTCTATTAGAGACTAGTATCAAAAAACGAGATCTAAGCACTTGGTATACATATTGCTACTAGGATGTGGTTGGTTCTAGGCCCTTTCAGCTGACAGAGCAAGGTAATATATGTGTGTATACCAACCTGTGTACATACATGTATCTAGAGTTATTTCTATATGTAATCATCTGTATCTTTATTAAGCTAAACAAGAGTTCATACTGATGTCTTCAACTATAATCTGTAGACAAATGAGATGGGATTAGCTCACAAATCTAATGGGTCATTCTAGCCTTGTCTCCTTGCTTATCTGGAAACCTGTATCAGCTTTTCCTCTACCCTCTTTGGTGAGGTTGTTTCATACATTTGTAATATAGTTAGATTCTTTTTGTCACAGTCTTTGTTCTATCCTAGGATTCCCCAACCTCCTACATGATTTTTTAACACTTTGCATATCTTAAGGTTCACACATTGTGTCGTAAAGTTCTATGCATTTTGCCCAATGCATAATATCACATATTCACTATTACAGTATCATATAGAATAGTTTCACTGCCCTAATAAATCCTGTGTGTTTCACCTACTCAACCCTCCCGACATCCTCTGAACCCCTGACACCTGTTATTGTTTTTACTGTCTCTGTAGCTTTACCTTTCCAGAATGTCATAGAATTGGAATAGTACAATATGTAGCCTTTTCAGACTGGCTTCTCTCACTTAACAATATGCATTTAAACTTTATACCTGTCTTTTATGGCTTGTTAGCTTATTTTATCGGTGGATGATATCACGTTATATGAATGTAGCACAATTTTTTCATCCTTTTTCCTATAGGAAGACAACTTGGTTGCTTCTAGTTTTTGGTGATTATGAATAAAGCTGTTAAAAACATTTGCTTGTAGGTTTTCATATGGACATAGTTTTCAACCATTTGGGTAAATACCTAGGAGTGTGATTACTGGCTCATATGGTATAGATATGTTTAGCTTTGTAAGAAACTGCCAAACTGTTTTCCAAAGTGGCTGTCTGATTTAGCACACCGACCAGCAGTGAATGAGAGGTTCTGTTGCTCAGTATCCTCACCAGCATTTGGTATTATCAGCTTTTTGGGGGATTTTAGCCATTCTAATAGGTGTGTAATGGTATCTCATTGTGGTTGTAATTTGGAATTTCCTAATGACAAAAGATGTTAATCATCTTTTCATATGTTTAAAATTTCCCATCTGTATTATATCTTCTTCAGTGAGGTATCTGCTCAGATCTTTTGCTCATTTTTTTGGTCCGTTTGGTTTTAATGTAATAAATATTGCCAGTAACTTTCCCAAAAAAGTTATAGCAGTTTGCACTCTAATTGGCCATGTGTGAGAACACCCCTTTCCCTATGCCCTTGTCAGCACTGGATGCTGCCAATCTTGCGTGTTTGCCTGCTGGTTAGGAAATAAATGGCATCACGTTGTTTCTCTAATTTGACTTTCTCTTACAACCAGTGAGACTGAGCATCTTTTCATATGTCCCTTTATCATTTATATTTCCTCTTCTATTACCTATTGATATATTTTGCCCATTTTCCCACTGGGTCGTCTTTTTCTTAACAATACATAAATAAGACTTCTTTGTAATATTAGGAATATAACCCTTTGTTGCAACTTTAACAAATATTTCCCAGGCAATTATTTGTCTTTTGGCGTTGTTTATAGTGTTTTTTTAACATAGTGAATTAATATTGTTAAAATGTCCATACTACCCAAAGCAATCTACAGGTTCAATGCAATCTTGATCAAAATTCCAATGTTATTTTCCATTGAAATAGAAAAAACTATGCTAATATTCATATGTAACCACAAAATGTCCCATATAGCTAAAGCTATCATGAGAAAAATGAACAAAGCTGGAGCCATCACACTACCTGATTTCAAACTATTTTATAAAAATATAGTAATTAGAACACAATGGTACTGGCAAAAAAAAAAATTAGACACATTGACCAGTGGAACACAATGGAGAGCCCAGAAATGAACCCACACCTGAATGGTCAATTGATCTTTGATAGAAGCATCAAGAATACACAGTGGGAAAAGCATAGTCTTTTCAATAAAAGATGTTGGGAAAACTGGATGTCCACATGCAGAACAATGAAACTGGACCCTTATCTCACACAATATACAAAAATCAACCCAATAGATTAAAGACTTAAACTGTAAAACTTCTAGAAGAAAACATAGGGGGAAAATTACACAGCATTGGTCTGGGCAGTGATTTTTTTAAATTTGACTCCAAAAGCATAGGCAACAAAAGCAAAAATGGACAATTTGGATTACATGAAACTAAAAAGTTTCTGCACAGTAAAGAAAACAACACTGTAAAGAAACAACCTATGGATTAGGAGAAACTATTTGCAAGCCCTACTCCTGATAAGGGGTTATATGTATCCAAAATATATAATGAACTCGGGCCGGGTGTGGTGGCTCACGCCTGTAATCCCAGTGCTTTGGGAGGCTGAGGCAGGCAGATCACCTGAGGTCAGGAGTTTGAGACCAGTCTGGCCAACATGGCAAAACTCTGTCTCTACTAAAAATACAGAAATTAGCCAGGTGTGGTGGTGCACGCCTGTAATCCCAAATATTCAGGAGGCTGAGGCACAAGAATTGTTTGAACCCAGCCAGGAGGCAAGGGTTGCAGTGAGCCGAGATCTCTCCACTGCACTCCAGCCTGAGCAACAGAGTGAGACTCCGTCTCAAAAACAAAACAAAACAAAACAAAACAAAAATACCCAAAACATATAATACACTCAAACAGCTCAAAAACTAGATGTTCCCCTTCCTTGGCCTCCCTTGGCCTCCCTTGGCCTCCCTCCTATGCTCAGTGGTGTCCAAAGTCCAGAGGGGTCCGAGGCAGCAGGGGGCTGGCGTGTCAGCATGTCCCTGAGCATGCGCACACCTGGCTGGGTCATGACAGTCCCTGGGCTTGGCCATAACTTTGCTCTGAAATCGGAGTGGGCACCAGGAGTGGGGAGAGGTCAGGCAGTAGGAGCAGGCATGGCACTTCTGAGCCTGCAGGGGTTGGGGGGCCTCCCAGGTCCCAAGTGTGCAGACATGCCCGGGTCTGCAGCCATGACTGGGTGTCTGCAGCTGCCTGGGAGGGTGGGGCTCCTGCCCCTCCAACCTGAGGCTCCCATCTGTTCCCAGCTCCTGCCAGCTCCAGGGAGCACACAGCCATGGCTGCGCCTCCCCCACTGCAGCCAGCATCATGGCAGCAGCTGCTCCAGATGGGCCACTGGTGCCATCACTGTCTCTAAAAAAGGGGGAAAAAATAAGCCTGGGATCTGAATGGACATCTCTCAAAAGAGGACATACAAATGGCCAACAGATATATGGAAAAATGCTCAACATTTCTAATCATTAGGAAAATGCAAATTTAAACCACAATGATATATCATCACACACCTGTCAGGATGGCTGTGATAAAAAAGATGTAAGATAAATGTTGGCGAGGATGTGGAGAAAAAGAAACCCTTAAAGTTGTTGATGGGAATGTAAATTATGGAAAAATATATGGAGATTCCTCACAAAACTAAAAATAGAATTACCATATGATCCAGCAATCCCACTTCTGAGTATTTACCCAAAAGTGAAATTTGAAATGTCTGCCCTCCTATGTTCATTGCAATACTGTTCACAATAGCCAAAGTCATAAAATTAACCTAAGTGGCCATCAGTGGATGAATATATAAAGAAAATGTAGTATATATACACAATACAGTACTATTCAGCCTTAAAAAAGGAGAAAATTCTGACATTTGTGACAACATGGATGAAATTGGGGAACATTATGCTGCTGAGTAAGCCAGGCACAGAAAGAAAAATGCACATGTTCTCACTTATATGTGGAATCTGAAACAAGTGAATTCATTGATATAGTTTGGATATTTGTCTCCACCCAAATCTCATGTTGAATTATAATCCCCAGTGCTGGAGATGGGGTCTGGTGGAAGGTGTTTAGATCATGGGGGCAGATCCCTCATTACTTGGTGTTGTCTTCGTGATAGTGAGTTCTCGTGAGATCTGGTCATTTAAACAGGTATGCCCCACTGCCAATTCCCTCTCTCTCCCTTGTTCTTGGTTTTGCCATGTGACATGCCTGCCCCTCCTTCACCTTTTGCCATGATTGTAAGCTTCCTGAGGCCTCCCTAGAAGCTAAGCAGATGCCAGCCCCGTGTTTCCTGTAAAGCCGGCAGAACCATGAGCTAATTAAACCTCTTTTCTCTATAAATTACCCAGTCTCAGGTATTTATAGCAATGTGAGAACAGCCTAATACATTCTTAGAAGCAGAGAGTAGAATGGTGGTTACAGAGGCTAGGGGATGAGGAGAATGGAGAGATGATGGTTGAAGGGTACAAAATCTTAGACAAGAGGAATAAGTTTCATTTCCAAGATCTGTTGCACAGCATGGTGAATACAGTTGTTAATTATGTATTGTACACTTCAAAATTGCTGAGAGAGGCTGAGTGCAGGGGCTCACGCCTGTAATCCTAGCACTGTGGGAAGCTGAGGCAGGTGGCTCACCTGAGGTCAGGAGCTTGAGGCCAACCTGGCCAACATAGTGAAATTTTGTCTTTACTAAAAATACAAAAACTAGCCAGGCATGGTGGCAGGCACCTGTAATCCCAGCTACTTGGGAGGCTGAGGCAGGAAAATCACTTGAACCCAGGAGGCAGAGGTTGGAGTGAGCCAAGATCGTGCCACTGCACTCCAGCCTGGGTGACAGAGCAAGACTCTGTCTCAAAGAAAAAAAAAAAAATTGCTAAAAGAGTAGATTTCAAATGTTCTTACCACAAAAAAAAAGGTAAGTATTTGAAGTGATGGATATATGTTAATTAGCTAGGTTTAATTATTCCATATTATAGTCATAAATCCTAACATTAATTTGAACCCCATAAACATATATAATTAGCCAGGCATGGTGGCTCACGCCTGTAATCCCAGCACTTTGGGAGGCTGGGGTGGGCGGATCACTTGAGGTCAGGAGTTTGAGACTAGCCTGGCCAACATGGTGAAACCCTGTCTCTACTAAAAATACAGAAATTAGTTGGGGGTGGTGGCTGGTGCCTGTAATCCCAGCTACTCAGGAGGCTGAGGCAGGAGAATTGCTTGAACCCAGGAGGCTGAGATTGCAGTGAGCTGAGATCGTGCCACTGCACTCCAGCCTGGGCAATAGAGCAACTATATATATATGTGTGTGTGTGTGTGTGTGTGTGTGTGCATGTGTGTATATATATTATATATAATATATGTATATATATAATTATAAATTGTATATTTACAATAAGTTTACAATTTACAATAAAGCTTTAAAAGAACAACAAAAAATTAAATATACCTCTATTGCTTGTACGTTTTTCTACTTTTGATAGAAACATGGACATATTAAATATTTCACTTTTAACTCTAGTATAAGAAAGTCAATAATGCAAGAGTGATGATAAAGAGCAACTCTCACTTGGCATCATGATCAGGGAGCAATAGGGAGTGGGTGACTGCGGTGACCTAAAGCATACAAGCCTTGTCTAAAGTGAACAGCTGCTCTCAGCCCTAGCTCATAAGTGCCACAGAGTCTACAGGCCTAGACCTGCTGATCCCCAGCATTTGCAAGAGACTCTTGGTAACCAGGATTTTAAAGTAACATTTCCTGGTTAAGGGTAGCGGCCGGGCGTGGTGGCTCACACCTATAATCTCAGCACTTTGGGAGGCCGAGGTGGGCAGATAACTTGAGGTCAAGAGTTTGAGATCAGCCTGGCCAACATGGTGAAACCCTGTCTCTACTAAAAATACAAAAATTAGCCAGGCATGGTGGTGCACACCTGTATTCCCAGCTGCTTGGGAGGCTGAGGCATGAGAATCGCTTGAGCCCTGGAGGTGGAGGTTGTGGTGAGCCGAGATTGTGCCACTGCACTCCAGCCTGGGTGACAGAGCGAGACTCCATCTAAAAAAAAAAAAAAAAAAAGGTTGGCAACTAGCACAAAATTCTTCAAAATCTCATGGGCTAAACAGGCCAAGCAATTGACCTTAGTAGATGGAGGGTCTGAGCTTATCAGAACAGATGGGTGCCCAATGAAGACAGAGGGCTGACGACACAGAGAGGCAGCTGCCCACGTAGGATACGTAGCATTCTCAGCTCTGCAGGGAAACCAGGTAGGGCTCTGGCTAAATTCAACCTCAGAAAAATGAAGTCCTTTTTTTAATGTCACAGAAAATACTTGACTTGGCAACATAATATGGAACATCAGTATTTGAAACACAGAGAGAAGGCTGGGTACAGTGGCTCACGCCCATAATCCCAGCAATTTGGGAGGCTAGGGTGAGAGGATCGCTTGAGCCCAGGAGTCTGAGATCAGCCTGGGCAACATAGTGAGACACTGTCTCTAAAAAAATTTTAAAAATAAAAAAACTAGCTTGTTATGATGGTGTGCACCTGTAGTCCCAGCTACTGAGGAGGCTGAGGGAAGAGGATCACTTGAGCCTGGAGTTTGAGGCTGCAGTGAGCCATGATCATGCCACTGCACTCCAGCCTGGGTAACAGAGAAAGACCCTGTCTCAAAAAATAAAAAATAGACTAGGCACAGTGTCTCACGCCTGTAATCCCAGCATTTTGGGAGGACGAGGTGGGCGGTTGGCTTGAGCCCAGGATTTCAAGATCGGACAGGGCAACGTAGCGAAACCCTGTCACTACACAAAATTTTAAAAATTAGCTGGGCATGGTTGTACACATTTGTAGTCCCAGCTACTTGAGAGGCTGAGGCAGGAGGATCACTTGTGCCTGGGAGTTCGTGGCTGCTGTGAGCTGTGATTGCACCACTGCATTCCCACCTGGGTGACAGAGTGAGACCCTGTTTCAAAAAAGTAATAATAATTTGAAAATGAAAATTTTAAAAAACACAAAGAGAAAATAAAAGGAAGACTAAAATAAAATAGCAGCAGCAAAAGTGGAAACTTTTGTACAAGAGAAAGTAAATCTGAGTCCGAGCAGGCCCGTGCTTCTAGATAGAGCATTAACTGAAGGACGGTGATACTGGCCTGGTAAGGAGCACCAAGAGCTTCAAGATTAGCCCAGCACAGACGCCCCAGACCTGAGGCTTTGGCTTCACAGACTTGTATATAGGAAGGAATTGTCATTAAATGAGCCCCAAACATCTTTGTGGTATATATGGTAATTTAACCTGTTCTGTCTATTAAGTTTACTTGTATGTACCGTGAACATGTTGGGTAAGCCTGTAACAGTTTGTCCATCATGTTGCTTAGTTCTTCTCATCTAATTCGTTTGTACGTCCCGAAAGAACTCCATTCAGCATTGAAGCAGAAACATCCAAACCCTTGTGAATGCAAACATTCACAATGTTGGGGCTATGATGGACACCTCCAGCTATTCGCTGCAGACTGGTTTGAGGATCAGAGGTGTCCCTTTGAGTTCTACCCCTGAGGTCAGTGGAGTCAATAGAGAGAGAGGAGTAAGGTAGTTTGAGATGTTAAGTCCACATAATCTGGCTTCTGGTCTCACCACTGCACCGATACCGTTTCCAATAAGGTCACTCGACCCCAACCCAGGGAAGCCCACCAGGCATCTCTCAGCCCTCTGTTTCCATCTGACCTTTCAGCAGCATCTGTCAACACTGACCACTTCCTCCTCCCATGATGCCCCCATGGCGCCTGCTCTGCTGTCTTCTCTCTCATCTTAAGGGGCTTTCTTCCCTTTCCCCTTTCGTGTTTCCTCCTCATCAACCACACATCTGGGTGGGAGGGTTCTTTAGACAGCTTTCTCATCTCACTCTCGCTCCTTCGGGGCAATCTCCTCTCTCTGTCTATGGCTTCGCTTACACACATGCGGACTCCCTGGCTTTTATCTTCAGCTCAGACTCTGGCTGACATAACAACTCCACTTTGGTGTCTCAGATCCCCACCAATTCAATGAGACAAAGCTAGTGACTTCTTTCTCCCAGTCTTACTCCCCCTCTCTGTGATGGCATCACCATCTGCCCCAGTGTGTAAACCTTTGTGTCATTTTTGACAGTTCCAGTGTGTAAACCTTTGTGTCATTTTTGACACTTCCTTCTCCCCTGTCCCTCACCTCCAGCCGATCACCACATCCGGACTATTCTGATAACAAAATACATCTCAAGACAATGCTTCTCACCGACTACCCTGCCTCTGCTCTGCTCCAAGTCACCACAATGTCAGCTATCAACAGCCACTTCATCCATTTTGCGTCCTCCAAGCCATTCTATATCCTGTTGCTGTAGTGAGCTTTTAAGAGCCCCATGGTATCATATCACGTCTTGCTGAAATCCTTCCAGTGGCTTCCCATTGCACTAGGATAGAGTGAATTGCTTAGCGTGGCCTGCAAGGCCCTGTAGGATCTGCCTTCTGACTGGCTGGCCTTGATTCCACGAGCTTCACCCACCAGCCACACTGTCTTTCAGTTGCTGAAGTGACCCAAGTTCTCTCCTGACTCAGGGCCAGTCACTGCCTGGAAAGCTGCCATCTTTGCCTTTACCACCACCCCTGCCCTTGGTTTGGTCAGACCTTTACCCTCTAGACTCGGCTCAAGGTCACTTCCTCAGGGCCAGTTTCTCTGAGACAGCCTAATTTCATAGATTATTTTTGGCACTTCTTTGTTTAATGCCTGAGTCCTCTGTCTCTTTCACCAATACCTGATGCAGAGTAGGTGCTTATATTAGTCAGGGTTCTCTAGAGGGACAGAACCAATAGGATAGATGTATATATGAAGGGGAGCTTATTAGGAGAATTGGCTCACATGATCACAAGATGAAGTCCCACAACAGGCCGTCTGCAAGCTGAGTCCCAAAACCTCAAAAGTAGGGAAGCCATCAGTGTAGCCTTCTGTCTGTGGCTGAAGGCCGGAGAGCCCGTGGCAAACCACTGTGTAAGTCCAAGAGTCCAAAAGCTGAAGAACTTGGAGTCTAATGTTCGAGGGCAGGAAGCATCCAGCACGGGAGAAAGATGAAGGCCGGAAGACTCAGCAAATCAAGTGCCTGCATTATTCTAGCTGTGCTGGCAGCTGATTAGATGGTGCCCGTCCAGATTGAGGGTGGGTCTGTCTCTCCTAGTCCTCTGACTCAAATGTTAATCTCCTTTGGCAACACCCTCACAGACACAGCCAGAAACAGTACTTTGCATCCTTCAATCCAATCAAGTTGGCACTCAGTATTAACTATCACAGGGCTCTAGGGATATTTGTTGAATATATGAACACAGCTAGACGGGGACTGGCTTCATAAGGGTGCTATGCCAGACCACATATCTGCTGCTCTGGAGTATTTTCGGGTCACCTGGAATCCTGGCAACCCAGTGAAAGTTAATAATTTATTTTAAAATATTGATAATTTAATATTTATAACCCCTCATTAGGATTTAGTATTAATGATCATCTTTCTATATTAAAATTATTCTAAAAACAGGTTGAGAGATAAGTTATCAGCTATTTGCAATTATTTGAAGATCATCTCATGGAGGAAGATGGGAGAGACAAGTTACACCTTCCTGTGTTGCCAGAGGCACTGTAAGCCCTCAAAGGAAGCAATTTGGCAATATATATCACAAGCCTTAAATTGTCTATAGGCTCCTTAAAGCTGGCCATAATATGGTAAAAATACTGTCATACTCCTGGCCAAGGGGTAAATATTCACAATCCTTTTGGAAAGCAATTTGACTCTATCTAGTTAGAGCCACATTTCTGGGGCTCTAGATGGTGCCCAGTTAACTTCAGGTCATTCTCAGTTAATGAATCATTAACTTAATGGCCACTTCCTCAAAGAGATTTTCCCTGAACCACACCTCACCCTCAAACCAGGTACACTTTACCTCATTTTTATAACATTTATCATAGCTATAATTACTTCTCCAACATCTGTCTCCTTTCCTAGGTTCTAAGCTCCAGGCCGGTAGGGGCAGTACTTGCTTTATTTGTCTCTATATCCTTAGGGCTAACACAGTGCCATATGCACCTTAAGATATATAAATAATTGTTGAATAAAATGAATAGAGAAAAATCATTCTAAATAAAAATAGATTTAACCCAAAGGTAACAATATCAATAATTAACCTTTACAGAGAGGTTAATATTTACCTGACCCTGTTGTATGTGCCTGTGTGTAATTGGCAGTACAGCCCTTGCGCTTCTTACTCTTACAGATGGAAAACTGAGGCCTACAGAACTTACCTAATTTGGTCCAAGTGAGGCAACCAGCTAATAAGTTGCTTATCAAAATCTTATTTATAATAGCAAAAAATTGGAAAGAACCTACATGTTATTTGAATATTTAATACATGCAGTTATCAGAACCTCAGTTTTGTTTCCTTTTTTAAAATAAATTTATTTATTTATTTAGAGACAGAGTTTTGCTCTGTTGCCCTGGCTGGAGTGCAGTGGCACAATCTGGGCTCACTGCAACCTCTGCCTCCTGGGTTCAAGTGATTCTCATGCCTCAGTCTCCCGAGTAGCTGGGATTACAGGTGCGTGCCGCCACGCCCAGCTAATTTTTGTAGTTTTAGTAGAGACAGAGTTTCACAATGTTGCCCAGGCTGGTCTTGAACTCCTAAACTCAGGCATCCGCCTGCCTTGGCCTCCCAAAGTGCTGGGATTACAGGCATGAGTCACCACGCCCAGCTAAGAACTTTGGTTTTCAAAAGATGTATAGTAACGTAGCAAGGTGGGTGCAATATAACAGTTACTGGTCCCATTCAGACAAATGGATATGGCTGTGACAGTGTCCTTTACTGGCACAGTGCTACTCCTTGCTTGGGTGCCCAGATCATAGCTCTTGCGGTACATACCAGCTGTGTCAGGGTGGAGCAGAGGAAGCTGAATAGAGAAAGTAACATCTGGAGGTGGGGCATGCTTTAGAGACAGGAAACTGAACACATCCTGAAATGAAAGGGAGTGTGAGCCTTCTAGGAAGTGAGAGAAATTCAGTGGGTCCAGAAGGAAGTTATAAGTGTTGGGGCTGGAGAGGTAAGCAGAGGCCAAATGGAGAGGACCTTTGGGCCTTGTCCTGGGGCAGCAGTGTCCTGCTGTGATCACTGCACGTTTGGACGTGGCAAGTGGGAGGCACCAGGCTTGGCATCCAGAGAAGGTCGGGGGATTTGTTTGGGTAGAATTGATGCATTTCTACTTTTGTTAGAAGAGCCAGCTGGAGACATGAGGACTAAATATGGAATGTGGAAAATGGAAAGAGAATTCTAAGATTCAAAGTCTTGGCCTCAATGTCACATCCTGTCAAGGGAGCAAATAGTGTGAAAATGAAAGTAAAGCCTAAGGATGATTATTTTTCAGTCTGAAAGAAAACTTCTGCTTTCTGCGAATTCTATCATAAAGTTAGTATTTAGCCCCTTTTAACCTGGTTGTTTACTCTCTGGTTGAGACATCTTAGTCAATCCAATTCAGAGGTTTAAGACAGTAGTCAGTTCTATCCTACTATGTTTGGAGAATGTTAGTTCAGGCTAAGGGTTTTCAGGTATGATAACAAATGTGGCATTTTATAGCTTGGAGTGCCCTCAGTTCTAAGATCCAAACGTGTCTGGAATTGGTGGGTTCTTGGTCTCACTGACTTCAAGAATGAAGCCACAGACTCTCGCGGTGAGTGTTACACTTCTTAAAGGCGGCGTGTCCGGAGTTTGTTCCTTCTGATGTTCGGATGTGTTGAGTTTCTTCCTTCTGGTGGGTTTGTGGTCTCCCTGGCTCAAGAGTGAAGCTGCAGACCTTCGCAGTGAGTGTTACAGCTCTTAAGGCAGTGTGTTTGGAGTTGTTCTTTCCTCCCAGTGGGTTCGTGGTCTCCCTGGCTTCAAGAGTGAAGCTGCAGCCCTTTGCCATAAGTGTTACAGCAGTGCGGACCCAAAGCGTGAGCAGCAGCAAGATTTATTGCAAAGAGTGAAAGAACAAAGCTTCCACAGTGTGAATGGTGCCCAGGGTAGGTTGCCACTGCTGGGTCGGGCAGCCTGCTTTTATTCTCTTATCTGGCCCTACCCACATCCTGCTGATTGGTCCATTTTACAGAGAGCCAATTGGTCTGTTTTACAGAGAGGTGATTGGTCCGTTTTGACAGGGTGCTGATTGGTGCATTTACAATCCCTGAGCTAGACACAAAAGTTCTCCACGTCCCCACTAGATTAGCCAGATACAGAGTGTGGACACAAATGTTCTCTAAGTCCTAACCAGAGTAGCTAGATACAGAGTGTCGATTGGTGCATTCACAAACCCTGAGCTAGACACAGGGTGCTGATTGGTGTATTTACAATCCCTTAGCTACACATAAAGGTTCTCCAAGTCCCCACCAGAGTAACTAGTTACAGAGTGCCAGTTGGTGCATTCACAAACCCTGAGCTAGACCCAGGGTGCTGATTGGTGTGTTTACAAACCTTGAACAAGATACAGAGTGCCGATTGGTGTATTTACAATCCCTTAGCTAGACATAAAGGTTCTCCAAGTCCCCACCAGACTCAGGAGCCCAGCTGGCCTCACCCAGTGGATCCCACACCAGGCCACAGGTGGAGCTGCCTGCCAGTCCCATGCCGTGCGCCCGCACTCCTCAGTCCTTGGGTGGTCGATGGGACCGGGTGCTGCGGAGCAGGGGGCGGTTCTGATCGTGGAGGCTCGGCCGCGCAGGAGCCCACGGTGGGGGTGGGGGGGTGGGGAGGGGAGGCTCAGGCATGGCAGGCTGCAGGTCCTGAGCCCTGCCCTGCAGGGAGGCACCTAAGGCCCGGCCAGAAGTCGAGCACAGCAGCTGCTGGCCCAGGTGCTAAGCCCCTCACTGCCCGGGGCTTGTGGGCCAGGGGGCCGCTAGAGTGCCGGGCCCCCCAAGCCCATGCCCACCCGGAACTCGCCGGTTCCCGCCTGCGCCTCTCCCTCCACACCTCCCTGCAAGCTGAGGGAGCCGGCTCCGGCCTTGGCCTGCCCAGAAAGGGGCTCCCACAGTGCAGCGGCGGGCTGAAGGGCTCCTCAAGTGCCGCCAAAGTGGGAGCCCAGATAGAGAAGGCGCCGAGAGCGAGCGAGGACTGCCAGGGCTGCCAGCATGCTGTCACCTCTCACAAAGGTGATTAATGGGCTGCTCTGTTTCAATGATGGTGGTGCGTCCTCCAAAATTCATGTTGAAACTTCACCCCCAGTGCAACTGTATTAAGAGGTGTGGCCGCTGGGAGGCAGAGCCCTCATGAATGGGATTAGCACCCGTATAAAGAGCTCAAGGTTGAGGGGGGTGCTCTCTTGCCCTTCTGCCTTTTGCCATGTGAGGACACAGCAACAAGGTGCCATTTTGGAAGCAGAGAGCATGCCTCCGCAGACACCAGTGCCAGCACCTTGATCTTGGATTTCCCAGCATGCGGAACTGTAAGAAAAAAAGTTCTGTTCTTTATAAATTACCCAGTCTCAGGTATTTTGTTATAGCAGCACAAATGGACTAATAAGACATGAGCTTTAGAAATATCTTGAATTTTTTATACTTGTTCATCAAGTATAATATCTGGAGCAGGAATTTCACATCTTGAAAATACAGAGGGATTTTACAGAGAAAATGAGGAAAGAAAAAAGAACTTTCTTCTTTAGTATCTCCTTGTGGGCTGCTTTTATTTTGTCACTGCCCATACAAATGTGCTGTAGCATGCAGTTCAAGAACTTCAATTTTCCTCCTTTTACCTTTTATCACTGATGGAGTAGCCTGCTTGTCTATGATTAATACCTCTGGATACACAGTGAATCACCTGGGGAATGTAGGTGAAACAAAACAAAACATATGCCTGGCTCATTCCTACAACCAAAAGAATTGAAAGTAGAGTCTCAAAAACATATTTGTACATTCATGCTCACAGCAGCATTATTCACGATAGCTAAAAGGTGGAAGCAAGCCATGTCCATAGATCAAAAGATGAATGGATAAACAAAATGTGGTATATTCATACAATGCGATATTATTCATGCTCAACCTTGCTACCACTTGGGTGAGCCTTGAGGACATAACGTTAAGTGAACTAAGCCAATCACACACACACACACACACACACACACACACACACACACAAACACACACACGTCTATCATTCCACCTGTAGGAGGTACCTAGTCAAAAATCTGAAAGTGGAGGCTGGGCGCGGTGGCTCATGGCCGGGTTCATGGCTCAAGCCTATAATTCCAGCACTTTGGGAGGAGAGGCAGGTGGATCACCTGAGGTCAGGAGTTCGAGACCAGCCTGACCAACATGGCGAAACCCTGTCTCTACTCAAAGTACAAAAATTAGCTGGGCATGGTGGTGTGCACCTGTAGTCTCAGCTATTCAGGAAGCTGAGGCAAGAGAATCACTTGAATCTGGGAGGTGGAGGTTGCAGTGAGCTGAGATCTCACCACTGCACTCCAGCCTGGGCAATAGAGTGAGACTCCGTCTCAAAAAATAAATAAAATAAATAAATAAAAAGTGGAATGGTATTTGGCAGGGACTGGGGGGAGGAAGGATTGGGGAGTTAATGGGCATAGACTTTCAGTTTTGCAAGTGAAAAGAGTTCTGGTGATAGGTGGTGGTGATGGTTGCACAATATGATTTCACTTAATAGCACTGAGCTGTACACTTAAAATGATTAAGATGATATATTTTGTGTTGTATGTATTTCACCACAGTTCTAAAAATCAGGGCGGAAAGTTAATGCGATAAAACAACATTTGATTGTAAAATTCTTATGGAAAATTATCTGGTGGCACTATCAAAGAATATTTGGAAAAAGAGGAGCGATCTGCCAAGTGTTAAATCGTACAACAGTAGGTAAAAGGGACTGTAATTGTGATCTGATAGTGAATGGGCACTGCAGAAGGGACTCCATGATTGATATGTTTTCCTGTGACTTTTTTTTGTCTTTCTTAGTGTAAGTCTCTTATTTTCTTCTGCAGAAAAAAAGAGACCAGTGCCTAGCTGTAGTGCTTCTGATAGCATTATGTCCAGAAAGGGCCAGGAAGCTAGGTACAAGATTTATCTCTGCCAAAGCTAACATTCAGTCCTGGGCTTTTTTTTTTTTTTTTTTTAATCTAGACACACATTTTCAGGCATATCAGATTGGAGAGTAAATAACGATGGAATGCCTGTTATGTACACGGCCTGGTGCTAGAAGTACAACAACACAATTTTGATAAACAAAAGAACACAGACCCTGATGCCGTCGTTCGTATATTCTATTGAATTTATCTATTGTAGCTATTGATACCAGAAGACTTCAAACAATTAACTGAACAATAATTACTAAGTAAGAATTACATATTATTTATTAATTACTCAGTAATTCTGAAAGAGTCATACTTCAGGGGGCCTTTTAGACATACAAGGCACTGAACCAGTGTGAGGAGATTAATGGAGACCCTAGGAAGGGACATTTGATCTGAATCTTGAAAGCTGAGTTTGTATTACCATCTCCCCTCTCTCTTCATTCTTTTTTATTTTCTGGCCTTCTTATACCTCTCTTTGCCCTCACCAACCACCTGTGTTATAATCATCTTTGACTTACAAGCTACTGACAAATAGCTTGTTAAGAGGGGTAAGATGATACTGTTTACAGCCTCCTTCAATCTAAGAATGAAATTCTTAAAGGACAAACAACTTACTTTTTATTGGATCAAGATTAGAGAAAGCTGTCTTTCACAAGTCAAATTTAGTAACTTGTTTTTTTGTGTTTTCAGCAACTCAAGCATCCCAACCTTGTTAACCTCCTGGAAGTCTTCAGGAGGAAACGGAGGCTTCACCTGGTGTTTGAATATTGTGACCACACAGTTCTCCATGAGTTGGACAGATACCAAAGAGGGTGAGTGATCCATCCCTTACAAGCAAAACAAAGACACACTGGGATTTGTGAGCGAAAAGTGGCAATGACTCTTTTTAAGACTAGGTAAGGCCGGGTGCAGTGGCTCATGCCAGTAATCCCAGCACTTTGGGAGGCCTAGACGGGTGGATCATCTGAGGTCAGGACTTCAAGACCAGCCTGGCCAACATAGTGAAACCCCATCTCTACTAAAAATACAAAAATTAGCTGGGCGTGGTGGCGGGTGCCTGTAATCTCAGCCAGTCGGGAGGCTGAGGCAGGAGAATCGCTTGAACTTGGGAGGCGGAGGTTGCAGTGAGCCAAGATTGCACCATTGCACTCCAGCCTGGGCAACAGGGTGAGACTCTGTCTCAAAAAAAAAAAAAAAAAAAAAGACTAGTTAAAAACAGCCAGTGTTTGTACAACATACTCTGCTGCCAAGGTGGACAGCAGAAAGATTACAAAAAATGTTACAAAAGGATAAAAAAAATAGTCACTTTAATGAAGAAACCAGCAGAAGCATCATTAGATTGAACTTGATTTCTTTGGTACTTTATCTCTGCATAGAAGTGATCTCAGTCTCTAAGAAAAGGAAGGATATTAGTTAGTCTATGCCTGACCAGGGAGGTAGAAGGGCTTGGAGATTGAAAGGAAGATTCCAAAGGCAATGGCTACTAGGAAGTTTGAGACTAAAACAAACATGGTATTTCACTGGAAGCAATCCGGGTGTCTACTCTGCTGTATTACTCAGGATTTCTTTGGTTTCAAGTGACAAAAACCCAACTGAAGCAAGCATAGGTGAAAAACAATTGTGTTGTGGCTGTAACTGAGAAGGGTGGGAGTGACTCCGGGGGCTCCGCTGATCTTACCACACAGCTCTCTCTAGCATATGCAACATCTTTGTGTGCACTGGAAGAAGACTTGGTGAGCACACAGAGGCCTTGTCCAAGAAAAAGAAAAAAGGAGGAGGGGGTCCCTTCCTGAAGTTGAGGGCAGCCTCTTGCAGGGTGAGAGGACTGGATTCCAGCTCCCACCCACTCCTCAGCTGGGTGTTTTCAGGCAGGGCAACGTAGGTAGTGGCTGTTCTTTCTCACTCTCTCCCAGCCCTAATTCTTCTTCATTGTGCCTTGCAAATAAGCTTCCCTTATATGGTGGATTTGGGAGGGCATGTGGGTGGCATGGGCTGGAAGTTTGGAAGGGAAAAGTACAAAATAGAAAGCATGGCCACAGGCTTATATCAATCTATATAGCTGTTCTAGAAGAAAGGAATTCTAGAAGAAGGTAGCATCTGCACATTAAGTCTAGTGGAACTCCGATTGGCTCAGCTCAGGTGACGCAACTATCCCTGGGGCCTATTACTGTTGCTAGAGAAAGAGGACGGAATGATTAGCAGGTCCTGGGAGATATTATTCAAAGAGAGCTTCATGGTGAAGGTGGCCTTGGAGTTGAAAGGGGAGGAGACTTTAGATAAGTTGACCAGGGATGAAAAATATCCCATCCTTTCCTTTTTTGGCTGTGTTCTCGGGAGCCCAACTTTGGCTGGGGACAATATGAAGAGTGGATTATAGATTAGAGCCACAGAATGGTGTCCCATCCCATGGACTGTGAATGGCTCCCATTCACACTTCAGTGGCTGGAGGCTGAGGCTCCTCCAACAACTCTTTCAAGTCTTTGCCAGGGGCTTGCTCTGCCACGTGGTGATGGTTATATATGATCTGCCGTGACCTCCAGGCAAATGGAATGGAAGCGGCTTGTGGTTTGTTAGTGACCACAGCACAGACTTTTCATATTTCAGAATGTTAATTTACATAGCCAGAGAGAGCCAAGAGGACAGACACCTCCCTTCAGAAAGTCATCGATACAGAGAAATTATGTTTTCAAAGGAGAAAACATTTCGTATGTTGATATTTGATCTTTTGACAGCTTGCAAGTGACACTTCAATTAAACTTGTTAATATAAGTTACTCATGGCTATGTGGTACCAGAGGGATGTTACAGGGAATTTGATTAATCATGTTGAGTGGCTTGGGAACACTGATTTGTGGGAGTCAAAAGCAATGAAAGTCAGCTCTTTTTTTGGCATATAGTTTGAACAGAATAAAAAGGGTGATTACAGTTTGAAAGCAGATTTTTAAAAACTCCACTGGCCAAAATATGTTATATATGTTCCAGGAAACAGAAAATGCTTTAATATGGGAGTTGCAGAAAACAGAAAGACCTGTAGATAAATGTGTGATTAATTACAAGCAACCTCATTTCCAAATGGTAAAATGCTATGATTTGCCAAATATAAGATTTATTAAGGAAATCTTAAGGAAATCAAATATAAGATTTACTTAAGGAAATCAGCCCCCGACAGGCCTCAGTATGTGTTGTTCCCCTTCCTGTGTCCATGTGTTCTCATTGTTCAGCTCCCACTTATAAGTGAGAACATGTGGTGTTTGGTTTTCTGTTCCTGCGTTAGATTGCTGAGGATAACAGCTTCCAGCTCCATCCTGTCCCTGCAAAGGACATGATCTCATTCATTTTTATGGCTGCATAGTATTCCATGGTGTGTATATACCACATTTTCTTTTTCCAGTCTATCATCGTATGAAAACTTTTTAATTTAGAGACATCATACTATAAAATAAAATTTTGTAAGCACATTCACAGTAAAGGTGAGTTAGCATTATCTGTGTGACCTTGGGCAAATTGCTTACAGGTGTCTTCACCTGTAAAAATGAGAGTTTAGGACTAGGTAAAGTTTCAGGGGACTTCTAGCTGTATAATGCTATGAATTGATAATCAAGTACCTTAGGGGTCAGAAGACTTCGGTTATCTTTCAGTTTCATATTTGATCTATTAGACAATATCAACAAAGCATAAGCTACTGATGCTGGTGTTGCCAGGTTGGGTTACCAGCCTGCTTGGTGCCAGGTGGGGTCCCCTTAGGTTAGTATACTTACCCTCAGAATGTCCTGTGATCACTTCTTATATTTCTAAGTACAGATTTCTTAAAATACAAAGTTGAGCATGCCACCCTCTACATAGAATCCTTTAATAGCTCCCCAAAGCTTACTGGTATGGGGAAATCCCCCCAGCATGAGATACAAGATCTTACTCACTCTACCACCCCACTCCCCACCAGTTTGCCCATAATACATGACCCATCCTACCAAATTCCTTGCATTCTAGGTTCAGGACATGCTGTTTGCTCAGCAAACGTGGGTTTCCTTACTTTCTCTATTGTACCTGGAAGACTCCTGCTGTCCTTCCTACATCTCACATATGACTCCTTTATGATGCCTGCCAGCACCCTGGCCTCTATAACATCTTCTGGGATTGTTTATTTACATATCCCATTTGCCCAGTAAAATGCACAATCCTCAAGGGCAAGAGCTGGGCCTTCCTCACCTGTGGATTCTCAGTGTCTTCTAGCTGCATATTTGGCACTTGGTACATACTCAGTACTTGTAGAATGACTGAATTAGCAAACCAATAAATTGATAGTTACAAAATGATTTTAAAGAAGAATAATCATAACAAGGTTTGGATTTTCAATTTAAAGGTTACTTTGATTTAAAATTTCTAAAGCCTAATATTGTCAAAAGAGATTATGAAGTACTCTGCTGGAGCAACCTGTCCAGAAGGCAATTTGGCAATCAGTGTGTGGAATTAAAAGTCTTAGAGGCATTATCTTAAACCCAGCAAGTCTACTTTGAACAATTTACCATAAGAAAATATTTGAATATATGTGCAAAAACTTAATTACAAAAGTATTTATTGTTATGGGATATTTTTAAGTATTGTTTATAAAGAAAAAATTGCAATCAACTGAAATATCCAACAATAGATAATTAGTTACGTAAATTATAATAAAGTTTTATGATAGAATACAGTGGACCCATTAAGAATAAAGCTTATGTTAACAGATAAAACATATATTGACATAGGAAAAAGTTCATGAATAGTTGTCAAATGAAAAAAAATTATACTATAATAAAAATACATATTATTTCATTTTCATAGAATTTATATATAGATGGGAAAAAAGACAAGTAATCTGAATATTACTAGTGATGAGTTATGATTGTTATTGATATTTTTCATTTTATTTGTGCTTTTATATTTTTCATGTTTATTATTATAGTAATGTTTTAATGTTTAATTATTAAAAATAATTCTTGCCAAATCAGACTCAAAGACTTCTCATTTGAACCTGAAATGGACACTAATTCATCTTCTTATTAACATGCTTGTAACTTCTGGTACTCCCTTGGAAAGCTTTTGGAGAAGATCCAACTTCATGTTGCTACTAACACAAGCAAGTTTATACCACGAGATATGTATCCTGTTACAGTAACATGAATACATGTCAATTATAATTCCCAGTGCTTAGGTTTATGTTTTTATAATTGTCCCCAATCACAACCATTCCTTGTCTTATACAGAATTTAAAAAACTTTGTATCTATTATTCTATAGATGATTGGTCTCCCTGTGTCAAAGTTTTACAAATAACTGGTTTGGATGTTTTCTCCTCATTTTTCTGCCTACCTATATGTTCAGCCAGACATAAGACTTCATTGATTCTTTCCTGCACAGATTTAATTACCACCAGTTCCTTCTCTGAATAACATAGTTTGTTCAAAGAACATCTCCTGGGTAATGTACATTACTGCAAGTTTTCAGTTTCTGACAGTGAAATTCCAGAAATGTTCTCTCTCTTTTTTAGATTAAAAATGATATGTTGTTTGTTGCAAATTTTTAAAGCAACACAGACATTGAAATGAAGGGCTGGGGGTGGTTGCTCACACCTGCAATCCCAGCACTTT
Organism: Homo sapiens; assembly: GCF_000001405.40. Lineage (NCBI taxonomy): Eukaryota > Metazoa > Chordata > Mammalia > Primates > Hominidae > Homo > Homo sapiens. The sequence goes on along the minus strand of NC_000014.9, from coordinate 50,354,214 downwards.
GGGAGGCCGAGGTAGGCGGATCACTTAAGGTCAGGAGTTCAAGACCAGCCTGGCCAACATGGTGAAACCCCGTCTCTACTAAAAATACAAAAATTAGCCGGGCATTGTGGTGGGCGCCTGTAATCCCAGCTACTCGGGAGGCTGAGGCAGGAGAATCACTTGCACCCGGGAGGCGGAGGTGGCAGTAAGCTGAGATAGTGCCACTGCAGTCCAGCCTGGGTGACAAGAGCAAAACTCCATCTCAAAAAAAAAAAAAAGAAAAAATTGAAATAAATAAAATCAATAGCTTTACATACTGTTCTGCATTTATTTTGTTTTTATTTAGTTAAATAAATTAGTTAATATTAGAAACAGGGTCTTGTTGCTATGCTGCTCAGGCTAAACTTGAACTCCTGGGCTCAAGCGATCCTCCTGTTCCAGCCTCCTGAGTAGCTGGGACTACAGGTGTGCCCAACCACACCAGGCTGCATTTTTTTTTAAATGTACTCTGGAGCTTTCTCCCTATCTATACATATCTACCTTTATATTTTAAAAATGGCTGTATAGAATTCCATTGTATGAATATACCATGATTTCTTAGTTCAATCTCCTATTGATAAATATTTAGATTGTTTCCAGTTATTTTCTATTACTAACCATGCTACAGTGAAAAACCATTTTCGTAAATATTTCTTTAGGATAAATTCTTAGTAATATATTCTTTTTTTACAAGAGTTTGGCCAGACCCCCAGCCCTTCCCATCTTTGTGATAGCCTTGTGTAGAAATGAAGTCTTAATGAATGCCAACTGTTTGATGATCTGTGTCACAAATGTTAGACAAGCAGCAGTGGAAAGGATGACTTCTGTAATTGAGAATGCTGGAAAGGGATACATGTTATTTCTTCATCATCTCCGAAGAATTTCACATTTCTGAAGAATTTTTAAAAATCGGTTTGATGTCTTCACTTTCATATGGTAGTCGTTTACATTTCTGTCTGTCTGATTTTGTTATTAGGACATTAGGGTCACAATACAGCCTCCCCTAAAAACTTGGAGAGACAGAGATTGCTTTCTGAAAGTTATTTTGTGAAACGAACACATAATGCATCAGGGCGGAGGTATGTAAAGCAACCTTAGACAGAATGGCTTCTAGGCTTGTTAGATTTGACTGACTCTATGTTTTATCTAATGATAAATTATTCCTAAAGTCGAGATGGATGCAGTTAAGCAATCTCAGTTTAACAGCAATGAAGAGTCAAATTGCCTACTTTCCCTCATCCAAATTCTTTGCTCATCATTCTGATTATAACTTGACTTTCTTTATGAAATTGTCTACAAAGAAAGCATGAGCTAGTACTCAGAATTTGGGTATGGGTGAATACGTTGGCACTCTAGTTTTATATGACAGGCTAGTTAATTTGTTTAATGTTCACTTGCCCCTTTGAAATGGATACTGTCTTGGTATGCTGACAAAATTGAGTGTCTGTGTCTGCAAGCCTGAAGACGGCAAAGGCAGCCAAGCTTTTCCAAACGAAGCACCACATTCTCTGTGTTCTGTGATGAGATGGCTGTTTTTCCCCTCAACTCTATTCTTCGCTTAATATTCTTTTCTATGTATTTTCTATATATGTTGCATTATAATTTTTAGATCTATTGTCAATGACTGTAAAATATTACATTAAGTTTATTATGTCTCACCATTCCTCTCTGGTTGAATACTGAGGTCATTTTCAGTGTTTGGTTTGATAATGATTCTGGTATAAAATTTTCCTACAAATAGATTTTTCTTCTTTTGTAATTTTCCTTTAGAAGTTCTCAAATTGGTACTTTTGAGTTGTAAATTTTGCCAGACAGAACCAATTTACTTTCTCACCAAAGATATGGATTTATATATATATATTTTTTCTTATAATTGTGCTACCTTAGGCTCTATTATTAAAATATTTGATGTATGAATTCTATCAAACATATAAGGAAGAAATAATAGTAACCCTACCCAAACTCTTTCAGAAAATATGAGAAGGAACATTTCCCAAATCATTTTATGAGGCCACTATATGCTGATGCCAAAACCAGACAGACATTTCTAGAAAAGAAAATGACAGATGAATATTCCTCAAGAATTTAGGTAAAAAATCCTTAGCAAAATTATTAGCAAATCAAATCCAGCAGTATAATGTAATGTAAAAGAGTGATTAATATATCTCAAAATATCAATTTTTAGACATCAAAGCCTTTCTATTGTGAGAGATGAAAATTTAGCTCCCTGAAATCACTATCTCCTCTGCTTCCTGTTCTAATCCTCCAAAATAGTTACATTAATGTTCACTGTTCCCATTATTGTGCCTATGTAAATATTACTTATAGCTGAGCATTGTACCATACTATGGCTTCCTTTTGTACTTTTTCCTCAAATTAACACTTGCCTTGTTTTAAAATTTGCTTGACATTCTTTAATCTTGTTGCTAATTCCCTCCCCTGACCTTTTTTTTTTTTTTTTTGAGACAAGGCCTCACTCTGTCACCCAGGCTGGAGTGCAGTGGCCCAATCATAGCTCACTGCAACCTCCGCCTCCCAGGCTCAAATAATCCTCCCACCTCAGCCTTCTAAGTAGCTGGGACTACAGGTGCCTGCCACCACGCTTGGCTAATTTTTTGTATTTTTTGTAGAGATGGGATATCACCATGTTGCCCAGGCTGGTCTCAAACTTTTGGGCTCAAGCAATCTGCCCACCTCAGCCTCCCAAAGTGCTGGGATTACAGGCATGAGCCACTCACTGCGCCCCACCCCAACTCATTTTAATAGCCTCTCAATGTACATTTTCACAGGATAGTTACATCAGGTAATCCATCAGTTCCATTTTTTTTTCTTGGTAATGTCTGGCCTTTAAACCTCCTTTTCCTTCTGTCTGGCTTGTTGTACTCAAGACCTGCTGTCCAGCTGTATCCCTTGGATTTCCCTTTGCCATCATCCTTGTAATTCCTGCCGCATTTCTCTGTGGTCAGATTCATTACTTCCTGGATTTGTCTTCCTCTTTCTGGGTTTACTTGCTTATTTTGACCAAGTACATCCATCTCTAACTGGTTAAAAAGATGATATAATCACACAGAAATCTAGACTCCAGGGATTTCAAATGACACCCCCCTCTCCCGCCCACACCCTTCCTTAGAATCAAGCAGTTGGGAACCCTTTATGTTCCTGGGGGGTGAAACAAAATTCACAAAGCAGGCAGGAAGAATGCCATGAGGTCACACCAGTGGAGAGCTCAGCAGTGTGCCCATTCTCCACATCTTCCCACTAGCGAAAGATGGATTCCATTCTGCCCTCCCCAGAAGGAGTGCCTCTGGGGAGCTGGGCAACAGCCCAGTGGGCTCTGGAGGAACAACTGGAGCTCTCAACAAGGCAACTGAACTGAAGGCCTCAAGGAAGACCACCTGACTACCTATGGAAGTGCCTTCTTGAGCCCCTTCCATCTTGGTGTGGGACAGAAAAGAAAGGGAGGATCCTTGCTTGATTTTCTCATACCTTGCCCGACTCTCATTTCTAGGTCGGGGGAGCTGATATCTTCAGGATTTTAAAGCCCACCAGACCAGGCCCAGCTGGCTGGGAGTCCAAAAGGCCCAAGTTGGATCCTGTCCAGCTCCCTTGGAGTACTATTTACTAGGAAGAAAAGCTGGGGATATATATGGCTCGTCTAAAGTTCAATCACCTAATCCCATGGCAGAGAAGAACCAGGCCCAGGAGAAAAGCTCAAGCCCCTTCTTCTCTCATAGATTAAGGTTGAGCTTATGTATGATTGCTCTGAAAGGAGAGCTTGCTTTTGAGCTAGAAGAGCTATTAAAGGGAGTAAAGAATGAGAAGGAATTGAGCCCCTTTTCTTCATACCTGTTCTAGCCCTTCCCCACTCTGCCCTAGAGCTCAGCCACAACCACTATTTACCACCAATGTGGAAACAAATATCTTAAGGTGGAATGAGTTCCCTAGCCTTGCTAGCACGGGCTACAATTTTAAGAACATCTTCCTTAGGCCAGGCATAGTGGCTCATGTCTATAATCCCAGTGTTTTGGGAGGCCAAGGCAGGAGAATCACTTGAACCCAGGAGTTCATGACCAGCCTGGGCAACACAGCAAGACCCCCATTTCTGCAAAAAAAGTATTGGCCAAGCACGGTGGCTCACACCTGTAATCCCAGCACTTTGGGAGGCCAAGGCAGGCAGATTACCTGAGGTCAGGCGTTCGAGCCCAGCCTGGCCAACCATGGCCAACGTGGCGAAACCCCATCTCTACTAAAAATACAAAAATTAGCTGGGTGTGGTGGTGTGTGCCTGTAATCCCAGCTACTTGGGCGGCTGAGGCAGGAGAATTGCTTGAACCCAGAAGGAGAAAGTTGCAGTGAGCCAAGATAGCACCACTGCACTCCAGCCTGGGTGACAGAGGGAGACAACGTCTCAAAAAAACAAAACAAAAAACAAACAACAACAACAACAACAACAAAAAGACAAGAGAGAAGAACAAAGAACATCAAAACATCTGCCTTAGCCTGAAGGGTCCAGCCAGTCACCCAGACTCTTCCAGAGCTGTTAAGTTTGTTGAATATATTCATATTTATTTAAGATTGCATGAGGCAGAGGGCATGGCGATGATACCCCTTACTGTGCATGGCTCTTGGGTCACACTGTCCTGTCAGGATGGGTTGCTTTTGCCACCTGGAGTGCAGTTATCCCGTCATCTCCCTCTGCCATCCTCCCAGAAACTCCTGCTGCTTCCCTCCTGCATTGGGTCTCCAGCCCACATAATCTTCTTTGATAATGGACTGCTCCTTTCTGGTGGACTGCATCCATGAGGGGCTTCCTGAGAAAGAGCAGATGAGAGGTACAGGAACAAATAAGAGGTTGAGACCTTGCCCTCACATGCTTTATTCTATCCTCACACTGGTTTGGTATTTTGTTTGGATATAGGCTTGTTTATTGGTTTTTGGTTGAAGATAATATTCCTTCAAATTTTTGAAGTCATTATTTTAGTGTCTTCTATCTTCTAGTGCCAAGAAGCCTGATGCCATTCTATTTTCTGCTCTCTTGTGAAGTCCTGTTTCTTTTTCCAGAAACTTGTAGGAGATTCTCTTTGTGCTCAGTGTTTTTGATTATGAAACTCATGAGTGTGTCTTGATTTTCATCCATTATCCTGGCACTTGCTGGGCCTTTTCTGCCTCAGAAAAAAATTTTTGAATTGTTTTGTTATTGACTTCCTGTTCATTGTTTTACCTATTTTCTTTTTCTGTACCCTCTATTATTGGGATGTGGACTCTTGAACTGGTCCTCCCATTTTCTTGTAGTATCCTGTTCTTATTTCATGGATACAACAGCTTTCCTGTTCTCTCTGAGGATATTAATGGTATTTAAAAATGTTCTCTTCATCCTCCATAATTTCTGTTTCTTTTAAGTTGCTTTTTTCTGTTTGTTCTGGTCTTCTACTTTCTTATTAGAGGCTTTTCTTGGGCATCATATAGTCTCTGGTTATATGCTCATAGTTAAGAACAAGGAACTACTGGAAGCTCTGAGCTTCACTATGGTTTTCTAGCTGGGCCATTTGCTGGTGGAACCCCAGTGTCAGAATCTTCAGAGCTTTCCCTCTGAGCTTCTCCCAAAAAAGTCTTTGAATATTGTGCCTGGAGAGTGAAGTCTGCCTGCCGGGTTTCCCAGAGTCTAGTGAGGGAAGAGGGGTGGGGAATCCCAGCATTCAGCATTTTGTATGTGTACAGTCCTTTAATCCCCTGTTTTCAGAACAGTATCCACATTTTCAGAACGGTATCCACAATCTCACGTATGCCAAATGTCCTCTGCTTTATCCTTTCCAGAAACAAAGCTCCAGCCTTCTGCCCAGTAGTGGAGAGTGTTTCCCTATGGGCAAATGATAGAGGAGGGGATCTAGGGATTTAATTATTTTCTAAACAGTTTTTTCCATACTCCTTAGCTCCTAGTTCCATAGAGACTTTGGCTGCTACTTCCCGAGCCTTTTGAGGATTCTTTCTGGATGAATTGGTTGGTTCTCCACCTTCCCTCTCCTGGCTTAGATTTTCGCTTTCTAGGATTGTTAAGTTAATTATCTTTCATTCAGTTGCTTTCTGGATTCCACATTGTGTTGCTGTTATCTCTTCTCCTGTCCTCTCTGACCTTGTGAGGTTTTGTCTTTAGAAGTCTTCAGCGTAGTTCTAGTCAGGTTTCAGGAGGGAACAAAATTAGCTGGGCTTGCTTAATCCATCATCTTAATTCAGAAGTCCTTTGACACACTTTCTTCAGTTGGTCCTGTGATACTGTATTCTCCTGAGTGTTGTCTTATTCACTTGATGCTCTCAACTCAGGTGCCCTTGTGGGGTCCCCTTCCTCTTTCTGCTCCTCTGTGGGGAAGGGTCTCACAGCTTCCTTCCGAGCTCCTCTTCTTTAGCTGGATTCACTCCTTAATTGGCTTCATTCAGTCCTAGGCCCCAAATACCACCCATATGCTATGCTTCTCAAACTCATATTTCCAGCCTGACCTTCCTTCTGAATGTAGAATTGCTGACTCACAGTCTTCCTTTGGGTGTCCAGTAAGCATTCCCTTCCCCCAAACCAGTTTCCCCTCCAGTGTTCTCCTGAGTAAAAGGCACCACTGTGTACCAGTTACTCAAGCTAAAAACCTGATGTCATTCCTTGATTCTTCTCTTTCTCCCACATCCAATCCCTCAGAAAATCCTGGAAGCTCTATTTTAAAAATATAGCCCAAATCTGGCCACTTCTCACCACTTAACCACTATTTTAGATGTTCCCTTAACCAGAGAACCTTTCTGGGCCATCCTATATAAGGTGATCAACCCCTTCTAGCACAGCACTCTCACGCTGTCTCTCTCTCTCTCTCTCTAAATCCAACACCACAGAATATATTCTATCTATTTTTCCCCTTTTTATAGTTGTAACTCCCTTCTCCAACAGTGAAAAACTGGCCCCTCTTATTATGAGTGTTTCAGCTAAAAGGGATCTCAGAGTCTGAGGCCTCTGCATTACAGAAAAGAAACTGAGTAAAGAAGTGAAGTGAGTAGCCAGTTCAAGATGGCACTAAGTAGTTTGTACAGAGTTTTTACATTTGAGAGTTTTGTAATTCTGGGGATTAGCTGTGCTGGGGATTAAAGGAGCAATAATGATATGCAACTATAATTTACTTTTATATGCTCCTTTTATATAATTTATTTGGGGAAATGTTTGTAGGAACTAAAGTTGCCTGGTACTGGTAACCCTATATTAATACTTAATTTGCAGGCCGGGCATGGTGGTTCACACCTGTAATCCCAGCACTTTGGGAGGCTGAGGTGGGCGTATCACTTGAGGTCTGGGGTTTGAGACCAGCCTGGTCAACATGGTGAAACTCTGTCTCTACTAAAAATACAAAAATTAGCTGAGTGTGGTGGCACACACCTGTAATCCCAGCTACTGGAGGCTGAGGCAGGAGAATCGCTTGAACCTGGGAGGCAGAGTTTGCAGTGAGCTGAGATTGTACCACTGCACTTTAGCCTGGGTGACAGAGCAAGACTCCATCTCAAAAAAAAAAAAAAAACCAAAAATTTAATTTATTGAATAATCAAAATATATTCCATTTTTCTGGACAAAATGTAGAGGCTACTGGGAAGGCTGAGGCAGGAGGATCCCTTAAGTCCAGGAGTCCAAAGTTCAGTGAGCTATGATAGCACCACTGCCTCCAGCCTGGGCAGCACAGCAAGACCCTGACCCTAAAAAAAAAAAATTAAAAGTGGAGGCTGGGGAAAAGCATTCCCCCTAATGTCTCATCTTAGTTGCATTTTTCTAAGCCTTTTTTCTCGACAGTGACTTTTTCTAGCATCTATGCCTATATGCCGCTCAAACAAGGAAAAGAGAATTTGGAGAGAAGCAACTTCAAACACAGGGACATAGACCTGGTCCAGCAATGTCCCAACTAGCCTTCCTGGAAGTGGCCTCTTCCTTTCCTTCATGTGATCCCACTCTCTGTTCAAACACCCCCTGATCTGCTTGAAAGGATTTCCTGAACGTCTGGCCTGTGACAACAGTGGCCTTGTAGCCTCTCTCAGAGGCTACAAGTGACTTTTTGTAGTCCCCTTAACACAGCTACTCAAGAGCTTCCTCCCTGATTTACTTATTCGTTTTGGCTGAGGACCACAGCAACACTGTGGAATGTTTATCAAAACAGTAAGTCCAGCCAGTGGGTTGGGGTCTCAGAAAATAAATGCACTCTCTCTGTGGTTCGTTTCTTACACTCCCTGCCTTGGTTTGTTGTTGTTTTAAATGTTTCCAGGCGAGATGCCTCTTTCTAATTCACACAAAGTACCTGCTGGAACTACTGGTTGCCCTGGTAATAAAAGATGTGAGTCAGGGAAGAAGTACTGGGAGCAGTGGCTTGAAGTTTAGCTGTGGTGATGGAGGAGAGAGTAGAAAGATGTACCTGGGCTGCAGCTGGCTGCCATGGCAGCATAGGGAAAGAACCAGGATGCCTCAGGTTTTTAAATTATTATTAACATTTAATAACAATTTACGATGGGGGAGCAAGAGAGACTGCATCAAGACCCTGGTAGGGCAGATCTGGGATGCTAAAAAACAAATAGAATGGTTTGCAATGTAAAGCTCTTTGCTATAATCAGTAAAGTCTTCATTATCTAAAAAACCAAACAAACAACAGCAATGCTGCTCTGAGAGACCACATGCCCACACATGGAAGATGAGTCCTGCTTCAAGGCTGTCTGTTTGGGGCAACTTGAGAAAATAAACAGCATCTTTTGTGCTGAATAGTAACTTAACTTTACATCAATAAAAAATTCCTTGTGAAAATGGAGCTTAAGTTACCAGGCAGTTTCCCAGTGGTGTCACAGATGTTTGAGATAGGTGGTTATAAATACTTGTTGAAATCCCTGTAGGTTTTCATGTCCTTACCAAAGAAGTAGATGTTTGCATTTTTGTTAACCTGTTCTCCCTAGACTTCAGCGGTGTGCTGGTCGCATATTTTTACATTTTGGATTCATGGAATGATTGATGAGTAAGATGACTATGTGTCACCTAAGATTTTTCACTACTAAAGCCTATCTTCGTTTATTTTTTCTTTTCTTGAGCTGAATTCCATGGCTACACTAAAGAATGTGTTTGTGCTGCTTTATTTTTATTAGGGTACCAGAACATCTCGTGAAGAGCATAACTTGGCAGACACTGCAAGCTGTAAATTTTTGCCATAAACACAATGTAAGTCTCATGATCTCTTTTGAAAAGCAACAAGGCTCCCCTTAAGCTGAGGTGGAGCCTTGTACAAAGTTTATGTCACACTTCTGTGGGTAAAATTTTTTACCCAAATCTTCATAAGCCTGGTTGGGTAAGTATAGGCTAAAAATGCCAACCTAGCTATTCCTTCTTGCTCAGGTTATATAAAACATGCATTTTTATGATTTTAAGAAACTAGTGCCAGGCATGGTGGCTCCTGCATGTAATCCCAGGACTTTGGGAGGCCAAGGTAGGCAGATCACTTGAGCCCAGGAGTTCAAGACCAGCCTGGACAACATGGCAAAACCCTGTCTCTACAGAAAATAAAAAAAAATGAACTGGGTGCGGTGGTGTGTGCCTGTGGTCCTGGCTACTCAGGAGGCTGAGGTGGAAGGATCACTTGAGCTGGGGAGGTCGAGGCTGCAGTGAGTCAAGATCATGCCACTGTACTCCAACCTGGATGACAGAATGAGACCCTGTCTCAAAAAAAAAAAAAAAAAAACCACAAAGAACAAAAAATTAGTCATACATTTATACTGCTTAGAAACTACTCAGATTTAAGGTAGAACCCCATTCACTTGGAGTCTATGTGGTCTTGTACTCCCAAAAGGCTATGAAATTGGGGAAAACCCCAGGTGATTCATGCCTGCTTAGCTGCAGTATGTCAGTTGCAGTAGGTGGAACCCCAAACCCAGTGCAAAGTGCCAGTGTCTGCTTTGGTGAGATATGAGTGTCGAGTCTCGAACCAAGCAACCTATCGAAAGCCTGTGACACTCCTGGCCACAGGCGGCTGGTAGAGGCATAGTAGACTATTGCCCAGGTGACGTGACTTCACAGATGCTGGGAAGCCTGCTGCCCCATCCAATACAATACTGCCCACTGTGCATAGAAACCAGATTCCAAAGTTAGAGCTTCGTTTTGGCCATGAGTGCAATTTCACTGCAATGTTTTATCTTACTCAACTGCCAGGGTCAATTTAGGTGGTAGGGCTAAATCTCCTTCTTTATATTGTTCCAAATGATTTTTCCTGATGCTGCATTCCCGGAAGGAGGAAGTATGAGAGTAGACAGCACTTCTCCCTGAGGAGCCTCCAACTAGCTAAAGGCTATAATCCTTGTAATACACAGGGGAGAGTGGACACCCATATTGTTAGTTACTATGACTTACCACTCTTTCAAGAGCAGGTTTTAGGATGGGGGAGCAAGAGAGACTGCACCAAGACCCTGGTAGGGCAGATCTGGGATGCTAAAAACAAATATAATGCATACCACAGTTCCCTGGAGAGCCCCAGACACCCTGTTTGGCTCCATGTGCTGATGGGGGTGGGTGCAGAAACTTGTAAAGAATTCCCAGAACAGAATAGGAGCACATGCTTGCTTACAAGTACTTCTGACCATATGTCATCATGATATTCATGGTGTACCCATTTATAGCAATATGTGAAGCCAGTGGTAAAAAGAATAGAGATCTCAGGATGTTAATTGCTAAGAACCAGATCGATTATAATAAAATCCCAAAGTTGTTTTATTTACCCCAAATTTTCCAGAATAATAAATACCCATGGGGAAACATTGACACTGATCTCTCATCCTGAAGGTCCTTTGGAGTGAGAACTGGTCATGCCCAAGAAGAACCCAAGTCCTCTCCAGATTCTTAAGAATAACCCCAGGGTTTCAGGCTGCAGGCCAAAGAGGGTCTCTCAGGTTGCAAACGATCTAGCATTCTCCTCCTAAGAGGAAAACACTTGGGAAAGAGGAAGATTATTAGGGACCCTGAGCAGTATTTTGACCCAACTCAAAAAAAAAAAAAAAAAAAGTAACTCTTAATTAGGTTGTTGATTTGTTCTTTGCCAAAGAAATTGTCATTTAATGAGAAAATCATGTGAAGATTCTCAAACGTTCTTTTCTCTAAGATCACCCTGTTTAAGAATGTTGGCTGTGGGCTGGAAACCACAGGTGATTTGAGTCTAAATTCTGGAGGGGGGGCCGCATCTCGAGGGGTGGCTGCAGCTCTCAGAGCACTTGTGTGTGGGACAGAGCTGACATCTAGCGACTCTCCCCAGAGGGTGAGGGCTGCTGCCTACTCTTGTTTATCTTGTCCGGATGAATGTCAGAGCTGGAAGGGAAATCTCTTGGCAAGCTGTGGTTGCCACCCTTCTCTTCCCAGCTTATCTCAGCAGGCCCAGGGCTTGTCCTGTTTACGAGGCTGACTGTGTTCTGTTCACAGTTAAACAACTGAATTGTGAATTCTGCTTATGCACCAATTTGCAGCTCCTGCAACCATGATGCAGCCTCACCCGGACCTTTCAACATTTTCCCTTTCACCTAAAACTGTCAGATTAAATACAGGACACCCTGTTAAATTTGAATTTCAGATAAACAAGCATAACTTTTAGTATAAGTACATCCCAAGTGCTTCATGGGATGTATTATCCTAAAAAAATTATTTGTTTATCTGAAATTCAAATTTAACTGGGTGTCCTGTATTTTTCTCTGCTAAGACCGGCTACCCTACTTTCATTTTCCTTTCACTCTTCTTGGCTCTTTTGGGCCTTTTAGGAATTTGGGATGATTCAGGCTCTGACAGGCATGGTACTAGATTTATTTTAGGCTGCTCTTTTGCTGTTGTCCAACAGGCCAAGGAGAGATTTAAATGATTTATCCAATATTTGCTAAATAGTCATGTGTTTCATTTATCCCATATATAGTTCAGCCTTAATATTGTTTTTGTTTTGATTTGTTACACTAGTGCATACATAGAGACGTGAAGCCAGAAAATATCCTCATCACGAAACATTCCGTGATTAAGCTTTGTGACTTTGGATTTGCTCGGCTTTTGAGTGAGTATTGACATTTTCTTTTGTTAAGTATAAAAAATGAAAAAGTTCTTGATACAACAAAGGATCTAAATGCTCTAGAAGTATACAAGATAGTACTTGTATATTTAGGGCATAAGTGTGCTATAAATTATAATTTTGTAATTACCGAAAATGTGTAGATAATACAATGGTTTACCTATGTATGCTATCCATAAATTATACCACAGTAAAGTAGTTATTAAAAAGTATCTTACCTCCCTGATTTCTACCATTTCTTGCTAAAATACTTTTCAGAAGTGCTACTTTAGAATAGTGGCTTTCAACCTTGGAGGCAGATTAGAATCACCTGGGGAACTTTTTTTTTTTTTTTTTGAGACAGGGTCTCACTCTGTTGCCCAGGCTGGAGTGCAGTGGCACAGTCACAGCCCACCACAGTCTCGACCTCCCCAGTTCAGGTGATCCTCCCACCTCAGCCTCCTGAATTGCTGGGACTACAGGCATGAGCCACCACACCTGGCTAAGTTTTGTATTTTTTTTGTAGAGACGGGGTTTCACCACATTGCCCAGGCTGGTCTCGAACTCCTGGGCTGAAGCAAACCACCTACCTCGGCCTCCCAAAGTGCTGGGATTACAAGTGTGAGCCGCTGTGCCCAGGGAACTTTAAATTCTAAGCCAAATAACCCCCCCCCCCCCCCCAGACCCTCCCCAGGGATTCTGTTTTAATTGGACTGGAGTGTGGCTTGAGCATCAGTAATTTACAAAATATTTATTTAAGTGATTTGAATGTGCAACTAGAATTGAGAACCAGCGATATAGAAAGGCCACAAAATTGGGCACAGGCTTGACTTCTGAGATCTCCCCCTCAGTTTTGATTCCAGCCTTCCGCTGCTGTTTGTTTTCCATGTTCCATCACTGGCTAGCTGGACCGAGTGACTACTATACAGACTACGTGGCTACCAGGTGGTACCGCTCCCCTGAGCTGCTGGTGGGGGACACGCAGTACGGCCCCCCGGTGGATGTTTGGGCAATTGGCTGTGTCTTTGCTGAGCTGCTGTCAGGAGTGCCTCTGTGGCCAGGAAAATCGGATGTGGATCAGCTGTATCTGATTAGGAAGACCTTGGGTAAGTGGTGTTTTTGTCCCACCTTTTGGAAAACTGGATATTTCCCCAGGTTGGGGCAGGGCAGAGCCAAGTTCTCAGTCTCACCTAATGCCCTTTAAGGCATTAGTTAGGAAAGAGGAAAACTCGAAGCCTCATTTAAATGACTCCATTAAAGGTGGCCATATTTGTTTTAATTAAAATAGTTAACAATTATTGAGTACTTACTCATTGTCCAAAAACAACCCAAGATTCTTGAGCAGTTTGGATCAAGTTAAAACATTAATAATGACAATAACAACAATAAAAACTCACATTTCTGTAAGGGCTTAGCAGTTTACAGAATGCTTTCATGGTTTACCTTGTTTATGACGATGGGGTAATCCATTTGGATGTCCTTAATCCCAGCCTGCCTGACTAGTTTGGATTATTCAGACTCTATGGAGAATGATTCCCAACCTTCTAAGTGTCAGGAGGAAAGCTAGTTGTAATGTCACTCAGTCCGTCTTGCTTTCCCACCCCAGTGCCCTTTCCTTTCTCTCTACCCTTGGAGGCGGAGGGGAAGGGCAGGGGAGAAGGGAGGGAAGATGAGAAAAAAAAACCCATCAGTAGTGATTGCCCTCTTCCAAAGTCAGGGAGTTTAGACACTACTCGCCTGAGTATCGCAGTTTAAGGTAAACTTTTCCTCCTCTAAACTCTTGTAGGAACTGCCATCGCCATGCCTTCCCTTGTAATCTTATCTTCCCAAAGATACTGTAAACTTCCTGATGGTGAGACCACGTCTTATATTTCTACTTACCCTCCACCAGTGTCTGCACATTGTAGGCAATAAATGTTTGCTGATAGCTTGACTTTGTTGGGTGACATGGAAGGCGCTTTGTAGGCCTTCCAGGGGCACTCAGCCTTTCTTGGCTGTGTTTCCTCTAGTGATTTTAGGACAGCCTCCCCATGTCACCCCTCTGGCACTGGAGGAAGAAGGTTATTAAGGTGCAAGGAATTGTGCTCATGATGCTGCTCACTGAGATCTGGGACAAGGCATTGAGGGTATATCTTGGTTGCTCACCCAAAATGAGGCGAGGCAGCAGTTTTTGCATTTGAGTGAGAGGTAAATTTCTAGGATGCATCAGTAATAATTTGATACCCTGGAGTAGGAACTCCCACAGTGCTCTGGGAAATGGGCCTGGTTGTGCCCCAGGAGAACACCTTTGAGTATCTCCCTATATTCTCTGAACAAAATCCCTCTTCAAGTGTAATATAGAATTTTACATAAAGGGGATTTTAGCTGATGTGATGGAAATGTGGGCAGGAGGAGCTTCCTAGAGTCCCCTAAAATATAGAAATACTCTTCTTGTTTCATTATGTCACATTGTAAGTGCTTCTAAACAGTAGATGAAATGGGATTTCCATGTGATTGCTAACTGGTGAAATAAGAAAAGATGGTCCCAATGTGGAAATGTATTCCTTCTAGCTAGAAAATCCGTGATTTCTTCCTTCCTTCCCTTCCCCTCCCCTCCCCTCCCTCCCTCCCTCTCTTCCTCCCTCCCTCTCTTCCTTCTTCAAATATTTATTGAGTGCTTGCTCTATGTTAGACACTGTTATAAGTGCTAGGGCAATAAAATTTTATCTTCACCTATCAGGATTCAGTTAATATGATTTTGATTTGTGGTTGTTGCCGTTTTGCTGTTTTTTAAAAGGCATTATTTTATTTGTGTGCATGTGCTTCTGAGTTGTTTGGTTTGGGTTCCTTCAGTACACTGTAGGCTCTGAGAACAAGAACCTGAGAGCAAGAAGCTTGTAGCCCTCAGTTTCTGTTGCTTGCCTCCTCTGTGCCTAACACAGTGTGCTGTCCACCGTAGGGATCAATACAGGTTGCTGTGGGTTGCCTGAATGCCTCTCCTTCTGATTGCCCAAGAACACTGCAGTGTCCATGCATATGGGCACAGACAAACACAGCATTGATGGAAGAAAACCATAGATCAGTGTTTGCTAACCAATTTCACTTACCTTTTTCTTTTCTTGTCCAAAGGGGATCTCATTCCTAGGCACCAGCAAGTGTTTAGCACGAATCAGTACTTCAGTGGAGTGAAAATTCCAGACCCTGAAGATATGGTGAGTTACCCATTTTGGAGAGAGCTCTGTAGGCCAGGCTAGCTAGGCTTTGGTTGTTATTCACCTCCTGAGCCCCATGGCTCACCCTGCATTGGAGGTCAGTCTAACAGAGAAAAAGAAAATTGGAGCAAATTGGCTAGCGAGACTTTAGCCTTACTGCTCATTTAGAGGCTGCTGATAACAGAGTCTAGCCAGCCTGTTGCATAGGAAGGCAGCGCTGCCTGCCTGCTGGAGCCACACCTGTCCTTTATCATTTCTTAGCAGTTGAACCTAGGTAGCTTAGAGCCAACCAACTTTTAGACCTAGACCTATCAAGGTAAAGTTAACTAGTTTTTCCCCAGCATTGTCCAAATTCCCTACTCTACTATGCCCATGGTCTCCAGACCATGGGAAAAATCATAATGAACTTCCTTGGGCTGGGTGCAATGGTTCACGCTATAATCCTGGTACTTTGGGGAGGCCGAGATGGGCAGGAGACCTCACCTGAGGTCAGGAGTTCCAGACCAGCCTGGCCAACATGATGAAACACTGTCTCTACTAAAATTACAAAAATTAGCCAGGCATGGTGGCACATGACTGTAATCCCAGCTACTCAGGAGGCTGAGGCAGGAGAATTGCTTGAGCCCAGGAGGTGGAGGTTGCAGTGAGCCGATATTGCACCACACCACTGTACTCCAGCCTGGGTGGGCGACAGAGCAAGACTCTTTCCAAAATAAATAAATAAATAAAAACTTCCTTAGCCAGCCTTACTCTGGTGCTTACCCTCTATTATGGCCAACCCAAATGGGGGAAGCCCATTTTTTAAAAGCAGAAAAATTTGAAATGTTTATACCCCTAATCCACTTCCAACAATTTATTCCTGTGAAACCATAATCCAAGAGCATAAAGATGTGGCATTATTTAATAGAAATTATTTCCTTTAGTATTCCATCAGTAGGGGATTATGTATGGTACATCCTTACAATAGAAATACCTCATCAGGCCAGGTGTGCTCATGCCTGTAATCCCAGCATTTTGGGAGGCTGAGGCAGGTGGATCAGGGGCTCGAGACCAGCACGGGCAACAAGACAAAACTCTGTCTCTACTAAAATACAAAAAGTTGGCCTAGCATGGTGGCACGCACCTGTAGTCACAGCTACTCAGGAGGCTGAGGTGAGAGGATCACCTGAGCTTAGGAAGTTGAGGCCGCAGTGACCTGAGATCGCTGCACTCTAGCCTGGGCGACAGGAGTAAGACCCTGTCTCCGAACCAAAAAAAAAAAAAAAGAAAGAAAAAAAAGAAATACCATACAGAGCCAGGTGCGGTGGCCCACACCTATAATTCTAGCAACTCAGGAGACAACTGAGGTGAAATATTGCTTGAGCACAGGAGGTCTAGACCAGCCTGGGCAACATAGCAAGACCCTGTCTCTACAAAATATTTTTAAAACTAACTGGGGTTGGAGACACATGCCTATAGCTCCAGCTACTTGGGAGGCTGAGGCAGGAGAATCACTTGAGCCCAGGAGTTTGAGGTTACAGTAAACTATGATCATGCCACTGCATTCCAACCTGGGTGACAGAGCAAAACTCTGTCTCTAAAAATAAGAAATACCATGTAGTTAAAAAAAAAAAAAAAAGACGGTTATAAAACAGTGTAGGCTGGGCATGGTGGCTCACGCCTGTAATCCCAGCACTTTGGGAGGCCGAGGCAGGTGGATCGCTTGAGCCCAGGAGTTCGAGACCAGCCTAGGCAACATGATGAAACCCTGTCTCTACTAAAAATACAAAAATTAGCCAGGCACGGTGGCACACACCTGTAGTCCCAGCTACTTGGGAGGCTGAGGTGGGAAGACGGCTTGACCTTGGGAGGTGGAGGTTGCAGTGAGCCGAGATCACGTCAGTACACTCCAGCCTGGGCAACAGGGCCAGATTCCGTCTCAAAACAAAAACAAAAACAAAACAAACAAAAAAACCAGTATGTATAATTTGACAAAGTTTTAATAAAAATGTAATATGCACACAATGCATATATACATATATTTACATATATAAATACAAAATAATGTGACAACATCTGGGAAATCACAAAGCTTTTTTTTTTTACATTTGTGAAATAAATGGCTGCAAGGATATATATCAAAATACTAAGAGTGGATATCTCTTTTGGGTGGGATTTTGGGGTAACTTTATGATTTTTTATATTTTTGAATGTCTTCTAATGAGCCTGTATTGTAATCAAAAACATTTCAGAGCATAATTAAGGTCTGTGAAATCTTGAGTTTCTACTGAGGAAGGTATCTTAAAAATGAAACTAACCCTCCAGTTTCTCACTAAACCCTTCAGTTTTCAGATGGAAGTTCTGTCTCTACCACTTGTGTTTTGTTTGTTCCCTAACCTCTTGGCTTGTCCCACAATGAAGGTTTCTGCTTCTCCACTGCCTCTTCCTCCTGTAGCACTAGCATTCAAAGTGGGTCTTGCTGGGACGGAGGGGCAGGAATGACACCTGACATATGGGAGGTGACCCATCTGGCTTCCTTGTGATCTGGACATTCCCAGTTGTGCACTAAATATCCCTAGTGATTTCCTGTTCACTTGTCTGTTGGTGAAGCCTCAGAAATAACCCAGGTTTCATAAATGTAAGAAGCTTCCCATGGCTTCCCAGAGATTGTCCTGCAGATTTCCTGTTGACAGAAACACAGGAAGAGGCAGTGCGGGGGCTGCACTGGTTGAACATCTGTGCCCCAGTCCCTCTGCCTGTCAGTAACCCTGACAGAGGGAGGCCTGCTTGCTTCTGGGGCTGTGAAACGCTCACAGATGGGCTCCAGCGTATCACAGGCAACCAGTTGGCCTCATCCAGACATTGTTGCTGAGACAGCAGAGCTCGATGATATAGCAATGGCACGTCAAACCCCAGTGATGCTCAGATTCAACCGACAGAAAGAACAAGAGAAATATTTAAGCTATGGAGCATGAGTGGAAGTATGAGGGTGCAACAGGGGCTACTGTCAAGGGCTAATACAAACCTACTTTAGGATTTTTTTTTTCTCCTGTTGACATAGGGAACTCTGAAACAGAGGCTCTTCTCTCCTACTCTTATCAATGATTAGTATGTGTACAATCCAGAATTGGTTATTGGGAGCTGGTTGCCTGTCCAAAATAATACTGTACTGTGAAAGCTGGCCACAGCACCAGGACTGTTTGATTAGATGAGCCTGGCCAGTCACTCCAGTCGGCAGCTCACACACTGCCACTTTTATACACACAATGCACTGCAGTCACTTATTTTGCTCAGCTTGGCTGGCTCTTATTTTCTCAGCCTCTCTGCTCAATTAGCCTTTGTCAGTGGTATGTCTCTTTAACTGGCCTGTTTGTCTGCCTGACATTCGGCATTCCTCCCATTTATAGTGTTATTCCTGATTGTCTCCAGCACGTGACTGGCGCAAAATCGCCTTATACGGCCAAAAGGAGATTGACGAATGCCCCACAGGAGACTGTTTAAACAGCAGGCTGAGAAGGGAAGCAGCAGGCCCTAGTGGGAGGAGACAACAGTGTTTATTCCAGAAAATCAAGAAGCATCTGTTCACCTGGGTAGGGGAAAAACATCTATTTTGCAGCTCCCTTTATATAATTAGAATTAGAGCTGCCTTTTTTTTTTTTTTTTTTTTTTTTTGAGACAGGGTCTTGCTCTGTCGCCCATGCTGGAGTGCAGTGGCACATTTATGGCTTACTGCAGCCTCAATCTCCCAAACCCACGCCATCCTCCCGCCTTAGCCTCCCAAGTAGCTAGTACTAGAGGCGCACACCACCACCCCCAGCTAGTTTTTTGGTATTTTTTTTAGAGAGACAGACAGGGTTTCATCATGTTGCCCAGGCTGGTCTCAAATTCCTGGGCTCAAGCCATCAGACTTGGCCTGAGTGGATTATAGGCATGAGCCACCGCACCCAGCCAGCTACCTTTTTATAAATCACACTATAAATGCCAAAAATTATTCTCAGGAAAGGCAAGTTATATAACTTGAGCCCCCCCACCCCCTCAAAAAAAAAACTGCTCAGAAAAGTTTTTTTTCATTAGTATTTTTATTTATAATTTGCTATCTCCATTGGTATCAGAGCAGGAAGTTAAGGGAGTAGTTACGAAGCAAATTTGGAAAAGCGATTTGGAGGTGGGGAGAGAAAGCTTGTGAAAAAGGCAAAGGGAGACTGTTTTGGGCAGGAGGTTGGGTGGGCAAAGGGTGGAGGACGTGAGGAAGGTGCCAGGAAAATGTTTCTATCAAAAGATTTAATTTGAGGTAACCTTAATTTGAATACATGCTGTAAATTAAAAACCTCTTTTCTTTTCAACAGGAACCACTTGAATTAAAATTCCCAAACATCTCTTATCCTGCCCTGGGGCTCCTAAAGGTAAAAATCATGGCTTCCAACAGACCAGGAAGCACACAGCAGTTGTCATCACTGGGGAATCTGAATTACTTATGTCAATCCATGCAATGAAAAGTGTTCCTTTTAGAATTCTTCTCCTGGCTGGGCAGTGGCTCACACCTGTAATCCTAGCACTTTGGGAGGCCAAGGCAGGCAGATCACCTGAGGTCAGTTCAAAACCAGCCTGGTCAACATGGTGAAACCGTCTCTACTAAAAATAAAAAAAATTAGGCGTGGTGGCGCTCGCCTGTAATCCCGACTACTCAGGAGGGTGAGGCGGGAGAATTGCTTGAGCCTGGGAGGCGGAGGTTGCAGTGAGTTGAGATTGCACGACTGCACTCCAGCTTGGGTGACAGAGTAAGACTCCGTCTCAAAAAAAAAAAAAATTCTCCTTGGAAAAGTATATTTTCAATTTTTTTAAATGGATCACATCCTATTAAGAAAACATTTGCAAGTATTTTCCACTTTAAATAAACCTAACATTATATTTGAAGTCTAAATTTACACAAAACAGAAATTTCAGGGGGGTGGTGATTGTTTTACAAAGGGAACTTTTTCTTCAGAAAATCCTTAGCTGCAGGATCCTTTTAAATAGCTAACTCCCTGGTACATTTGAAGTACATTTAAAAACTTGATATATATATTTATATATATATATATTTAGAAATATAGCTCTTATGTAAAATGAGGTATGGTATCAACTAAAATGTTTGCAAGTTACAGTCAATGTCCCACATGGTTTAAAAATTATTTATTTACTGATGTATTAAATAATGAGTTAATATAAATGATAATGTAACTGTTACCTGAAAGGGGTCCCAATCCGGACCCCAAAGGAAGGTTCTTGGACCTCATGCAAGAAAGAATTCAGGGCGTGTCCACACAGTAAAGTGGAAGCAAATTTATTAACAAAGTAAAGGAATAAAAGAATGGCTACTCTATAGGCAGCAGTGCTGTGGGCTGCTCAACTGAGTATACTTACAGTTATTTCTTGATTATATGCTAAACAAGGGGTGGTTTATGAGTTTTCCAGGAGAGGGCAGGGATTTTCTGGAACTGAGGGTTCCTCCCCTTTTTAGACTATTTAGGGTAACTTCTGGGCATTGCTATGGGTATTTGTAGACTGTCATGGTGCTGGTGAAAGTGTCTTTTAGCATGCTAACACATTATAATTAGTGTACAACGAGGAGTGAGGACAACCAGACATCACTTTCATCACCATCTTGGTTTTGGCCGGCTTCTTTACTGCATCCTGTTTTATCATCAGGTCATTGTGACCTATATTTTGTGCCGACCTGCTATCTCATCCTGTGAGTAACAATGCCAAACCTCCTGGGAATGCAGCCCAGTAGGTCTCAGCCTTATTTTACCCAGCCCCTATTCAAGATGGTGTTGCTGTGGTTTCAACACCTCTGACATAACCAACAAAAACTGAGTCAATTCCTTGGAGTATGTAGTTGTGAAATTTAATCTAATCTATCCAAGAATGAGCTCCATGGCCTACTTAGTTGCAACAAAAATAGTTAAGAATGATGTAATATAAAGGCATGTACGTTATGCCTCTCCTTATATACATGATCATATATACTTATAATGCATCAACTATTTCTGGAGGGATACACCAAAAAAAAAAAAAAAAAAAAGTAGCTGATTTTAGAAGGGTGAAGGGAACACCTACAGTGGTGGAGACTTTGCTGTATGCTGTATTAACTGTATTTGTTATCATGTGTAAATATCATTTTTAAAATAAAAACACTAGTTTTTACAAAGTACATGCAAGGGACCAAACTGGCTAAATGGATTACCCCATTTGGCCACTGAGGTAAACTCTAAAATTATATCTTACTCTCCCAGGGCAGAGTACCAATTGCTTCAAGAACAGAATAAGGTGGAGAAAATGATTTTTCATTACTACTTCTAGAAACTATTTATTTAATATGTGAGTGCCATTTAGGAATGACTGGAAGGAACTAAAATCATGACTGGTGTGTTTTCCTGCCTTTTCCCCCTTCTTATTGCAACTGAAGTTTCATCTTTCAAAGAAGAAAAAAATGACATTAATAAGTTAATACAATTTTGAAGAAGTAAGAAGAAGGAATTTTCTGTTCTTTTAGGGCTGTCTCCACATGGACCCTACTCAAAGGCTGACATGTGAACAGCTGTTGCATCACCCATATTTTGAAAACATCAGAGAAATAGAGGATTTGGCAAAAGAACACAACAAACCAACAAGGAAGACCCTAAGAAAGAGCCGAAAGCACCACTGCTTTACAGAAACATCCAAGGTTATAATTTGAAATGATCTCCTACCTGCCACCTGGTACAGAGAGTTGGAATCTAGACTTGAGGATGGCAGTTGTGGCTTTCAGCTCCAGCATCCTCATTCCAGCACTAGGAGACAGGTCATAGGATCTATCAACCAGGGCCCCAGGGACATCTGTCTCCTGAAGCCCCCTCTCCCTGAATCCTAAAGGTGCCCTTGTCCTGCTGCTTCCTGATGCCACACAGGGGCCAGGGTTTCCAGCCTGCATGAGCACAGGTCTCAACAAGGTACATGAGTATGAGTCCAGCTAAGGAGACTTTTTGGGCTTTGGAAAATGAAATCAGATTTTCCCCATGCAGTTCTGTGTCATCATGTACACTTTTAGTATTAAAACTAACACTCCAGGTTTGTCCAAAAAAGGAGCTGTTTTCCTCCCTGATCCTTTGTCAGAGTTGGCTAGGGCAAATACAGTGATGAGTGCTTTTGGTGGTATCAGCTGAATACATTTAACCAGAGAACAGCATCCAAACTGCACACTGGGAGACTGTGAAGAATCCTGATTGGTATAAAATGGCCTTACATTAAGCATCTTGTGATAAGCCAAAAGCTGTAATAATTTAGAATGAACTGTAGTTGGAACCACAACTGATCCTGGGTAACCTCAGGATCTACCTAGGTACTCCTTAAGCTATACATTATCTTGCCTTAGTCTTTCTCTTTGCAGCTTCCACTGCCCAGCATGCTGAATGGTACCAGGGTGTGTTGTGTATGAGGCTGGGAGGAGGGAAAAGGGTGAAAAAGGTCCATGAGGAACAAGTACAGCATGAACTCCAGGGCCCTAATGTAGATCACAGTTACAAAATTAATGTTTTATTCTCCATCATATGTGACCCAGGTAGCACAACAGGCCAGAAACAGACTCCTCCACCCCCACGCCAGAATTATTCCTTATCTCAGTATTAGTTTGTATTCGAGAGCAAAAGGTTTTGATGGAAATATTTCTATTTGAAAAAATAGGGAAACTCCACTATTTGGTGTATTGATTTTTTTTGAGACTGAGTCTCACTCTGTCGCTCAGGCTAGAGTGCAGTGGTATGATCTTGGCTCACTGCAACCTCTGCCTCCCAGGTTCAAGTGAGTCTCCTGCCTCAGCCTCCCCAGTAGCTGGGATTACAGGCATGTGCCAGTATGCCTAACTAATTTCTATATTTTTAGTAGAGACAGGGTTTCGCCATGTTGGCAGGCTGGTCTCGACTCCTGACCTCAGGTGATCCATCCGCCTTGGCCTCCCAAAGTGCTGGGATTACAGGCATGAGCCACCGCACCTGGCCTGGTGTACTGCTTTTAAATCCTGAAAGAATCAACTGATTTAAAAGTACTAAAAAGCACTTTTCTGAGGACAATGGCTGAAAAATTTTTTTCTAGAAAGTAAAAGTACTAAACAGTTCCCTTTTTAGGGATACCGAAGGACATATAGTGCAATACAAAAAATACAGGTGTGTTCTTTCATTTGACATTGACAATAAATTCAAACATTTTCAGGAAGCTTGAAGGAAGCAGTTTGTCTTTTTTCTTTAGAGATGGGGATCTTGCTATGTTGCCCAGGCTGCTCTCCTGGGCTCAAGGGATGCTCCCACTCAGCCTCCCTTGTAGCTGGAACTACAAGTGTACACTGTGCCATGCTTGATTTGCCTTTTTAACTAAGGGAAGAGAGTGAGTAGGCAAATTGCCTAGGTGCTCTGTTTATCAGTTTTCTCCGCTATAAGACAAGGCATTGGCTTAAATGATCCCTAAGATCTCAGCAAGCTCTCAACTCCTGTAAATCTATGTTTTCTTCCCAATAATGTTAACATGTAGATTTTCCCCTTTTCATATTCTCTAAATCTTCTTTAATGTGAATGTTTTTCCTTTTTAATATAAACATTTAAAAGGAAAAGCCAAGACGAAATTGAAACATTTAATCCTCTCTCAAGTCCTGGATTGTGTGCAAAAAAAGTACTTCTATACTAAAAAGCTTAATTACCTCTTTTGTGATATATTCTAAATAATGAAAAAAATGCATGGCACAGTTTTGAACCTAATTCTGTGTTTTGCATTTTTAGTTGCAGTACCTACCCCAGCTAACTGGCAGCAGCATCCTTCCAGCTTTGGATAATAAGAAGTACTACTGTGATACCAAGAAACTTAACTACCGTTTTCCAAACATTTAAAGGAGCTAGGAGACATGATTTTAAAAAAGGAATCAATAGATGCTTTGAAGAAAATAAAACTTATACAGTTGATTGAAAACAATTACAATGTTGAAAACACACCAGGAGAAAACATAAGCAAGAAACTGGGAGGCCAACTGGCAAGATATGAAGGGAAATTCCAGATCCAGTCTTCCATGCTTGATGATGGTGTCCAGAAAAGAAAAAACCTGTTTGGAGTTGCACTTGTATTTCAGTTTATGTAAGTAGCCGAACTTATGGACAGAATATGAACTGTCCCATACCTCTGGCAAAACTAGATGATATCAAAAAGATTTATGCTTCAGTTGTACCACATGCCACACAAGAAAAATGAACCACAAAATGCCCATATATATTTCCTCGGATCTCTGTTGCCTGAGTCCTATCTCCTGCCTCTCAGATTGTTTCAGCATCATATTTAAGATAGTTCTATTTCTTGAAATCAAAATGTTTAAAATCCCATTTCCTGCTTGCTCTATTTCTTGATTTTTATATTTTAAAACATTTTGAGGGTAACACTTAGGTTCAAAATATTTAAAAGCATATGAATTATCACAAAAGCTTGGTAATTTATAATTTAATTATATGTTTCCACATTTCATCCTTACTTTATCAGTAAAGGATACACCTTAGTCACTTTTGCAGGCAACGTGGATTTACTGTAATCTGTCTACATTTATTCACCCAATTCCCCTTGTAAACAATGGCATGAAGCTCGGCAGCTGATTAAGGCAGTCAAAGGGTAGAGCAAGACCTACAGGCTTTGCAGGAACTGAACCTATCAGCCTGAAAATAATTAGTATTTCATTCTCTCTGGCACAGCCTTTGACCTGGTACATCTATAGGCAAACCTGTAATTCAGTGATCTGGGTTTCAGAAGAAATTACTTGTGAGCTTTTACTTGAGTCATGAAAGACATTATGTTGTAAACTGATGTTTTCCCTGAAACATCTTTTTGCACTATGTTTGTATGTGTATGTATGTGTATGTATATA
Source organism: Homo sapiens (assembly GCF_000001405.40). Taxonomy (NCBI): domain Eukaryota; kingdom Metazoa; phylum Chordata; class Mammalia; order Primates; family Hominidae; genus Homo; species Homo sapiens. Next base: position 50,329,057 of record NC_000014.9, on the reverse strand, counting down.
TATATATATATATATATATATGCTATTCTAACAACTAATATATTACACTAAGTAGTCCAAAGTATTGAGGACTCATAGCTTTGCACAGTGAGACTTAAAATGATGACACACACACACATATATATATATGTGTTTTTTATATATATATATAAAACCTGCCACCTCAGCCTCCCAAGTAGCTGGGACTGCAGGCATGTGCCACTATACTGGCTAATTTTTTTGTATTTTTTGGTAGAGGCAGGGTTTTGCCATGTTCCCCAGGCTGGTCTTGAACTCCTGGGCTCACGTGATCTGAGCGCCTTGGCCTTCCAAAGTGCTGGCATTACAGGCATGAGCCACTGCGCCTGGCCAAAATGACATAATTAGCTTTGATTTGGTCTACTGCTCTTAATCAAAAAGCTTTTTCATCCTTGTCCCCTGGACACAAGGGCAATATGAAGCCTGACGTCTGTTTCTTACAGCTCAACACCATTTCTGGTTGATGTGCTGCCACTATTCCTAGCACTTCTCAGCCATGGTCTTCAAAGTTGTATTTCACTCTATTTTCAAAACATTTCTTCTGTACTCTCATTTTCTTCCTGTTAATTTTCTTCATGATGACATCTGACCCCATTTACTTAAGTAATCCACTGAGGTCTGGTGTCTACTCAATAATTTTGACTACCCTAGGCAGTTTAATGATATCCTAAGGCTTCCTAATGTATGTCTTTTCTTGCCTAGACCTGATATGGGTTAAATGCTAGTCCCTGAATTATTCAATTCCTGTTAGACGGCCTTGATTCAAATGACAAGGAAGAACATCCAGCTTCCGTGAATAGTTAAAAAAAAATTTTTTTTTCCTTAACCCAAGAAAATACACTTGACGGAGGCAGATTACTATAACAGCCTAATAATTCAGCCAATAGTTTTACCAAAAACTATTCAGAATAGAAAAGTAGCTCTAGACTAAATCGTGGTGAATCAGTTGTCTCACCATACAGTAATGAAACAAACCTGAGAAAAAAGGCTTATTTTTTTCTAATGAGTTCCGTTAAATTTATGCTTATGTTCAATTTAACCATATTTATAATGCTTTTATTCGGTATGAAATCTCCACTGTATCACATGAGACTCTTCCACATCCTTTTATTTACTATTTTCTGATTTTTAAAATGACAGTGGCAATTACCATTTATACTGTGTTATTTGTATAAGCTGTTAAACACAACATTGTTAAACACAACGAAAATTCATTTTTCTACCTGAAAGCTGTATCATAGAAAATTATTTTCAAGTTTATATTCAACAGCTTAATAATGTTCAAACCAGGCTGGGCGCGGTGGCTCCCAGCACTTTGGGAGGCCGAGGCGGGTGGATCCTGAGGTTAGGAGTTCAAGACCAGTCTGGCCAAGATGGTGAAACCCTGTCTCTACTAAAAGTACAAAAATTAGCTGGGCGTGGTGGTGGGCGCCTGTAATCCCAGCTACCTGGGACGCTGCGACAGAGAACTGCTTGAACCCGGGAGGCAGAGGTTGCAGTGAACTGAGATCACACCACTGCACTCCAACCTGGGCAACAGAGTGAGAGTCTGTCTCAAAAAAAAAAAAAAAAAAAAAAAAGTTCAAATCAAACACACAGAAATCTATAAACAAACTGGCATATAAGAGTAATAGAATCAGGGCCATTTCTCACAGGTAACAATGAAGACCTGTTTTATCTATTTTTCACTTTTTTTTTTTTTTTTGAGACAGGGTCTTAATCTGTTGCCCAGGCTGGAGTGCAGTGGTGCCAACATGGCTCACTGCAGCCTCGACTTCCCGGGCTCAACTGATCCTCCTACCTCAGACTCCTGAGTAGTTGGGACTACAGGCATGTGCCACTACACCCAGCTATTTTTTATTTTTTAATTTTTTGGTAGAGACAGGGTTTTGCCATGTTGCCCAGGCTCGTCCTGAACTCCTGGGCTCAAATGATCTGCCTGCCTTGGCCTTCAAAAGTGCTGGGATTACAGGCCAGCCCTTTTTTTTAAGAGACAGGGTCTCCCCCTTTCACCCAGGCTACCAGGCTGGTGTGCAGTGGCCGTGATCATAGCTTACTGCAGCCTCAAACTCCTGAGCTCAAGCAATCCTACCACCTCAACCTCCCAAGTATCTGAGATTACAGGTATGCACCACCATGCCTGCCTAATTTTTAAAATTTTTTTAGAGATGGGGTCTCACTGTGTTGCCCAAATTGGTCTCAAACTCCTGGTCTCAAGTGATCCTCCCACCTCAGCCTCCCAAAGCACTGGGATTACAGGCACGAGCCACGGCACCCAGCCTAAAGCAATGTTAGGTTTCAAGAAAAACCTAAGCATAGCCCACTAGTTTTTACTGTTTCCTTTATTATATTGCAATCTGCAAAACTATTTGTATTCAGCCAAGTATCTATGTCCAGTTTTAATAAAATAGTAGCCTAAGCTTACAAAATAGACAAATTAAGCAGCAACTGTTGATTCTGAGTAAGTCTGTATGCTATCAAGAACACAAGAATGCAGGATCATGGGAAATGCACGCAAATCCTGTTGAAGCAATGCATGCTTCAACAACCACTGACCACTTTGCATAATTGACTCCATCAATGAATCTGTAATTTAGCTTCTAATTTTTCATAATTGTGCATTTATGGTAGTATGCTTCACTAACTTTAAAGTTAAATGTAAATTACTGTTATAATAAAAACATCTGTTGTACAAATAACTTTAAAGGATTCTAAATATCTACATCAAGAGATATCTATAGATTTACATATTAAATGAATATATTAGAATTAAAATGTTACCTAGTTTACATTTTTCTTTTTTTTTTTTTTTTGAGACAGTCTCGCTCTGTCACCCAGGCTGGAGTGCAGTGGCACAATCTCGGGTCCCTGCAACCTCCACCTCCCAAGTCAAGTGATTCTCCTGCCTCAGCCTCCAGAGTAGCTGGGATTAAAGGCGTGCACCACCACATTCAGCTAATTTTGTTTTTTTAGTAGAGATGGGGTTTCACCATGTTGGCCATGGTTGGTCTTGAACTCCTGACCTCAGGTGATCTGCCCGCTTTGGCCTCCCAAAGTGCTAGGATTACAGGCATGAGCCACTGCGCCTGGCTGCACTTTTCTTAAAATGAATTAATGTTCATAAATTCTCACTTCCAACTTAGTAACATTAATGAGCCACGTCTGAATATTTATTTTCTACATATGATGCACTCTCCACTTCTAAAATGTCATGATATGGCATCCTTATAATTCTACTGATGACTATATAATATTAGTTGATGTTTGGAATCAACAGTTTCAAATGATCCTTTATACTGAAATAAGACACATTATTTTACTTCAATTGTAATTTTAGTTCCAGAGAAGGCAGTGCTGTCTTAAAGGCTTGGACAAGATTTTCTTTTTCTCTTACTCCAGGAAGATCACTTAACAACAAATATTTGAGGTTTCTGCAAATAAAGAAAAAAGTCACTTCAATTTGGCCAAGAGCATTAAAAATAAATTCAATTTACTGACTTAAAGAAAGAAAATTATGTAGAAAATGAATCTATATCACCCTATGCCTTCAAAATTACTTTTAGAGCAGTAGCCTTAGAGATGAAATTCATGCCAGGAAGTAACACAGACTTTGGGTTACATCAATATTTCTAGCTGAATCATTCTAAATAAAATATATATTTATAATGATGTAGATATTCTTTGCATGTGAAACATGAAATGTGAATCTCAACCCCAAAAGGGCAAAAGCTGGGAAAATTCTTAGATACTAGAGTTTCTACTAAAAGATGAAGCTTTGAAGCTTCAAGTAATGTAAGAGATGAACAATCTAGTACTTTTGGTCCTAATGTTTAAAATTTCTTAAACTTCCTGTGATACTGAGGTTACTGGCAGATCCATTATATATTAAAGCAGAACTACATTAATTAGATACATAATTTGAATGTTGAGATCTCTAACACAGGGATTTGATTAAACAAACTTCTAGGCCGGGCACGGTGGCTCACGCCTGTAATCCCAGCACTTTGGGAGGCCGAGGCGGGCGGATCATGAGTTCAGGAGTTCGAGACCAGCTTGGCCAACATGGCGAAACCCCATCTCTACTGAAAATACAAACATTAGCCGGGCGTGGTGGTGCACGCCTTTAATCCCAGCTACTCAGGAGGCTGAGGCAGGAGAATCGCTTGAACCCAGGAAGCGGAAGTTGTAGTGAGCCAAGATCATGCCACTGCACTCCAACCTGGGCAACAAAAGCAAGACTCCGTCTCAAAAAAACAAACAAACAAAAAAACTTCTATTCTTTTTTCATCACGCCGATGAGACTCAGAATCTTACAAATTTTAGAATTAAACATTCCTTGCTAGTATTATCTGTTTTTGCATTTGGGATTAGGTGACTTGCTCCAGGCCATGGCGTGGGTCTGGTTGGTGGCACAAGAGGATGTAGAACAGCTTTCCTAACCAGTGGATGCATGCTTTTGATGATTATTACAGTGTCAGGCAGTGTTCTAGGCTCTAGAGACAGAAAGGTGAATATTTCAAGGTTTTTCTCCCCTCAAGCAAAATAATTACACAGTAAAATGCTAATAGGTATATACCAAATGTCTTGAAAATATTAAAACCATAGGAGAAACTGCTTTAAAAAAAAAGGAGAGAAAGCATAATCGTTGATGCTTACTGAGGGCTTACTGTGGCAGGCACCATGCTAGGTGCTTAATGTAGATTTAATTTTTTAAAATATACTCTATAAAAAATTCAATACAACATTAATGTATTAAGGTTGATCATTTTAGCTGTTTTAAAATATTACAGATGAAAGTGAGGTCATTTTTTAAAATTATCTTTTTTAGAACTAAAAAAAGACACCACCCCTCACAGTCAATTAAATTCTAACTATTCACCTTAACAGCATTATCAAGTTTCCACTTTGGCTTTGATCATCTACCTTAAATGACGCAAAGCAATGATGCCTTTGTCTGTGATATTCCCACAGGATATTATTTCCATTTCCAATATGGTTTTTTGTAAATTTTCAAGTTGACTAAGTCTCAGCAAACAGTCATCCTCGATATAATGACACTTGCACAGCCTTATTTTTTCAACATGCTCTAGGCCCTCTGGGGAGAAAAAGTACAGATTAAGAATCTGCTTTACCACTAAGATGACAAACTGTCCTGGTTTGCCCACGACTGACTTGGTTTTAGGACTGAAAGTCCTATGTCCTGGGAAACCTCTTAGTTCCATGAAAACTGGAATGACTGCTCACCCTATTAACCATATAAGGAATTCACTATAGAGCTTGTGCTGATGGACAGGACCATTCCGCAGTCAGATGCCCACACACTGGAGGAAAGAAATGCCCACATAGGGCCAGGCCCAGTGGCTCACACCTGTAATCCCAGCACTTTGGGAGGCTGAGGCGGGTGGATCACCTGAGGTCGGGAATTCAAGACCAGCCTGGTCAACACGGCAAAACCTTGTCTCTACTAAAAATAGAAAAATTACCCTGGCGTGGTAGTGCACACCTGTAGTCCCAGCTACTTGGGAGGCTGAGGCAGGAGAATCACTTGAACCCAGGAGGTAGAGGTTGCAGTGAGCCAAGATCACGCCACTGCACTCTAGCCTTGGTGACAGAGTGAGACTCTGTCTCAAAAAAAAAAAAAAAAAAAAAGAGGCCGGGTGCAGTGGCTCACACCTGTAATCCCAGCACTTTGGGAGGCCGAGGCAGGCGGATCATGAGGTCAGGAGATCGAGACCATCCTGGCTAACACGGTGAAACCCCATCTCTACTAAAAATACAAAAACAAAATTAGCCGGGCATGGTGGCGGGCGCCTATAGTCCCAGCTACTCAGGAGGCTGAGGCAGGAGAATGGCGTGAACCTGGGAGGCAGAGCTTGCAGTGAGCTGAGATCGCGCCACTGCACTCCAGCCTAGGCGACAGAGCAAGACTCTGTCTCAAAAAAAAAAAAAAGAAAGAAAGAAAAAAAAATGCCCACGTAAGCAGAAGCTGTGTGGATATAATTATTCCTGCATTATTGAGGGCTTCTCAATGACAGAAGTTTGACAAAGATAGTTTGACAAACAAGGCCCTGGATTTTAAGTCAATAAACCAAAGACTAGAGACATACAGAAACAAGCTTAGTGAGAGGAGGAAGGAGAGGAAGGTGTCTGTAACCTCAATTTAATTTGAAAATAAATATCAAACACAGGAAGAAACAAACTTGACTATAATGAAATGGGCAAAAAGGACATACCTATGACTATAATCGTGAGTCAACTGCAACAAAATGGTCACTGCAAATCATCTGCATTTTCTATTAGCAAAACGATAGGGTAGTTACCCATGTGATCAAATCCAATGCTCATGATACAAGAGTCGGTGGCGTCGATCGCCTGAATCTTGTATTTGTCCAGAGGGCCTGTTGGAAGGTGGTTGTAGTCCTTCTGCCACCTCTCCTGGCCATGGTAGCGCACCATGGCCCCACAGCGCAGCAACCACTCGGATGCCGCCCTGTCAGGGCCAACATCCCTGATGCGATCATAATCCACCCTGTTGGCAAGAGAAAAAAAGCAGTTTGCTTTTACAATAATCACTAGCTTGTTAACTATATTAACTGACATAAATAATACAGAACGCAACAAATTTTCATTTCAAGTGACTGACGAGGAAGATAAATTAGTGAGATCCATGCAAAAAAAACAAAAACAAAAACAAAAAAACCTGCAGTCTATCTGCTGACTTTTTTAGTTTTGTTTTTGTTTCCACGTGAACGCTGTCAAGGCGTATTATTTTTATATGAATTTATCAGACACAACGTTTCATTGATTCACATATAGTACAGTGCTTGACACCAGAGATACTTAGTAACTATTCTACGAATGACTATACTTGGTTAGAATTTGTATTAATAACAAAAGATTAAAGAGAAAATAATTCTGAATCTGTGGTCAAATTAATCTCATTAAGTGATATTTATTAATTTCTACATATGCTTTTTTCTCTAGCTAGTGATCATAATGCTGTATTAAGTAATTAGAAGGTTAGTTTCAAGTTTCAAAATGACATTTCTAAGTGTGCCACCCACTAATTTTTTGAAAACCCAAGTTACTTTGATAGAATTCAAAAGGTTAACTACATTCCTTTAAAAAGCCATAAAAATAAAATACTTTAAAATTATATTTAATAAGTTTTTCTGATTATAAAATGTTTTAGAAAACTTGAAATATATCAAAAGGACAAGTAAGAAAAATCATCGAAATCCTGCAACCCAAACAGCCACAATTAATATTTTGTAATCTGTTTTTCTGGTGTTTTTTCCATGTTTGTGTGGGTTTTGTTTGTTTGTAAACAAAATTAGGATCACACTGCACAAACTGTAAATATGAGAAATAGCCAAACAAGCTATTGGGAACTTATTTAGCTGTAACCATCTCCACATTTCTTCACTTTATTTAGAGTAACTTACTTATTAAACACTGCATTCAACCAGCCCCAGAAGTATCTGGAGTCACATGACCATGGGAGTTTCTTTACGCCACACAACTGCTGGGAAATTTTTCCAAACGGCATCATTTGATCTAGACACACAAAACAGTACTTACATTAGATCATCATCCGAGTCCCATACATATAGCAACTTACTTCAGAGTCAATGCTCTTGTACTGATAAAGCTGATGACTCACTTGCCACTCAACAATTACTGAGCAAGTCACTCCTGTTTCTTGTTCTTGGGGTTTTTTATTTGTTTGCTGCAAAAAAATGAGGGGTTGGACTGGATGGTGTCTAAGGCTCCTTCCGGCTAGAACGTTAAGTTCCACTGTTGAAACCTCAATTGGAGTCTGCCTGTCGTACTGCCATCTAGTGTCCATTCAGGCGCTGTAGCTATGAATTTGCTGAAGCTGGCTCCTCTATTCCCCATCTATATTTCCAGCATCAAAATGACAGACTAAAATCACCGAAAGAGCAACGTGTCAAGGTTAAGATGCTTGCATCCAGGAAAGAAGAGGAGACATGAAAATAGATCTACCTATGACAAGGCTGCAAGTGGTGTTACCAGAGCAGTGTAAACAAAAAAACTGTTTTAAGGGCAGCTGGGAAAGACTGGGCAAGTAACTTCACCTCTCTGACCTCTGGTTTTCTCATTTGTAAAATGAGATGATTTGCTTAATTTCCAGCTGTCAAAATGTATAACCATAATTTGAGAAAGTGATTCCTGGAGTAGGTTTCGATTTGATTGACCTCAATTCAAGTTTCCCTAGTAGTATGCTAGGTGTGTGCAGGGGACTGGATGTGGCAGGGAGGAGGAGATGGGGAGACAAAGATAAATGAAACATGGTGTTTGCTTTGAGCATCTGACAATTTAATGCAGGATGGAGTGGGCTAAGACACGTTATCAAGTAGTTAAAATAAGTGACAGAACTTGATAAATGCCTCAAAAGAGTTAAAATAAGGACAGAAAGGATTTCAACAAACAAAGGTGCCAGGAAAAATTATGCCAGATTATTAGCTGAAGCAGGAACATTTAAGGCATGTTATTTTCAGTTTCACTAGCACATGTGAGTCATGAGAAGAGGCAGGCAACTTGCACAGTCAGGTCGTGAAGTGTTTTGCATGCTCAGCCAGGGAATTTGGACTGTATTCTGTATGTAGCAGGGAGTCACCGAGGTTTCTGAACAAAGCACTGGCCCTTTGGGAGGCCGAGGCAGGCAGATCACGAGGTCAGGATATCGAGACGATCCTGGCTAACACGGTGAAACTCTGTCTCTACTAAAAATACCAAAAAATAAAAAAATAAAAAATTAGCCAGGCATGGTGGCATGCGCCTGTAGTCCCAGCTACTCGGGAGGCTGAGGCAGGAGAATCGCTTGAACCCGGGAGGCAGAGATTGCAGTAAGCTGAGATTGTACCAGACTGCACTCCAGCGTGGACAACAGAGTGAGACTCCATCTCAAAAATAAATAAATAAATAAAATAGAACAAAGCATTGGCATTGTTACGGTTGTGCTTCAAGAAATTGACTCAGCAGCATCAAGATTAAGGGTCAACAGAATGGGACAGCCAGTCAGCAAGGGCTTCAATCACATGAGGCCATACGAAAGGGCCTAGTTGGGGAAGGATGGGAATGACATTACATAGTTAGTTCCATATGACTCAGTTAAGTGAGATGTAGGGGCAAGGGCTAGAGGAGTTGAAAATGACACCAAGTTTTGGCCCTGGGTCACTGGTAGTAGGATGGTGATGCCATTAAAAGAAATCACATTAGGAGAACAGGGTTATAGGTTCAGATTTTTTTCTTTTAGTTTTTCATAATCTACATACTAAGTGTTAGCAGGATTTCTAAGTGCAGATGACCAACAAATCATTGGAATCAGAGGTCACAAAACATTAGAGCTGTAAGGAATTTAGATCACCTGGATGAAATCTCTCATTTAGAGGTGAGGAAACTGAAGCCCTGATATTAAGTAACTTCCTGACATCCTAAATCCTTTCTGAAACAAGGTGGGGTATTAATAAATGCATGTGTTTAAAGGGACTTGCTCAATGTTTCATGACTAATTGGTGGCAGTGTTGAAACCTGAACCCAGTTCTCTACCAGCCCAGGGTCCTTTCCTCAATCATTACATGGTTCTGGAATTCAAGAGAAAGAAGAGGACTAGAAAGATGCCTGAGAGGGAAACACCTTAAAGCTGAGGAAGTGATTGAGGATGCTGAGGCCGTGGAACAGTGAGAGATGTGAACTGAAGACAGAACCAACTACCCTTTCATCCCTTTTTCACTACAGCCGTCTTCATTACTGCAAGCCTCTGCTCCACTACCTCTTATCATGTTCTCAACCCTTTCCAACTTTTTGTTAAAGCGCTCTCTGCCTGTGCCCACCTTGAATAACTCTATTAGTTGTCAATCTTATTTACAAATATGGGCTTTCCCAGCTTCTACTCAGGCTGTTTTCTCTTAGCCTCCCTCCCCCATCACCATCAATCTGTGGAAATCCCACCCAACCTCAAGACCTTACTCAAATGCCATGTCCATTCATTCATTCGCTCAAAAAATGTTTATTGAATGTCTGCTATACTTAGTGCAAAGGCAACAATGGTAAGACAAAACAAACAAAAACAAGAACAAAGGAGAAAGAGACACACAGAAAGACAAGGTTCCTGACCTCATAGAACATATAATTTAATAAAGAGAGATAACATATAAAGAGATAAATAACACCCAACGTGGTTGGATAATAGAGGTGTGAACAAATACCATGAGAATCTAGAGAAGGGAGTGAGAAGAAGGCCTTCACACTAGAGGTGTCTTTTGAAATGGGTCTTAATGATTAAGAGTTTTCAGTTAGTCTAGAAGCAGAAGCAGAATATGAAAAAAAAAATTCCAGTTAGAACGAAAAAAGAGTATGCAAAGTAAAAGAACAAGGATGGCATCTTATTCATTTCCATTTTTCTCAGCATAATGCAAAAGTTTAATAAATATTTGTTTATTAATAGTCTTCAACGGTTGACATGTTTCCATGGAGAAAGGTAAAACCAGTTAAACTGTTATTAAGCAGGTGAATTAGAGTGGTCTTTGAAAACTGAATATTTTTGCTTGATTCATTTTGGCCCATCTTATAATTTAGCTTAAACGAAAGGCCAAATTTACTTAGGCTGTAATCTCTAAAAACACAAGATATTAGATTTAAAATGTTTTAAACATAAAAATTAAATTTATATTTGGCAATAGAGGTAACAAAAATTGGTAGGTTTTTACATTTCAACTGCAACTTTGCTAATGATTTTGCAAATTATTCCTACTTGAGTCCAAACAGTTGCCTTTGGGAACGCTTTCTATAGGGAAAGAGGAGACCTCTAGTGGGAAGTTAGTGAATCTAGCTCTAATAAATTAAAAGAACCCAGTTAAACGCAAATTAGAAAATAACCACTACTAAATTACTGCTGCCATAGATAATCCACCATGATTGAGTTTCATACAGGGATGCACAAATGGCTTAACATACACAAGTCAATAAATGTTATATGCCACATAAACACAATTAAAAACAAAAATCACATGATCATCTCAATAGATGCAGAAAAAGCATTTGACAAAATCCAGCATCCCTTTGTGATTAAAATCCTCCGCAAAATTGGCATACAAGGGACATACCTCAAAGTAATAAATGCCATCTATGACAAACCCACAGCCAACATAATATGAACGGGGAAAGTTTAAAGCATTCCCTCCAAGAATTGGAACAAGATAAGGATGCCGACTCTCACCACCACCACCCCCCTTTTTTTTTTTTGGAGATAGTGTTTCACTCTTGTTGCCCAGACTGGAGTGCAATGGCATGACCTCAGCTCACTGCAACCTCTGCCTCCTGGGTTCAAGCGATTGTCCTGCCTCAGCCTTCCAAGTAGCTGGGATTACAGGCGCCCACCACCACGTCCGGCTAATTTTTTGTATTTTTAGTAGAGATGGGGTTTCACCATGTTGGCCAGGCTGGTCTTGAACTCCTGACCTCAGGTGATCCACCCGCCTTGGCCTCCCAAAGTGCTGGGATTACAGGCATAAGCCACGGCACCCAGCCCCACTCTCATCACTTCTATTCAACATAGTACTGGAAGTTCTAGCTAGAGCAATCAGACAAGAGAAAGAAATAAAAGGCATCCAAATCGGTAAAGAGGAAGTCAAACTTGCTATTTGCTAATGATATGATTGTATGCCTAGAAAACCCTAAAGACTCCTCCAAAAAGCTCCTAGAACCAATAAATGAATTCAGCAAAGTTTCAGAATACAAAATTAATGACATAATTAGTACCTTTAGTATACACCAACAGTGACCAAGCTGAGAATCAAACCAAGAACTCAACCCCTTTTATAATAGCCACACACACAAAAAAAACTTAGGAATATGCCTAACCAAGGAGGTGAATGACCTCTAAAAGGAAAACTACAAAACACTGCTGAAAGAAATAACAGATGACATAAACAAATGGAAACACATCCCATGCTCATGGATGGATAGAGTCAACATTGTGAAAATGATCATACTGCCAAAAGCAATCTACAAATTGCTTCAAGTTCATTGCAGATTCTGGATATTAGTCTTCCCATCAATACAATTCCCATAAAAATACCATCATTCTTCAGAGAACTAGAAAAAACAATCCTAAAATTCATATAGAACCAAAAAAGAGCCCACATAGCCAAAGCAAGACTAAGCAAAAAGATAAATCTGGAGGCACAACATTACCTGATTTCAAACTATACCATAAGGCCATAGTCACCAAAACAGCATGGTACTGGTATAAAAATAGGCACATACACCAATGGAACAAAACAGAGAACCTAGAAAGAAACCCAAATACTTATAGCCAACTGATCTTCAACAAAACAAACAAACATATAAAGTGGGGAAAGGACATCCTATTCAACACATGGTACTAGGATAACTGGCAAGCCACATGTAGGAGAATGAAACTGGATCCTCATCTCTCACCTTATACAAAAATCAACTCAAGATGGATCAGGGACTTACATCTAAGACCTGAAACTATAAAAATTCTAGAAGATAACATCAGAAAAACCCTTCTAGACATTGGCTTAGGCAAGGGTTTCATGACCAAGAACCCAAAAGCAAATGCAATAAAAACAAAGATAAATAGTTGGGACTAAAGAGCTTTTGCGTGGCAAAAGGAACAGTCAGCAGAGTAAACAGACAACCCACATAGTGGGAGAAAATCTTCACAATCTATACATCTGACAGAAGACTAACATCTAGAATCTACAATGAACTCAAACAAATTAGCAGAAAAAAACAATCCCATCAAAAAGTGGGCTAAGGACATGAAGACAATTCTCAAAAGAAGATATATGAATGGCCAAGAAATATATGAAAAAATGCTCAACATCACTAATCATCAGGAAAATGCAAATCAAAACCACAATGTGATACCACCTTACTCCCCGCAAGAATGGCCATAATCAAAAAATTAAAAAAAAATAGATGTTGGCGTGGATATGGTGTAAAGGGAACACTTCTACACTGCTGGTGGGAATGTAAACTAGTACAACCACTATGGAAAACAGTGTGGAGATTCCTTAAATAACTAAAATTAGAACTACCATTTGATCGAGCAATTCCACTACTGGGTAGCTACCCAGAGGAAAGGAAGTCATTATACAAAAAAGATACTTGCACACGCATGTTTATAGCAGCACAATTTGCAATTGCAAAAAATGTGGAACCAACCCAAATGCCCATCAATCAATGAGTGGATAAAGAAGCTGTGGTATATATATATGATGGAATACTAGTTAGCCATAAAAGGGAATGAATTAATGGCATTCGCAGCAACCTGAATAGGATTGGAATTTATTACTCTTTTTTTTTTTTTTTTTTTTTTTTTTTGTGAAACAGAATCTTGCTCTGTCGCCAGGCTGGAGTGCAGTGGCGCAGTCTCAGCTCACTGCAACCTCCGCCTCCCAGGTTCAAGTGATTCCCCTGCCTCAGCCTCCCAAGTAGCTGGGATTACAGGCATATGCCACCACGCCCAGCTAATTTTTTGTATTTTAGTAGAGATGGGGTTTCACCATGTTGACCAAGATGGTCTCAATCTCCTGACCTCGTGATCCACCTGCCTTGGCCTCCCAAAGTGCTGGGATTACAGGCGTGAGCCACTGCACCTGGCCTGGAGTTTATTATTCTAAGTGAAGTAACTCAGGAATGGAAAACCAAACATCGTATGTTCTTACTCAAAAGTGGGAGCTAAGCTATGAGGATGCAAAGGCATAAGAATGACATAATAGGCTGGGCGCAGTGGCTCATGCCTGTAATCCCAACACTTTGGGAGGCCGAGGCGGGTGGATCACGAGGCCAGGAGATTGAGACCATCCTGGCTAACACGGTGAAACCCTGTCTCTACTAAAAATATAAAAAATTAGCCGGGCATAGTGGCAGGTGCCTATAGTCCCAGCTACTCAGGAGGCTGAAGCAGGAGAATGGTGTGAACCCGGGAGGCAGAGCTTGCAGTGAGCTGAGATCATGCCACTGCACTCCAGCCTGGGTGACAGAGCGAGACTCTGTCTCAAAAAAATAAATAAGCAAATAAATAAAAAAGAATGATACAATAGGCTGGGTGCAGTGGCTCACACCTGTAATCCCAGCACTTTGGGAGGCTGAGGCAGGCAGATCACTTGAGGTCAGGAGTTCAAGACCAGCCCGGTCAACATGGCGAAACCGCATCTCTACTAAAAATATGAGAGTTTGCCGGGCGTGGTGGCATGTGCCTATAGTCCCAGCTACTCAGGAGGCTGAGGCAGGAGAATTGCTTGAGACCAGGAGGCAGAGGCCGCAGTGAGTTGAGATTGCACCACTGCACTCCAGCCTGGGCAACAGAGCATAACCCTGTCTCAAAAATAAAAATAAAAAATAAACATGCACTTACCATATGACCCAGCAATTGTACTCTTGGGCACTTATCCTAGAGAAACAAAAACAGGTTCACACAAAAGGCTGTACACTCATGTTCACAGCTGCTTGATTCACAATAGCTAAAAACTAGAAACAACTCAAATGTCCTTCAATGAGTGAACAGTTGAATGTACTTGTATTAGTCCATTTTCACACTGCTGATAAAGACATACCCGAGACCGAGAAGAAAAAGAGGTTTAATGGACTTACAGTTCCACATGGCTGGGGAGGCCTCACAATCATGGTGGAAGGCAAGGAGGAGCAAGTCACATCTTACATGGATGGCAGCATGCAAAGAAAGAACTTGTGCAGGGAAACCTCCCGTTTTTAAAACCATCACATCTTGTGAGGCTCATTCACTATCTGGAGAACAGCACAGGAAGGACCTGCCTCCATAATTCAATCACCTCCCACCTGGTTCCTCCCACAACACATGGGAATGGTGAGTTACAATTCAAGATGAGATTTGGGTGGGGACACAGCCAAACCATATCAATACTGTAGTACATCTACATTATGGAATACCACTCAGTAATAAAAAGGAAGGAACTACTGATACATGTAACAGTTTGGATATATCTCAAGGGATTATGCTGAATGAAAAAGAGTCAATAAAAGTTACATACTGTATAATTACAATAATTACATTTATGTAACATTCTTGATATAACAAAATTTTAGAAACAGAGAATAGATTGGGTGGGGCTGCAAAGGTAAGTTGTGGTTATAAAAGGGCAACTGGAGGGACCCTTGTGGTGATGGACCTGGGCTGTACCTTGACTGTGGTGGTGGATACAAGAATCTACACACCTGATAACCATATAGAACTAAATATACACAGAGAACACTAATACAAAATGAGGAATCTGAATGAGATCAATGGATTGTGTGAATGTCAATTACCTGGTTGTGATATGGTACTAGTTTTGCAAGATGCTACCACTGGGAAGACTGGGTAAAGGGTACACAGAATCTCTATTCTTACAATTGCATGGAAATCCACAATTACCTCACAAAGTTGAATAACCATCTCTTTTTTTCATCTGTGATGGAACAAGCAGGCAATATTCTACATTGTTTTAACAAATAAAGCAAACTATGTACCACTGTTCTGGTGGTAAAACCCTTTAACCATAATAAATGTCATCACGTAGCAAATGCTTCACTGTGCTAAACACCTGCTGACCTTATCTCGTGTAATCCGCTCAACGGCCCTAAGACTAGGGAGACACTGCTATCATTCCTAGTTCACTGAGGAGGGTCTGAGGCAAAGAGGTGAAGTGATTTCCTGGAGCTACCTGACCAAAGACTGGAACCAAGATTCTTAGAGGCACACGAAGTCCTTCTGGTAATAAATCTGTATAATTCTATTTGTTATGTTCAGCTGTCCTAACCCTAAAAATTAAAAACTGCCATCAAGCATACAGAATGAGTGTTAGCAACACCGGCACAGTGACAATTTTAAAGAGTTAGAAGGTCCTTTAGAGATTACACAGCCCATCGCCCTCATTTTTACATAAAGGGAATCAGGTGAAGTGACCTGCACAGGTGAGTCGCTGCTCAGAGACCGCACAGCACATTTAAAACTGTATCTCGGTTCAGTACTCAAGAAAAGGACACAGACTTATAAATGGTGGCAAAAACCGAGCTGTCTGGTTCTTCCGGTACCCAGTGCCGGGTCGAGTACAGAGCAGGCGCTCCATATTTACAAGACGAATCAATGACTGAATGAATAGCACCGCCAGGAGCCCCATAAAAGAAGTCCAGAAGACTGCGGGCTGTCAGTCTTCGCTGTGACAAAGAGCCTCCGTGAGGAGCGAGGATTAGGGCCGGACAGGGAGCGCCCTTCTAGTGGACGCTCGACTGGGCTGGGGCCGGGATGGAGACGGTGGGTGCCCAGGCCCTCCGTCTACCGCGGGCCGCGTGCGGGGCCGAGCGAGGACCCGGCTGGAGCTGGAGCGGGGGCGGGGCGGGGGCGGGGCCGAGGGCGAGCCGGAAGAAAGAAGCCGCAGGGCCCGCCCAAACAAGAATTTTCACCGTAATCCCGCCCAGAGTTTCTCCCACGGCCCCATGTCCGCATGGCGGTGAAGGTCGAAGACGCGCGACCCAAAGGGCCAGGTTTTCAGTCAGCCCAGCGTTGGCGACGGGCGAGGGCAGAACACAACCACCACCCTAGTCCCGCCCGGCTCGGGGCCTAGCTTCTCTACTCACAGCGTCGGAGGGAGGGAGGGAGGGAGCGAGCCAGCGTCCCCGCGTCTGCGGCACCCTGGCCGGCCCTTCGCCCTCCGACGCGCGCGCCTATTGGCCACCGCAGCCTCTCCCACATGGGGCGAAGGCGCGCCACTTCATTGGCCCCCGCGTGAGGGGCGGGGCTAAAGAGCGCGGGTCCTCGGCCGTGGAGGGTCAAGTGGCTTCTTCTGAGCGCTGAGGGAGGGGAGCGTGCGTAGGGGATGGTGCCAGCGCTGCGTTATTTGGTTGGTGCCTGCGGACGGGCCCGCGGGCTTTTCGCCGGTGGCTCCCCTGGGGCGTGCGGGTTCGCGTCTGGGAGGCCAAGACCGCTGTGTGGAGGTAGCCGCAGCGCCAGCACCAGGTGAGTGGCCGCTGGTCCTCCCCGCCGCCTGCGCTGCTGCCCCTCGCGGAGGCACCTGGTGGTGGACCTGTGCCCCTGTTCGTATTTCCCTGTCCCGGGGTGAGAGCAGGTTGGGGTCCTGTGGCACTCCAACCTCGGATCCCAGGAGCTACCAACCTGCAGGTTCATTCGTTGTATTTACGGGCCGGAGGAAAGGCAGTGTATAGAGTAGAGGTCGGGAGTAGCTCTGGCTTTGAACAACCCGTCCACTTTCTGTTGAACTCTGGGCTAGTTACTTAACCTCCTTAAAGGCTCAGTTGTGAATTGGACCTTAGTCTCTCCTGTAGGTGGTCATTTGAAGGATAAAAGGACCTAGCACACAGTATAAGCAATCAAATATGCTCTTTATAAGCTGGAGTCTTTGGCGTTGCTTGGAAGATCTGAATACAGTCTTAAATCAGTTCCTGGCACACCCCGCATAGTGTTGCCCCCGTCGGAGGCAGCTCTTATGCTAATGAAAGCCCGCAGAATTCAGTGTCCTGTGATTTATAGTTTGGACGTCACATTCGAAACCATTGTCTTTCTCTGTCCTCTGTAGAAGAAACAGTTTGTGTGAAGGCTGTAAGGCTTGGAGAGGTTTTGGCTATTTTGACGACTAGAAGGTGGGCCATATGAGTGTGACTGAAGTTTAGTGGAAGACATATGGTGTGGAATGACCCAGAAGGACTACATCACAGCAAGGTTTTTAGTTTATTTTAACCACACGTTGACTTTTATTCTAAGAGCCACGGGAAGCTATTTAAAAGGGTTTTAAGAAGAGGCTACGCTTTAGGAGGCCGAGGCGGGCGGATCGCCTGAGGTCAGAAGTTGGAGACCAGCCTAACCAACATGGTGAAACCCCGTCTCTACTAAAAATACAAAAAAATTAGCCTGGCGTGGTGGTGGGCGCCTGTAATCCCAACTACTCCGGAGCCTTAGGAGAATCGCTTGAACCTGGGAGGCGGAGATTGCAGTAAGCTGAGATCGCACCATTGCACTCCAGCCTGGGCGACAGAGCAAGACTCTGTCTCGCAAAAAAAAAAAAAAAAAAAAAAAGAAAAGAAAAGAAAAAAAGAAGAGGCTAATAATTAAATGTTGATGTTCTAAAAGTTGACTCTGGCTGCTGCGTGTTGGTGGATAGGGGGAGTAGAGTGGGATACCAGTAATAGCGATTGTGATTTGTTATGGGGCATGTGGACAGTTCTTTTGGGAAGCTTTTCTTAAGGAAAGAAAAGTAGGGCTAGTGAAAGTTTTGTTTATACTTAAAATGTTTTTTTAAAAAATTTTTGGAGTCAGGGTCTCACTGTGTTGCCAAGGCTGGAGTGCAGTGGCACAATCATAGCTCACTGCAGCCTCCACCCTCCTGGGCTCAAGCGATCCTCCCTCCTCAGCCCCCCTCCCCAATGCTTCCTGTCCTCCAGGAGCTGGGACCACAGGCAGCTAATTATTTTCCTATTTTTTTGTAGAGACGTTGCCCAGGGTGGTCTCGAACCCCTGGCCTCAAGTGAACCTCCCTCTTCAGCCACCCAAAGTGCTGAGATTACAGGTGTGAGCCACCGTGCCTGGCCTATACTTTTATTTTGAAGTAATTATAGATCCATTGGAAATTGCAAAAATAGTACAGGCCAAGCGTGGTGACTCAGGCCTGTAATCCCAGTGCTTTGGGAGGCTGAGGCAGGAGGATCACTTGAGCCCAGAAGTTTGAGACCAGCCTGGGCAAAATATAAGATCCCTTCTCTACAAAATAAAAAATAAAAATAAATAAACAGTACAAAGAGATCCCATGTACCCTTCACCCCATTTACCCCAATGAAAACATCTTATATAACTATAGTACAATATCAAAACTAGGAAATTGATATTGGCAAAATCCACGGACATTGTTCAGCTTTCATCAGTTTTACATATATTCGTGTGTGTGTGTGTGTTTAGTTCTATGCAGTTTAATCATATGTATTAATTTGTGTAACTACCACCTCAATTAAGATATGAAAATGTGGCCAGGCATGCTGGCTCATGCCTATAATCTCAGCACTTTGGGAGGCCGAGGTGGGAGGATAGGTTGAGCCTCAGAGTTGGAGACCAGCCTGGGCAACAAAGGGAGACGGCAAAACCCCTGCTCTACAAAAAAATTAAAAAATAATTAGCCAGGTGTGGTGGCTTGCTCCTGTAGTCCCAGCCACTTGTGGGGCTGAGGCAGGAGGATCGCTTGAGCCCAGGAGGTTGAAGGTGTGGTGACCTGTGATTACACCGCCGCGCTGAAGCCTGGACAACAGAGCAAGACTCTCTTAAAAAAAAAAAAAAGGGTGGTATAAAAATATTCTATTGCCACAAGGTTATCTGTTGTGTTACCTATCTCTTTATATTCACACCTTCCTCTCCATTCTTCCTAACTCTTGGCAACTGTGAATCTAAATTTTTTTTTTTTTTTAACACGAAGTCTCGCTTTGTCACCCAGGCTGGAGTACAGTGGCATGATCTTGGCTCACTGCAACCTCTGTCTCCTAGGTTGAAGGGATTCTCCTGCCTCAGCCTCCTGAGTAGCTGGGATTACAGGCATGTGCCACCACGCCCAGCTGATTTTGTATTTTGAGTAGAGATAGGGTTTCACCGTGTTGGCCAGGCTGGTCTCAAACTCCTGACCTCAGGTGATCCACCCGCCTCAGCCTCCCAAAGTATTGGGATTACAGGCATGAGCCACTGCACCCGGCCTGAAATTTTTTATATCACCAAATATTCAGTATAAAACTTTTAGAAAAAGGACAAGATCTTTGGACATAGAGATGACATCAAAAGCATGATCTCTAAAAGAAAAAAATTGACAAAATGGACTTCATCAAAATGAAAAACTTTTGCTCTGCAAAAGACTGTTAAGAGAATGAAAAAACTACCAAGACGTGGGAAAAAAATACCAGCAACTGCATATCTCCCAAAGGACTAATACACAAAATACATAAAGAACTCTCAAAACAAGCCTTTGGAGATTGGCTTTTTTTCACACAGCATACTATCCTTAAGATCCATGCAAGGCGTCGCCTGTATTGATAGCAGGTTTTTCAAAATTGTTGAATAGAATTCCATGGTATGGATACATCACAATTTGTTTAACCGTTTACCATGGGTTGAAGAACATCCAAGCTGCTTCCAGTTTTTGGCTATTACGAATAAAGCTACTATGAACATTCATGTTCAGGTTTTTGTATGAACATAAGTTTCATTTCTCTGGAATAAATGCCCAAGACTGCAGTTACTGAGTCATGTAGTAAGTCCATGTTTAGTTTCTTTTTAAGAAACTGCCATACTCTTTTCCAGAGTGGCTGTACTATTTTACATTCCCACCAGCTATGTGTGAGTAATCCAGTTTCCCTTCATTCTCACCAGCATTTGGGGTGATCACTTTTTAAATTTTAGCCATTCTGATAGAGACGTAGTGATATCTCATTGTGGTTTTTATTTACATTTCTCTGATGCAATGATGTTTGAACAATGCATTGACTAATGGTGTTGAACATCTTTTCATGTGCTTCTTTGCCATCTGTGTATCTGTCCTCTTTGATGAAATATTTGTTCATATCTTTTGCCCACTTTTTTTTTTTTTTTTTTTCTGAGATGGAGTTTCGCCTTGTTGCCCAGGCTGGAGCGCAGTGGCGCGGTCTCGGCTCACCGCAGAGGCCTCCTGGGTTCAAGCAATTCTCCTGCCTCAGCCTCCCGAGTAGCTGGGATTACAGGCATGCGCCACCATGCCCAGCCAATTTTGTCTTTTTAGTAGAGATGGGGTTTCTCCATGTTGGCATGGCTGGTCTCAAACTCCTGACGTCAGGTGATCCGCCCGCCTTGGCCTCCCAAAGTGCTGGGATTAAAGGCGTGAGCCATCGCACCCGGCCTGCCTACGTTCTAAATGGCTTGTTTTGAGAGTTCTTTTATGTATGAGTCCTTTGGGAGATATGCAGTTACTAGTATTTTTTTCCAATTTCTTAGTTTTTTTATCCTCTTAACAGAGTCTTTTTGCAGAGCAAAAGTTTTATGTTTTGATGAAGTCCATTTTATCAGTTTTTTTTCTTTTATGGATCATGTTTTTGATGTCAACTCTAAGTCCCAAGATTTTGTCCTATTTTTTCCTAAAAGTTTTAAAGTGAATATTAGGTGATGTAAAAAATTTTGTGTTAGTTTTTTTAACTATAATGGTAGTGTGTGTTTTTAGAGATGCCTTTTAGAAATAACATTGAAATATTTACAGATGAAATAATGTGGTGTTTAAGATTTGCATCAAAATAATATAATACAGGAGGGGATGAAATAGAGTATAGAAGAAGCAAGATTTGCTGTGAGTTGATAATTAGTGAAGCTGGGTGATGTATATGTGGGGCTTCATTGAACTATTTTGTCTAACTTTGTGTAGGTATGAACTTTTCCATAAAAAGCTTAAGAAAATTATCTGTTAAACCATTCATTGGTGTTAACTTGAGATTAAGTGAGTTGTAGAGAAAGATGTCTCTTTCAGCCTCCGTGGTTAGCTTGGCCTGCAACTGTCCTCCAGCATTCATCTATGACTATTGTTCTGTTCACCTGTCTCCATAGTGGATGCTTGGAGATTTGTGCTTTTGTTTGTGAAACATATTTCAATGATTTTGTGTCACTGGATAAAACAGTGATTCTTCAGATTTGAGAAGAGGGAGTGAAGGGTGGCACATGTAGTTGGAAAAAGCATATTCAGTATGATAGTTTTATGTTTGAAAATAAGAAGGGTTTATTGATAGTTGTAGTATAATCTGCAAAGACAATATCTTGGCTGGGAATCTGTACCAAGGTAATAATTCTAAGTGGAAGGTCTACCTCCCCAAAAGCTTTTGTGTTATAATTATCAAAAGGCAGCAAGGGGCCAGGCGCAGTGGCTCACGCCTGTATTCCCAGCATTTTGGGAGGCCGAGGCGGGTGGATCACCTGAGGTCAGGAGTTTGAGACCAGCCTGACCAACGTGGTGAAACCTCGTCTCTAGTAAAAATACAAAAACTAGCCCAGCATGGCAGTGTTCGCCTATAATATCAGCTACTAGGGAGGCTGAGGCAGGAGAATCACTTGAACCTGGGAGTGGGAAGCTGCAGTGAGCCGAGATCATGCTGCTACACTCCAACCTAGGCAATAGAGTGAGACCCTGACTCCAAAATTTTTTAAAAAAAAATTTTCAGTATAAACAAAACTTTCACCAGCCCTGCTTTTCTTTCCTTAAGAAAAGCTTCCCAAAAGAACTGTCTACATGCCCCACAACAAATCACAATCACTGTTAACTGGTATCCGACTCTACTCCCGCTATCCACCAACACGCAGCAGCCAGAGTCAGCTTTTAGAACATCAACATTTAATCACTAGTCTCCATCTAAAAAAAAAAAAAAAACCCCAAAACAAAAAAACCCCCCAAAAAAAACAAAAGGCAGCAAGGATGAGAAGCATTATTATGGAAGTCAAGACCACCCCTGTAAGGGCCAAGGTTATGCTACCTTTTACAGAAAATGAGCCTTGAAGGCAAAACATAGCATCATAGTTGAACTTGAAAGTAAGAAAGAAAAACAGTATGAAAGATATCTCTCTTATACACACACTGCCATGTAATTGATATAGATATCAACTTGATAAATTAAAAAAATACAGCTGGGCACGGTGGTTCACACCTGTAATCCCAGCACTTTGGGAGGCTGAGGTGGGCGGATCACGAGGTCAAGAGATTGAGACCATCCTGGCCAACATGGTGAAACCCCGTCTCTACTAAAAATACAAAAATTAGCTGGGCATGGTGGCGCGCACCTGTAGTCCCAGCTACTTGGGAGGCTGAGGTGGAAGAATCGCTTGAATCCGGGAGCTGGAGGTTGCAGTGAGCCGAGATTATGCCACTGCACTCCAGCCTGGCGACAGAGCCAGACTCCATCTCACCGAAAAAAAAAAAAAAAAGTCAGTCAAAACAGTCAGTCCTCGTTTTTGTGGGTTCTGCATCTGCAGATTCAACCAACTATGGATCAAAATATTTGGAAAAAACAGTAAAAAATAACACAATTTAAAATACAGTATAACAACTATTCACATAGCATTTACATGGTACTATGTAGTATAAGTGATCCAGAGATGACTTAAGGTATATTGGAGGATGTGTGTAGATTATATGCAAATACTGTGCCATTTCGTATACAAGACTTGAACATACGTGGATTTCGGTATCCATGGGAGTCCTGAAACCAATCCCCTGTGGATATTGAGGGATGACTGTATATAAAATATGATTAAGTAATACACATACAAATATCTTAAGTATTTGTAAGTGTTTTGAACACCTACCTTAGTGGAAGATTATAGAGGTTTTGAAAAATAAAAAGCCTATCTTAACAATAGTTATTCTGGAATTCTTAAAAGCCAGGCTATTTTAGAATCCATAAAACATCTGTTTATTGTGAAAGTTGTGTAAAGGGTCAATCTGTAAATCAGTGTAAGTACCTAGTGGAATGTGAATGCTTTACCTTTTATCCACTGAACTTATGTTTTTTTAAAACCTGCTTAAAGGCTTGGACTTCCAAATACATTCTGATCACATTAGTAATTTTTTAGTTGACCACTGTAGGCATTTGCCAATAACTAGTATTAATGTAGTGGACCCAGAATCCCATTTTACTTGTGCTGCTCTTTTTATGCCCTCTCTTTTTAAAAGTGGGCATCATTCACCATCCTTGACAACCATTTTATCCAATCTAAAGCTGCTGCAGGAGAACCACCTGCTGAGCATCACCTGGAGGTTCTCCCTGTTCAAGTATAAGGCTTATGCTCTGACAGAGGGAACTTTATCCACTTATGACCCCCAAGTTAATTTAAGATGCAGGATTTGATTTATCAAGCTTACGTGTTAGTTCCTAGTTGTCTAGGATCTGTTTCTGGTTCCAGATACAGCCAAAGATGTGGTAGCAATTCTAATCAAATTGATGTGCTTTGCTAAGGATTTTGAAATTGAAACTTAGATCACTTTTCGAAGAAAGGGCCTAATCTCTGAAATTTCCCTCTGTCTACAGTTCCTATAAGATCCATATTTGTTGGCTATCAGGTCAGTGTTAAAGGTAATCTTTTAAGCTTCGAATTGCAGATTTATATAAATTATACATGGTTGTTCTAAATTTTTTTTTTGAGACAGAGTCTCGCTCTGTCGCCCAGGCTGGAGTGCAGTGGTGCAATCTTGGCTCACTGCAAGCTCCGCCTCCTGGGTTCACGCCATTCTCCTGCCTCAGCCTCCCGAGTAGCTGGGACTACAGGTGCCCGCCACCACGCCTGGCTAATTTTTTGTATTTTTAGTAGAGATGGGGTTTCACCGTGTTAGTCAGGATGGTCTCAACCTCCTGGCCTCGTGATCTGCCCGCCTTGGCCTCCCAAAGTTCTGGGATTACAGGCGTGAGCCACCACGCCCGGCCCTAATTTTGTAAATGGTTGTATAATCAGGATTTGCCATGGCAAAGATTGTGGTTCCTAAGCCCATTTCTGGACCAATTATTGCCCCAAGGTTTATTTTCTCGGAGTTGTTTACTTCTCAAAGAAAAACTTGTAAAAATTCTTGCACACTAAAGTGTTAAAGCTTTAATGTGTTAACACATTGTCAAGAGTACTACATTGGAATTTTGAAAGGCTGGGTAGTAGAATCATGACTATGCTTAACACAAAGTATAGTCATGCACCGCATAACAACATTTTGGTCAACCACAGACTGCATGTACAGTGGTGATACCAAAGATTATAATACCATATTTTTTCTGTACCTTTTTTATATGTACACATTTTTAGATGCACAGATACTTACCATTGTGTTACAGTTGCCTGCAGTATTCAATATAGTAACCTGCTGTACAGGCTTGTAGCCTAGGAGCAATAAGCTATCCCATATAGCCTAGGTGTACAGTAAGCTATATCATCTAGGTTTGTGTAAGTACATTCTATGCTGTTTGCACAAGGAAATCGCCTACCAATGCATTTCTTAGAACCTAACCCTATGGTTAAGCAACGCATGACTGCAGTCACTTATGTAACCAGCCTGGCTGCCGTGCTATGGAGATAAAGAGCAGATTGGGCAACCAGCTATCCTGCCTGCCAGTAAGCTGTAGTTGATTATACTACTGACCAGTGATGCGTATAACTTTTGAGGTTTTTTTTTTTTTTTTTTAATGCGTCTAACTTTTTTTTTTTTTTTTTGAGACAGGGTCTGGCGCTGTCTCCCAGGCTGGACTGGAGTGCAGTGGCATGACCTCGGCTCATTGCAACCTCCGCCTCCCAGGTTCAAGCGATTCTCCAGCCTTAGCCTCCCGAGTAGTTGGGATTACAGGTGCCTGCCACCACACCCAGCTAATTTTTGTATTTTTAGTAAAGATGGGGTTTTACCATGTTGGCCGGGCTGGTCTTGAACTCCTAACCTCAAGTGATCCACCCACCTTGGCCTCCCAAAGTGCTGGGATTACAGGCATGAGCCATCACACCCAGGCTTGATTAGTATAACTTTTAAGGGTTTTTTTTTTTTAATACATGTGAAACCAAACAGCACAGGGCCCAATACATTGCTCTGTCGCCTTGCTCTGTCACCAGGCTGGAGTGCAGTGGCGTGATCTCCACTCACTGCAACCTCTGCTTCCCAGGTTCAAGTGATTCTTCTGCCTCAGCCTCCCAAATAGCTGGGACTACAGGCACGCGCCACCACGCCCAGCTAATTTTTGTATTTTTAGTAGAGACGGGGTTTCACCATGTTGGCCAGGATGGTCTCGATCTCTTGACCTCGTGATCCGCCCCCCTCGGCCACTCAAAGTGCTGGGATTACAGGTGTGAGCCACTGCGACCGGCCGCCGAATACGTTTTCATGATTACAAATTAATGGTTTAATTGTCCATTGATGAAAATTATGCATGTGAAGTTTGGCGAGGTCTACTGTAAATATGAATTACTTTAAAGATGACTTTCTTTTGAAGCTCATTTGATATAGTCATCGTTGGTGGCGGAATTGTGGGGCTTGCCTCTGCCAGAGCACTCATCCTGCGACATCCATCACTTTCTATTGGTGTTCTGGAAAAGGAGAAAGATTTAGGTATGTATATAATCAATGTTGTTCTTTGGGCTTACTTGGGCATCTGCTCATTTTGTCTGTTGTGAATCTTTCATGCTGAATGTCAGTGTTAGTTTCTTAGTTTGTGTTCTAAAAGCAGAGTGTGGGACAAGGACATGGCTATAGGTTATTTGAGAGGTTAAAGCCGAGTGTGGGACAAGGAGGACGTGTCTATAGGTTATTTATTTGAGAGGTTATCTCAGGAAACAGGAGTGAGGGGGTGAGGAAAGTAAGACAGGGAAGGAGGAAAAGACATGAGAACACATCAAGATTGTGGCTGTGAGCTTGATTCCACCGGAGCCTCTGAGGAGCAATGTAGTATTTCCCAGGATTGTGCTCACTTTATCCATCGGCTCTTCTCTCTATTGGTTGAGGATTGCCGCTAGTGATGTTGAGCACCCCGTGCCCTTCTCTAAAAAAGTTACCAGAGGCCCCAAGGCAGAGTGCAAAGAGCCCTAGGGGGCCCCTGAAGTGGTTTGCTGGTAATGAGAGGTGAGTTTGTGCACCAAAGTTGTAGTTGAAATCAGAGATGGGCTGGAGGGATGTGACATGGATACCAGGGATGTTAGAAGAAGTTACCAGTGATCTGAACAAATTCAGGCAGAATTTTACATGATGTGGTCTCTAATAGCTTCAACTATAAGTTTGTTCTCTTACCTCTTATGTTTTGTATGAATCATGTACTTACTCTTACCCTGTTTCTCTTGTTCTGTAGCTGTTCACCAGACTGGACATAACAGTGGTGTCATACATAGTGGAATTTATTATAAACCTGAGTCTCTGAAAGCCAAATTATGTGTACAAGGTGCAGCCCTCCTCTATGAGTACTGTCAGCAAAAGGGAATTTCCTACAAGCAGTGTGGCAAGGTATGGCATTTTATTAGAGCCTTGACTAATTTCCAACTAGCATTTGCTTAGTGATGTTTAATATTACATTTTTTAAAAATGTATTTTTTTCTTTGTATCTATGTAATTTTTCAAATCTAATCTTAGGGAATAACTAAAAAAAGATGGTGTGACGTTATGTAATTTTCTAAATAAAAGTTTTATTGACATATAATTTATGCACCATACAATTCGCCCTTTTAAAGTGCACAGATCAATTTTTAGTATATTTATAGAGCTGAGCAATCATCACCACTATCTAATTTCAGGCTTTTTCATCACCCCAAAAAGACACCCCATACCCATTAGCAGTCACTTCCCATTTCTACCTCCCCCGATGCCCTAGCAACCACTAGTATACTTTCTGTCTTTGTGGATTTGCCTGTTCTGCACTTTTCATATAAATAGATTCATATACTATGTAGTCTTTTGTGACTGGCTTCTCTCACTTAGCATAATGTTGTCAAAGTTCATCCCTGTTGTAGCATGAATCAGTACTTCATGTCTTTTATGGCTGAACAATATTCCATTGTATGGATATACCACATTTTATTTGTTCATCAGTTGATAGACATATGGATTGTTTCCACCTTTTGGCTATTATGGATAATGCTGCTATGAACATTCATGTATAAGTTTATTTGTGAACATATGTTTTCATTTATATTGGTTATATACCTGGGAGGGGAATTGCTGGATTGTCAGGGTAACTCCATGTTTAACATTTTGAGGAACTGCCAAATTGTTTTCCAAAGCTCTGTGCTATTTTACATTCCCACCAGTAATTAATAAGGATTCCAATTTTCCATGTCCTTGCCAACATCTATTTTGGTTTGTCTTTTCTATTTTAGCCATCCTAGTGGAAGTTTTGATTTGCAGTTCCCTAGTGATAATGATGTTGAGTGTCTTTTATTTTTTCCTTTTTAGAAAATAGTTCTTGAGCCCAAGGGTTTGAGACCAGCTCGGGCAACATAGTGAGACCCTATCTCTACAAAAAATTTAAAAAGTTAGCCGGGTGCGGTGGTGCACAACTATAGTCCCAGCTACTTGGGAGGCTGAGGTGGGAGGACTGCTTGAGCCTGGGAGATCAAGGCTGCAGTGATCCATGATTATGCCACTGCACTTCAGCCTGGGCAACAGAGTGAGACCTTGCCTCAAAAAAGTTAAAATTATTATTTTTTAACTTTATTTCTTATTTAAAAGTTGAGACAGGATCTTGCTTTGTTGCCCAGGCTGGTCTCAAACTCCTGGCTTCAAGCACTCCTCCTGCCTTGGCCTCCTGAAGTGCTGGGATTACAGATGTGAGCCACTGTGCCTGGCCTAAAATTATTTTTTAATTGACAAAAATTGTAAATATTTATCATGTACAACATGTTGTTTTGAAGTATGTATACGTTATGGGCCGGGCAGGGTGGCTCACGCCTGCCTGTAATCTCAGCACTTTGGGAGGCTGAGGCAGGCAGATCACTTGAGGTCAGGAGTTCGAGACCAGCCTGGCCAACATGGTGAAACCCCATCTCTACTAAAAATATAAAAATTAGCCGGGTGTGGTGGCACACGCCTGTAATGCCAGCTACTCGGGAGGCTGAGGCACGAGAATTGCCTGA
This sequence comes from Homo sapiens, assembly GCF_000001405.40. NCBI lineage: Eukaryota > Metazoa > Chordata > Mammalia > Primates > Hominidae > Homo > Homo sapiens. The sequence goes on along the minus strand of NC_000014.9, from coordinate 50,300,391 downwards.
CCCTGGGAGGCAGAGGTTGCAGTGAGGCGAGACCACACCACTGAATTCCAGCCTGGGCAACAGAGTGAGACTCTGTCTCAAGAAGTATGTGTACATTGTGGAATGGCTAAATCAAGCTCACCAACATATGCATTACCTTTCATACTTATTTTTTTTTTATGATGCAAACACTTAAATCTACTGTCTGAGCAGTCTTCAAGAATATAATACATTATTAACTATAATCAACATTTTGTGTAATAGATATCCTGAACTTATTCCTCTTACTTAACTGAAATTTTGTGTCCTTTAACAAATATCTTTCCACACCACCCCTGCCTCCCTGCCACCCTCAGCCCCTGGTAACCACCATTCCACTCTCTACCTCTGTGAGTTCAACTTTTTGAGATTCTACATGTAAATGAGATCACGCAGTATTTATCTTTCTGTGCTTGGTTTATTTCACCTAAGATAATGTCCTCCAGGTTCATCTCTGTTGTCATTTGTGGCATGGACCATTTGTGACAATAGAGATGAACATGGAGGATATTATCTTAAGTATTTCTCATTATCTTAAAGATTTTCTCCTTTTTTAAGGCTGACTGGTCTTTTGTTATGTATCCACCTGAACTGGCCTCCCACAGTGTTGGGATTACAGGTGTGAGCCACCACGCCTGGCCTGATTGTATGGTTTTTGTCATTCATCTTGTTGATATGATGTGTCACCTTGATTGATTTACATATGTTGAACCATCCTTTGCATCCCTGGGTTAAATCCCACTTGGTCATGATGAATGATCTTTTTAATGTGTTGTTGAATTTGGTTTGCTAGTATTTTGTTAAGGATTTTTGTATAGTGTTCATCAGGAATATTGGCCTATAGTTTTCATTTTTTTGATGTGTCTTTGTCTGGGTTTGGTATCAGGGTAATACCAGCCTCATGGAATGTGTTTGGAAATATTTCCTCCTCTACTTTATGGAATAGTTTGAGTAGGGTTTAGTATTAGTTCTTCTTTAAATGTTTGGTAAAATTTAGCAGTGAAGCCATCAGGTTCTGGGCTTTTCTTTACTGGGAGACTTTTTATTATGGCTTCGATCTTATTGCCTTTTATTGGTTTGTTCAGGTTTTGGATTTCTTCATGGTTCAATCTTGGTAGGTTGTATGTGTCCAGGAATTTATTCATTTATTCTAAGTTTTCTAACTTATTGGCATATATAGTTGGTCATAGTAGCCTTTAACAATTTTTTGAATTACTGTGGTATTGGTTGTAATGTCTCTTTTTTCATCTCTGATTTTATTTATCCGGGTCTTCTCTTTTTCTTAGTCTGGCTAAAGGTTTGTCAATTCTATTTATCCTTTCAAAAAACCAACCTTTCATTAATCTTTTGTATTGTTTTCTTTGTTTCAATTTCATTTATTTCTGCTCTGATCTTTATTATTTATTTTCTTCTACTAATTCTGAATTTGGTGTGCTCTTGCTTTTCTAGTTTTTTAAGATGCATTGTTAGATTATATGAAGTTCTTCTACTTTTTTGATGTAGGTGCTTATAGCTATAAACTTTCCTCTTAGTACGGCTTTCGCTGTTTCCCATAGGTTTTGGTATGTTGTCTTTCTATTTTCATTTGTTTCAACAGATTTTTAAATTTCCTTCTTAATTTCTTTATTGGCCCACTGGTCATTTAGGAGCGTATTGGTTTTGTTTGCTTGTTTGTTTATTTTTTTGAGATAGAGTCTCTGTCTCACCCAGGCTGGAATATAGTGGCACTATCTCACAGATCACTGCAGCCTTGACCTCCCGGCCGGGCATGGTGGCTCGCACCCCTAATCCCAGCACTTTGGGAGGCTGAGGCGGGGGATCACCTGAGGTCAGGAGTTCGAGACCAGACTGACCAACGTGGAGAAACCCCATCTCTACTAAAAATACAAAATTAGCTGGGTGTGGTGGCTCATGCCTGTAATCCCAGCTACTTGGGAGGCTGAGGCAGGTTAGTTGCTAGAACCTGGGAGGCAGAGGTTGTAGTGAGCTGAGATCGCGCCATTGCACTCCAGCCTGGGCAACAAGAGCGAAACTCTGTCTCAAAAAAAAAAAGTCCTCCCACCTCAACCTCTGGAGTAATGGGGATCACAGGTGCACCACCATGCCTGGCTAATTTTTCTTTTTTTTTTTTTGAGACAGAGTCTTGCTGTTACCCAGCCTGGAGTGCAATGGTGCCATCTCAGCTCACTGCAACCTCCACCTCCTGGGTTCAAGCAATTCTCCAGCCTCAGCCTCCCAAGTCGCTGGGACTACAGGCTCACGCCACCATGCCTGGCTAATTTTTGTATTTTTAGTAGAGATGTGGTTTCACTATGTTAACTAGGCTGGTCTTAAACTCCTGACTTCAAGTGATCTACCCACCCAAATTGCTGGGATTACAGGCATGAGCCACCATGCCCAGTCATTTTGTTGTTGTTGTTCGTTTTGGTTTTTTTTTTTGAGTTAGGATCTCCCTCCGTTGCTCAAGTTGGTCTCAAACTCCTGGGCTCAAGTGCTCAAGTGATCCTCTCACCTTGGCCACCCAAAGTGTTGAAATTACAGGTGTGAACCACTATGCCTGGCCAGAGGCATATTGTTTAATTTCTGTGTGTTTGTATAGTTTCCAAAATTCCTCTTGTTATTGATTTCTAGTTTCATTCCATTGTGGTCAGAGAATATACTTGATATAATTTCATTTAAAAAAAATTTTAAAGACCTGTTTTGTGGCCCAACATATTGGTCTATCCTTGAGAATGATCCATGTGCTGGGGAGAAGAATATATATTCTGTAGCTGTTGGATGAAACTCTCTGTAAATATCTGTTAGGTCCATTTGGTCTGTAGTGCTCAGTAGTTTATTCTTTGTGATGCTTTTGTGAGGAGAATTGTTTTCCTACTTTCATTTTTTATAATTCATTGCTAATGCATAGAATATGATTGATTTCTGTATGTTGATTTTTTTTAATCCAGTGACCTTTCTGAACTCATTTTGTTCTAATTGTGTGTGTATGTGTGTGTGTGTGTCTATGAATTCCTTAGGCTTTACTATATGCAGGATCATGTCATCTGCAAATAAGTTAGTTTTACTTCTTTTCCAATTTAGATGTCTTTTAACTACTTATTCTGCTTGCCTGATTTCCATGGGTGGAAGCTCCAATACTGTGTTGAACAGAAGTAGTAAAAGTGGACCTTCTTGAATTGTTCTTGATCTAATAGAGAAAGCATTCAATCTTTTACCCTTAAGTATGATGTTAGCTGTGGATTCCCTTTATCAGATTAAGGAAGTTCCTTTCTATTCCTAGTTTGTTGAATGTTTTCTATCATGAAAAGGTGTTGAATTTTCTCAAATGCCTTTTCTGCTTCTATCAAGGTGATCATGTGGTTTTTATCCTTTATTCTATTAATGTAGTGTATTAATACATTTTTGGATGTTAAATTGATTTTACATTCCTGTGATAAATCCCTCTTGGTCATGGTGTAAAATCCTCTCTATATGTTGCTGCATTCAGTTTATTAGTATTTTGTTCAGGGTTTTGCATTAATATTTTTAAGGGATATTGGTTTGCAATTTCTTACGATATCTGGTTTTGGTAAAAGGCAAAATATTTTTTCTTTCTGAAGAGAAACCAGAGCACTGGTTTTAGTATCAAACTAATATTGGCCTCACAGAATTAGTTGGGAAGTGATTCTTACTCTTCTGTTTTTTGGAACAGTTTATGAAGAATTAGTATTACTTTTTTTTTTAACATCTGGTAGCATTCATGAATAAAGCCTCTGGGCCTGGGCTTTTTTTTTTTTTTTTAATGTGGGAAGTTTTCAATCACTTCATGTGTTATAGGTTTATTAAGTTTTTCTTCTCAAATCCGTTTCAGAAGTTTGTGTCTTTCTAATAATTTGTTCATCTAGATTTTCTAATTCGTTGCCATACAGTTGTTCATAGTATTCTTTTATAAGTCCTTTTATTTCTGCAGTGTTGGTAGTCATGTCCTTCATATAAGTTTTTTTTTTTTTTTTTTTTTTTTTGAGACAGGGTCTCACTTTGTCACCCAGGATGGAGTGCAGTGGTGCAATCTCGGCTCTCTGTAGCCTTGACCTCCTGAGCTCAAGTGATCCTCCCACCTCAGCCCACTAGTAGCTGGGACTACAGGTGCACACCACCACACTCAGCTAATTTTTTTGTATTTTTTTGTAGGGACAGGTTTTGCTATGTTGCCCAGGCTGTTCTCGAACTCCTGAGCTCAAGCAATCCACCAGCCTCAGCTTCCCAGAGTGCTAGGATTACAGGCATGAGCCACCGTGCCTGGCCCTTATAATTTTTAAGAATAAAAGCTCATTGTCACCATTAAAGTTGCTATGAGGCTGGGTGTGGTGGCTCACGCCTGTAATCCCAGCACTTTGGGAGGCCGAAGTGGATGGACCACCTGAGGTCAGGAGTTCGAGACCAGCCTGTCCAACATGGTGAAACCCCATTTCTACTGAAAACACAAAAATTAGCTGGGCATGGTGGCAGGCGTCTGTAATCTCAGCTACTTGGGAGGCTGAGGCAGGAGAATCGTTTGAACCTGGGACGCAGAGGTTGCAGTGAGACGAGATCCTGCCATTGCACTCCAGCCTGGGTGACAAGAGCGAAATTAAAAAAAAAAAAAAAAAGATGCTATGAAAAAAAAATTGTAGGGCTGGACTCAGTGGCTTATGCCTGTAATCCTAGCACTTTGGGAGGCCGAGGTGGGTAGATTGCTTGAGCCCAGGAGTTTGAGACCAGTCTGGGCAATGTGGTAAAACGCTGTCTCTACTAAAAAAAAAAAAAAAAAAAAAAAAAAAAATTAGCCGAGTGTGGTGCACATGCCTGTAGTCCCAGCTTCTAGGGAGGCCGAGGTGGGAGAATCACCTGAGCTCGGGAAGTCGAGGCTGCAGGGAGTCATGACTGGGCCACTGCACTATAGCCTGGGCAATGGGAGTGAGACCTTGTCTCAAATAAATAAATAAATAGAAATTTTAAAAATAGATACAAATTTTTTTAAGAGACAGGGTCTTGTCCTGTTGCCTAGGCTGGAGTGCAGTGGCACAATCACAGCTCACTGCAGCCTTGAACTCCTGGGCTCAAGTGGTCTTCTTGCCTCAGCCTTTGAAGTAGCTTGGATTATAGACATGAGCCCCTGTGCATGGCCACATTTTAAAAAACAATTCAGTAAAATGGGCCTGACATAAGTGAAAAAGGCAAGATATAAAAGTCTAGTTACAGTTTTTATTATGAGTTGTAAGAATTCTTTACATATTCTAAATACTAGACCTTTATCAGCTACGTGACTTGCAAATATTTTTTCTCATTGTGTGGGTTGTCTTTTCACTTACTTGATAGAGTCCTTTGATTCCACTTCTGTTTTTAAGGTTAATTATTTATTGATTTAAATAGCCTTTATACCTTGATTAAAAGTGTCACCTCATGAAATTCTGTTGCCTCTTTGGTATGAAATAATGACTTGTGAATTCTAATATACCTTCGAATATGCACCTGTGTTTTCCTTTGCCCCTTTCTTTAAGTAAAGAAGAAACTGTACCTCAGATATTTTTCCCATAAATAAATAGAAAAGAAATAAATAAGTTGATGAATTGACTGTTTTCCCCCTGCAACAGAATGTTTTGTAAATACTTTATAATATATTCCAAAAATAAAAGGGATTGTTTTGTCAGTTATGTTCCATCACATTCAGTACCAGTTGTCTTTCTGATGTGCTGATATTTTACATTTTCCTGAAGAAATAAGAAGGCCATTCTGTTTTGGGGGGGAAAAAAAGTAAAGTCCAAGCAACTTATGCTTCTCTCCTTTCTGGGTTTGAGAATGTGGTAGTGATGAGTTGCTTATGGCCAAGATGCACATAGAGACTATGATAACAGAAGTGGAAATTGAAGCTACATTTCATTTTTAGGGAAAATTTGTTTTAATAACATTTTCTTAAGACAACTTTTCTTGGTGGAGGAAGAAAATAGTCATGAAGAAAGGAAGAATTAGATATGTGAAGAAAAAATAATTTTAAAAAATTAACCTCCTTTGGGTCATACAATAGTTGATGATTTTCCATTGACTTTATCTTTCATCGCTGATGATACATTCACCTCTATCCATGCTCCTTACCTTTTTTTTTTTGAAGCTTATAGTAGCTGTTGAACAAGAAGAAATTCCCAGACTTCAGGCCCTATATGAGAAAGGCCTCCAGAATGGTGTCCCGGGCCTGAGGCTGATCCAGCAGGAGGATATAAAAAAGAAGGAGCCATATTGTAGGGTAAGTGATTAACAAAGGGATGTTTTTATTTAGGGCTTAGTCCTGAGACATGGAGGCTGAGGGTGAGTGTATAGGAGGCAGGAATAATATAAAATCAGTTAGATAATCCTGTCACAGAAGTAGTGAAGTGACAGACACAAGAGGGCATTGTCACAAACTCTGGACACCTGATTTCTTTCTCTGTGAGAAAATACCAGGTCTGACCAACATGAAGACAAGAGGAGGCCTGAGACCACATGGCATGTTTGGAAAACACTGAGCAGTGAGGTGTGGTTGGGAGCATTGGGTATGTAGGGAAATATAAGAGATGAGACTGAAAAGGCAGGGTTAGGCCCACATAAAGGGTTTGGCATTCATGTTAATAACATTGAAGTTTATCCAGTAGGCACGGGGAGCCATTGAACATTTTTGGAGGAGGGCAGCTGTAGTGTCTGATCTATACGATAGGCGGATAAGGCTGGCATGAGTTTGATCCTCCTGCCTCGACCTCCCAAAGTGCTGGGATTGCAGCATTTCACTTTCTTAATATTGTCTTCAGATTAACAGAAATTCTTAATGTTATCAATTTATGCATATGTTTGTTTTTTTATGGTTAGTGTTTTTTGTGCTCTAGTTAAATTTTCTGGATGCATTCAAAGACTTGGTAAGAAAAATAAAATAAAATAGAAAAAAAAAGAAATCTTTGCCTAGCCCAGGGTCTAGAAGATATTCTATGTGTTTTTCTAAAAGTTTTATTGTTTTACATTTCACATTTAGATCTACAGTCCATTTGGAATTGATTTTTATATATGGTATAAGTTAGGGGTCAAGGTGTATTTTTTCCCCAAACAGATATCCAGTTGTGTCAGCATCACTTATCAAAAAACCATTATTTTCCCACTGTGCTGCAGTATTGCCTTTATGATATCAGGTATGTGGCGGGTCTATGTCTGGACTCCATTCTGTTCCATTGCCTCTTCTGTGCTACTACCATAATGTTTAATTATAATAGCCATTTTTTTTTAAATGGGTTCTTACTCTGTCACCCAGGCTAGAGTGCAGTGACGTGATCACAGCTCCCCATGACCAGCTAATTTTAAAATGTTTGAAGAGACAGAGTCTCACCATATTGCCTAGGCTGGTCTCGAACTCCTGGGCTCAAGTGATCCACCTGTTTTGGCCTCCCAAAGTGCAAGGAATACAAGCATGAGCTATAGTAGCTTGGACTATAGTAGTTTTGTTTTTTTTTTTGAGATGCAGTCTCTCTTTGTCACCCAGGCTGAAGTGCAGTGCCACCATCTCGGCTTACTGCAACCTCCATCTCCTGGGTTCAAGCAATTCTCCTGCCTCGGCCTCTCTAGTAGCTGGGATTACAGGCACCCGCCACCACACCTGGCTAACTTTTGTATTTTTATTTATTTATTTATTTTGAGATGGAGTTTCACTCTTGTTGCCAGGATGGAGTGCAATGGCGCAATCTCAGCTCACCGCAACCTCTGCCTCCCGGGTTCAAGTGATTCTCCTGCCTCAGCCTCCCGAGTAGCTGGGATTACAGACATGCGCCACCATGCTCGGCTAATTTTGTATTTTTCGTATAGACAGGGTTTCTCCACGTTGGTCAGGCTGGTCTTGAACTCCCGACCTCAGGTGATCCTCCAGCCTCGGCCTCCCAAAGTTCTGGGATTACAGGCGTGAGCGCCTGGCCCTATAGTAGCTTTTTAATAGGCCTGAATATCTGGTAGAGTAAGGCCTTCCGTTTTTTTCTTCAACATTATCTTGGCTACTCTTGGATCTTTACATTTCTACATAAATTTTGGAGTTAATTTGCTAAACTCCACAAGATAACCTGTTATGATTTTGACTGAGATTGCAATGAATCTGTATGTCTGTGTGGAGACAATTTACATCTTTGTAGTGTGGAGTCTTCCAATCCTTGAACTTCATATATCCCTCCCTTTGTCTGGATCTGTTTTAATTTATTACATAATGTATTTTAATTTTCAGTATGGAAGTCTTGCATGGCATGTCTCTTATATTTATTATCTACAAAGAATTTGTATTTGATGTTTTCTGATACTCTCATTAATAGTATTGTTATTTAAAATTCACTTTTTATTTGTTTGTTGCAGGTATGTGGAAATATAATTGATTTCTGACCTTGTATCCAACTTTCTAGTTAAATTCGTGTATTGGTTCTAAATAATTTGTCTAGAAATTCTTTTGGACTTTTTATACCCAGACATTTTATCTGCAAATAATAACTATTTATTTCTTCTTTTCTAATTCATATACTTGGTTGATCCAATGTTTAATCCTAGTTTGTATAGTTTTATATGTGTTTTTTGTTTATTTTTACAAGCTGCTTCATCCTTTCTGCAAAAAGACAAGATAGAAATGTATTTTTTCAAGTCCAGGAAAAATAAAAGCTTGAAGGAAAAAAAATGTATTTTTTCCCTTTATCTCTAGTTGTAAAGTTAAAGTTGGGTCAAAATATGCAAGATTTTCTGAATTCATGTAAAGCTCCTAAGACGCTGCTGGTATCCAGGAGTCTAAATAGTGTTGAATGAGTTCTTCCTGCAGAGGTTATAGCATCTTCGTCTCCAGCAAGCCACCTATTCCTTTCCTGGCACCCAGTCAGGATAATCAAACTATTTTGCTTGTGGGATACACTAGGTCTTGTTACTTCCCATTTCTCTCCTCAAATATTTCTTATCTCTCTGAGATAGTGAATTAGTGACTGATTTTTTTAAGTAGAATATTTTCATTGACCATCTTATTTTGGCCACCTGCTTATTTCATACTCTGAGCAAATTCTAAATGGTCAAAGTCTTGGCAAATTCTGTCCTGTGGGCCAAATTCATCCTGCCACCTGTTTTTGTATGGCCTGAAAACTAAAAATGTTTTTTGTTTGTTTTTTTTTTTTTTTTTTTTTTTTTTTGAGACGGAGTCTCAGTCTGTCCCCCAAGCTGGAGTGCAGTGGCACAATTTCGGCTCACTGCAACCTCCGTCTCCCTGGGTTCAGCGATTCTCCTGCCTCAGGCTCCCAAGTGGCTGGGATTACAGGCACATGTCACCATGCCTGGCTAATTTTTGTATTTTTAGTAGAAACAGGGTTTCACCATATTGGCCAGGCTGGTCTCAAACTCCTGACCTTGTGATCCGCCCACCTCGGCCTCCCAAAGTGCTGGGATTATAGGCGTGAGCCACCGTGCCCGGCCATGCTAAAAATGTTTTTTACATTTTAAGTGTGTTAAAAAAATTAAAAGAAGAACATTATTTTGTGATGAATTAAAATTATATGAAATTCAGCCAGGCGTGGTGGCGTGTGCCTGTAGTCCCAGCCACTTGGGAGGCTGAGGCAGGAGAATTGCTTGAACCCGGGAGGCGGAGGTTGCAGTGAGTGGAGATTGTGCCACTGCACTCAAGCCTGGGCAACAGAGAGAGACTCCATCTCAAAAAAAAATATATGAAATTCAAATTTCAGTGTCCGTAAAGTTTTATTGAAATACAACCGCAAATATTCAGTTATGTATTGTCTGTAGCTGTTTTAACGCCAAACAGCCTCATTGAGTAGTTGCAACAGAGATCATAAGCCTAGATAGTCAAAAATATTTGCCATCTGTCTCTTATAAAAAAGGTTGCCTACCCTTGATCTAAATAGCAGATAGCTACCGAAGGACTTGAGCAGAATGCTGACAGGCAAAAGGTACTAATTTAGGAAATTTAATCAAATTTGAATATGTAAGATGGAACTGGACGTGGGGAGAGGAGAACCAAAGCCACTTATTGTTATTTTTGAATTATCTGATTCCAATAATTCTCAGTCTTAAGGGAGTTTTTTTTGTTTGTTTGTTTTTGTTTTTTTTTATGAGACGGAGTCTCACTCTGTCACCCAGGCTGGAGTGCAGTGGCGTGATCTCGACTCACTGCAAGCTCCAACTCTTGGGTTCACGCCATTCTCCTGCCTCAGCCTCCAGAGTAACTGGGACTACAGGCGCCCACCACCACACCTGGCTAATTTTTTTTGTATTTTTAGTAGAGACAGGGTTTCACCTTGTTAGCCAGGATGGTCTTGATCTCCTGACCTCGTGATCCGCCCGCCTCAGCCTCCCAAAGTGCTAGGATTACAGGCGTGAGCCACTGCGCCTGGCCGACTTAAGGGAGTTTTGACATATTATCCTTTACTTTATCTTGCTGTATCCTTCAACTTTTTGAAATTAACTTGCATCTAGCATAAGGTGAGCAGTATAATGTAGCTGTTGATAAGTCAGACAGACATAAGCTCCATTCTCACATCTGCCTCTTTAATGGCTATTAACATTGAGTGGGTTATAATCTTTCTAATCCTCAGACTCATTTGTAAAATGGAGATTGTTTTGAGAATTAAATGAAATACTATGTATAAGGCATTCGGCTAAACGTTAATCCCTTAAGAAATGGTATATATTATTATATGCTTTTTTGAACAATCCTAGTAAATTCAAATTGGTTTTGTTTGAAATATTTGGGGACTTTTCATTTCTGCTTTCTTTAGCTTTTTTCTGCCTATAAAGCCAGCCTCCTCTGGTCAGCTCATTAGAGTGCTCTTTCTAAATCTATGAATGAGGTGCTCCCTGAATCATGAATTTCTAATAAAGCTAATTAGATCTTTAAACTAAATTTGTTATAATTTTGTCTTTTAACACACTCAATGGTTTTGTAACGCACTGTGTAGATAAGAAACAGGATAATAGATTACCCTGTTAAGATAATTAAGAATATTTAGTTATGTGTATTCTTCCCCCTGTTTGTATTTCCCCTTTTCCTGATGTGTTACATTTAATTTATTATTTTATTCTGTTTATTTTCTTTAAGGCATATCAGTCTTTTTTAGAGTGAGATAGCCTATTTTAAAACAATAGAGATCCTAGCATATTATAAAACTAGGGTTGTGAATAACTGATATAAGGGCTGGTTGTTTAGACTGATGTTATGCTTCAAGGAAAAAAAATGCTAGTATTAAAATTAAGAAATTAGGAGGCTGTTATATATGTGGGAGCAGAGAATATATGGGAAATCTCTGAACTTTTTGCTCAATTTTTCTATGAATTTAAAACTGCTCTTAAAAAGGAGTCTACTTAAAAAATTTAGATTAAACCCACTTTCTGTTTCTTATCTATACAGTGCATTACAAAACTATTGAGTGTGTTAAAAGACAAAATTACAACAGATTTAAAGACCAAATTAGCTCTTTTAGTGATTCATGAATTAAGGAGCATCTCATTCAAAGATTTAGAAAAGGCACTCTGATGAGCTGACCAGAGGAGGTTGGCTTTATAGACAGAAAAGGGTTGAAGAAAGCAGAAACAGAGAACAAAAAGCAGATTGGTTGTTTCAAAGTTACTTTCCTATAAGGTTAAAACAGAGGCCAGGCACAGTGGCTCACGCCTGTAATCCCAGCACTTTGGGAGGCCGAGGTAGGCGGATCATCTGAGGTCAGGAGTTCGAGATCGGCCTGACCAATATGGTGAAACCCCATCTCTACTAAAAATACAAGAATTAGCCGGGCATGGTGGCGCATGCCTGTAATCCCAGCTACTCAGGAAGCTGAGGCAGGAGAATCGCTTGAACCAGGGAGGCAGAGGTTTTGGTGAGCTGAGATCGCGCCATTGGACTCCAAAAAAACCAGAGAAGACTTCCTTATCAAGCTGGCTAAAACCAGCCTGTTTGTGAACTTGGCTGTTAGTTATCTCTTGTGATTTCTTAGAAGGTCATATAAACAATTTGGTTTCCATCTGGTGAGGAGGATTTTAGCATGAGAGACTCCATTTTGGTTTGGTCTGTAGAGGTCTAATACAGAAGCTCAATGCAAAACAACAGCTTCCTATACACGTTATTAAACATGTCCTTCCCGAAAATAGACTAAATCTATTGCTGTTTCATAGCTTTATATGATTTTGATGGAATTCAATTGTGAAACTAATATATCAGAATCTCACATATTTTCAAAAACCCAGAAAAAAGGATTTTGAATTTTTACAACACAAAGAAATTATAAATGTTTGAGGTGATTGATATACTAATTACCCTGATTTGATCATTACACATTGTAGACACATACTGAAATATCACTGTGTTCCATAAATATATACAACTATTGGCTGGGCATGGTGGCTCATGCCTATAATCCCAGTACTTTGGGAGGCTGAGGTGGGTGGATCATTTGAGGTCAGGAATTCGAGATCAGCCTGGCAAACACGGTTAAACCCCGTCTCTACTAAAAATACAAAAAATAGCCAGGCGTGTTTTTGGGTGCCTGTAGTCCCAGCTACTTGGGAGGCTGAGGCAGGAGAATCGCTTGAACCTGGGAGGCAGAGGTTGCAGTGAGCCAAGATCGCACCACTGCACTCCAGCATGGGCAACAGAGTGAGACTCTGTCTCAAAAAAAAAAAAAAAAAAAAAAAAGGAAAAAAATAAAAATATAATTATGTGTCAACTAAAAATAAAAGTTTCAAAAATTTAAAAAAAAACTTTCATTGATGTGCTCCTATCAAGTATTACCTTGAAGAATGAAAGAATTGATAACCTCCTTCAAAAGGACATGCCAATTTTTAAAACCTTTTAATTTTTATTTGCTCATGAAAAGTCTTTCAAATGTAAGATGCATATCAAAAAAAAAAAGTACATCTGAGCTGCTGGCCCCATTATAGATTTGGTCATGAAAATAATTTAATTGTAGAGTTTGAAAAACAGGATTACTGGTATCCTAATGGTACTGAAATTTGGAGAATTGGTCTATCTGATTGTTGCCTGTTGTGTATCCTTGTTAAGGCTTTAAAGAGAAAAAATCGGAACAGGAACCCATGATTTTTTATATTATGCATTACTGAAAAAAACAAAACTTTTCAGATGTTGTAAAAGTTATGGATGAGTCTGGATATTGTTCTCTGTACCTGATGAGGTGACCATCACAGGTCCTTGGAATGAGGTCAGTGAGATATGTGTGCATAGGTAATGAAATTATATGTATTACACATATTTTTGTGTCTTATAAATGAAGAAACTTTACTTTCCCAGGGTCACACAGCTCCCAAAGAGTTGCCCACCTCAAGATCTGACTCAGAACTGGTATTTTTTCTGTTTGGTTCAACCAAAGGTTTTTTGATTACTATGTGCCACACACTATGTTAGGCACTGTAGATAGATAAGAAGATGAATAAGGCATGGCTGTCAACCTGAAGGAGGTTATAGTGTAAAAGAAGATATAGTGATAAGTATTCTGATAGAGCTGGTACTCTCTCTTATACCAATGTTAAGGGAATGCTTTTAGCTTAGTACAATTGTTTAAGAAAGCCTCAGAGACAAACCCCCACTTGAAAGATGAATGAGTAAAATAACTTACAAAAGAGGCATATTCTGCTTCTCTCTGAGGCCTCCACAGAAGTGATATATACTTTATATGATTCCAAGTTGTAATCATTAGTGTTTCATATATTTAGGGATGGCAATATATAGTAGAACATGTAGTTTGGTTATTTTCTAAAGATGTTTTGAATAAAGTCCTTCCTTCCCTGCCAACCTTACCACTGCTATAGGAATATTGGGTAAAATGCCCATTGTACGGGGTCACTTGTTTTTTTTCCAGGCCACCCAGAAAGAAGTTTACCAAGGCAGCTCTAAAGAGCTTCTTAGACCAAGTCCCTTTAAGAAAACCAAGTATCATCGGGGAGAGGCCCTTGGAAAATTTTAAACTGCCTCTGTAAACTTTGACTTGGGAGGATAACTCTTTTTATTTTTTTTTAAAGTACTTCTTGCAGAGCAGGGCTACCCCATAAGCGGTATGCCCAGAGTAGCCGAAGGTAACTCTTGACTGCTCCCTCTCTGGGCAAATCCTCACTGCTACTCTGCCCTCTGGTCTGCTTTTGCCATTTTGTTAGCACTATTGGTCAATCACATGTTCATCTGTTCCTCTGTATCCTGACTTGAGATCTACTCTCAATTTTCCCTGTCCTGCTTGTCTGGTTCTTGCCTGGTTCTGATCTGCCAAGGCCTCAGATTTCAGTCTCTGACCTGCTGACCTGGACAGTTCATGCCCAACCTCCTGGGTGACAGACACAGCCAGCCTGTCTACCAACACCACCCCAACTTGGCAGCCTCTACCTTTGCAGCTAGTCCCAGGCCAGAGCATTGGATTGCATGGTGATGATGACTCTTTTCACCTTTCTACAACACACATGTATAGGTGGGGCACACCAGCATCTTAGGAGGAGAGGAAAGGCCAAGACTAGAAAGAGAAAGAAAAGAAGAGACACCTTCTAGGGAAGGTCTGGAATGGAGTAAAGGGGATCCTCTATGTTTAAACACAGCCCTCAAATTCAATCCTTCAGTAAATGTTTGAGTGTCTTCAGTGTGTCAGACGTTGTGCTGGGTAATAGGAGCATAAGATGAATAAGGAAGCTATTTGGAATTGCAAAAAACTATTGATTGAGAATTAAGCACTTTTACAGAATGTTTTTATCCCTCTGTTATACTTGTCACATAATTTTATGGTAGGTAAGGAAGTTTTCATGGACTAATCTCTTGGTATTATCCTAAGTGAGCTTCTAAGATTATTGTACCCAAAATATTGTTTATAGATTGAAGTTGAGTTACTGGCATGTGAATTTAGTCAATGACTAGGTCTTATGTTTACTGACTGTATCAAAACAGAAGGAATGATTTCCTATGCTTGGCAAATACTCTTATATTCTAGAAATGAGACTGTCAGGAAAATGATGAAGTTTGCCAAACATTGCTTTCAATTTGTTAAAAAAGAGACTGTTGATGTTTTGGGAGTCTTTACCCTCAGTGTGACCTGGTCATTAGAAAACATTGGTCCCAGTGGGATAGCAAAGAGAAAATCTTTTTTTAAAGACGAAGTCTCACTCTGTTGCCCAGGCTGGAGCGCAGTGGCATCATCTCGGCTCACTGCAACCTCCGCCTCTGGGGTTCAAGCAATTCTCCTGCCTCAGCCTTCTGAGTAGCTGGGTCTACAGGTGCCCGCCACCACGTTCGGCTAATTTTTGTATTTTTAGTAGAGATGAGGTTTCACCATAATTGGCCAGGCTGGTCTCGAACTCCTGACCTTGTGATCCGCCTGCCTCAGCCTCCCAAAGTGCTGGGATTATAGGCGTGAGCCACTGCGCCCGGCCGCAAAATGAAAATCTTCTAAGGGCCAAGCAGGGGAATATGTTGGGGTGATGGTCAGGTGGTGAATACAAGAGTGAGATCTTTACAATAGTATTATATCAGATATTATTTTAAAACCACCACAACAATAATGCTGTGCTGGCCAAATGAGAGGATGGCAGAATTTATTAATAGCACTCACCGTCTGGATGTTATCCTGGATACCAGGCTACCCTCTTGGGGAAATTGATTGGGAGAACTGATATATACAAAAAAAGGCAACAGAAAATGGTGCTATTAACAATGATCACCAAAATGTAGTCAGTACTTAGTGTGTGAAATTCTCCTCTTATCCTTTTCTTTAGAATTAGAAACGGCCAATGACACGTTCAACATTTATTCTAAAAAAATAAAATAAGCATGTGTTATATAGGTCATTCATCTACAGATTGATGAACATTGATTTGGACATGTCTTTAGGGACAAAAACAGAAACAAACAAAAAAATCCAGGCTATTAATTTCTTGTATTACCTGAAGAAAAAGTTTGAGTTAACCACATAAAATCTCCATTCCATATTTGTAGTCTCAAAGATAGGGTCTGGGCAGCAAGTCAAAGCAATGCTCTGGAAACATTGTGAGTAGCTAGAACAACTCTTGAGTTCTTACTAAGTATGGACAACATAGTATATACTACTGGGAAAAATCTCACTAGAGCTTATTTAAAACATAATTGTTTGATGATACGTAATTCAACTCAGAATCAGATATGAATCAAATCAGAATCAGGTATGGTGAGGGATAATAAATGGAAAAGAAAAACTCATTGTAGCAGCAAGAAAAGCTTGGCAAAATCAACTCCTCTAAAGGACAAAATTGTTTCTTGATTATAGAGATTTTGTTATTTAGCAAGTATTATTTCTCTTATCTGTTATCTTTTCATAATTCTGTTTCAGGGTCTAATGGCTATTGATTGTCCACATACTGGCATTGTGGACTATCGGCAGGTGGCTTTGTCATTTGCCCAGGATTTCCAAGAAGCAGGTGGCTCTGTCTTGACCAATTTTGAAGTAAAAGGTATTGAAATGGCTAAAGAAAGTCCTTCAAGAAGTATAGATGGTAAGCCATCCTTGTCTTTTCTATTGAATATAGTCAGCCCTCCATATCCATGGGTTTTGCATCTGTGGTTTTAACCAACTGAGGATGAAAAATATTTGGGAAAAAAAACAATAAAAAATAATAGTAGAATAATACATAATACAAATAAAAAAGATAGTATAACAAAAAAATAGCATTTACATTGCATTCGGTGTTATAAGTAATCTAGAAATTATCTAAAATATCCAGCGTATGTGCATAGGTTATGTGCAAATGTTATATGCATTTTATATGAGGGACTTAAGTATCCTTGAATTTTGGTATTTGTGGGGTTCCTGGAACCAATCCTCCTTGGATACTAAGGAACAGCTGTACTTATATTGATTTTTTTTTTAATTGGGATATTTTAGGGGGTAGTGCTGGTGGGAGGGCCACATGGAGCTAGGCTAGAGTATGGTGCAGAACCAGAGGTAGGTACAGAAGGTGCAGACTGAATGTGAGAGAACTGGGACTCCTGGAGGGTCTTGTGCTGGTAGAACCAGGCGGTGGTCCGACACTTCTGACTGGTGCTAAAATCTGAACTGCCAAGGCTGTTTATGGAAAATTTGTCTCCAAACACTTCCCTACCCTGTAGATTACAGTCAGAATCTCTTGACAATGCTTGTTAAAAATGCATTTTTTTTTTCCCCTTGGGGCAGGGTCTTGCTCTGTTGCCTAGGCTGGAGTGCAGTGGCACAATCCCGGCTCACTGTAACCTTCACCTCCCAGGCTCAAGTGATCCTCCCACCTGAGCCGCCCAAGTAGCTGAAACTATAGGTGCTTGCCACCACACCCAGCTAATTTTTGTATTTTTCTTTTTTTTTTTAATTTTAATTTTTATAGAGACAAGGTCTCACTGTGTTGCCCAGGCTGGTATCGAACTCCCGAGCTCAAGTGATTTTCCCTCCTTGGCCTCCCAAAGTGCTAGGATTACAGGTGTGAGCCACCGTGCCCGTCCCAATTTTTGTATTTTTTGTAGAGATGGGGTTCCACCATGTTCCTTATGCTGCTCTCGAACTCCTGGACTCAAGTGATCTGCCCACTTGACCTCCCAAAGTGCTAGAATTACGGGCGTGAGCCACTGTGCCTGGCCAATAGCTAACATTTATTAAGCACTTGGTCCTTTCCAAGTATTAACTCATTTGACTTTTACAATTCTCCGTGGCAGGGTACCATTATTACTCACATTTTTTTAGGGTGAGAAAACAGGCACAGAGAGAGTAAGAAACTTGGCCATGGTTGTACAAGTAGTGAGTGGTGGGGTTTGGATTTCAACTCATAGACTGTACCTAAAGCCCACATAGTTAATTACTGAACTATACTGGACCCACACTATGTTCCCCACAAGCTGAATAACGAGCAAGAATTTCAGATTAACAAAGATGTCAGGTGGAAAGCTTCATTGGTTTAATGAAGACAGAAGAGTTCCAGAAATTGGTGGTTAGAATGAAGGAAAAAGACTGGCTATGAAGCACAACAGGAAGGTGGAAGCTAAGAGGCTGGACTAGGAAAGTAGGACACCAAGGTAATTGCAGAGGGGAGGTCTAGGAAAGGGTTTCTTAATCCTGACACTATTGATATTGGGGCCAGATCGTTCTTTGTCGTAGGGGGCTATCCGGTGCACTGTAGGATGTTTTGTAGTATCCCTGGCTTCTGTCCACTAGATGCCGGTACCATCACGCCCCCAAGTGATGACAATTAAAAATGTCTCTAGGCTAGGTGCAGTGGCTCACACCTGTAATCCCAGCACTTTGGGAGGCCGAGGCGGGCGGATCATGAGGTCAAGAGATAGAGACCATCCTAGCCAACATGGTGAAACCCCATCTCTACTAAAAATACAAAAACTTAGCTGGGCATGGTGGCTCACGCCTGTAGTCCCAGCTACTCAGGAGGCTGAGGCAGGAGAATAGCTTGAACCCGGGAGGTGGAGGTTACGGTGAGCTGAGATCATGCCACTGCACTCCAGCCTGGGTGACAGAGCGAGACTCCGTCACACACACACACAAAAAAAATAAAAAGTATCTCTAAATGTTGGCAAATGTTCTCTTAGAGTTGGGGGTGAAGGAATCACTCCTGGTTAAGAACCATTGCTCCAGACTTACAATTAGACTAGTTTGAACAACCAGGAATAGAGATAAACCAGTAGACTGAAAAAAGGACAAAGAACCATGAACTGAAGAATTTTGAAAGTTCCTATAAAACCAGAATTTTATAACTATGAATGATAATTTATTTTTATTTTATTTATTTTATTTTTTTTGAGATGGAGTTTCACTCTTGTTGCCCCGGCTGGGGTGCAGTGGCATAATCTTGGCTCACTGCAAACTCTGCCTCCTGGGTTTAGGTGATTCTCCTGCCTCAGCCTCCCAAGTAACTGGGATTACAAACATGTGCCACCCCATCTGGCTAATTTTGTATTTTTAGTAGAGACGTGGTTTCACCGTGTTGGCCAGGCTGGTCTTAAACGCTTAACCTCAGGTGATCTTCCTGCCTCAGCCTCCCAAAGTGCTGGGATTACAGGAGCGAGCTACTGCACCCAGCTTGAATGACAATTTATTATACTGCTGGAAAGGAGAGAAAAAAATTTTCATGACATGACATCTCCTTTTTGGCTTGTCTATATATATCAACATGTAAATTAGTCTTCCAGTGTGCTAGACTTTACCACTCCTAAGGAACACATACCATTCTGGAGAATTTTTTTTTTCCTTTTTCTCTCCCTTAGAAGTCTGGACAGCAAATCTAATTGTGAAGTTAAAATTTGCACAAGTACTTTGAGAGGCCAAGGAAGGAGGATCACTTGAGGCCAGGAGTTTAAGACCAGCCTGGGCAACATAGCGAGACCCTGCCTCTACAAAAAATTTTTAAACGTTCACTGGGCATGGTAGCACACACCTGTACTTCCAGCTACTTAGGAGGCTGAGGCAGGAGGATTGCTTGAGCACAGGAGTTTGAGGCTGCAGTGAGCTATAATTGCATCACTGCACTGCAGCCAGGCCGACACAGTGAGACCTTGTCTCAAAAAAATTTTTTTTTTAGGGCTGGGCGCAGTGGCTCGCGCCTGTAATCCGAGCACTTTGGGAGGCCAAGGTGGGTGGAGCGCTTGAGCTCAGGAGTTCAAGACCAGCCTGGGCAACATCGCGAGACCCCATCTTTACTAAACATAAAAATTTTTTTTTAATTAAATAAAATAATTTTTTCTTAATTTGCAAAATCCTATGGGACTCAGATGTACAGCTTACCGGTATAACTATTCAGGTTCTGTATCTCTAAATGGCAAACGTAGTCAGTAGGAAAATTGGCAAACCTGGTGTCTATGTGAAGAGTACAGGACTGAACTGATCCTTTTTATTGATAGCTGTAAATATGTCTATATAAAGCAGTGACCTGGGAGGCGCGTTGGCTCACGCCTGTAATCCCACACTTTGGGAAGCCAAGGCAGGCGGATCACCTGAGGTCAGGAGTTCCAGACCAGCTTGGCCAACATGGTAAAACCCATCTCCACTAAAAATACAAAAATTAGCCGGGTGTGGTGATACGTGCCTGTAATCCCAGCTACTCAGGAGGCTGAGGCAGGAGAATTGCTGGAATCCGGTGGGCAGAGGCTGTAGTGAGCTGATATTGCACCAGCGCACTGCACTCCAGCCTGGGCAACAGAGTGAGACTCTGTCTCAAAAAAAAAAAAAAGCAGTGACCCATGTGGCTCAGTCTTAGAGAGGTGTCAGGGTCACGAAGGAGTAATTTCAAAAGAACTCTTTTGCTTGTATATTTCTTTTTTTTTTTTTTTTCTTTTGAGACGGAGTCTCACCCTATTGCCCAGGCTGGAGTGCAATGGCACGATCTTGGCTCACTCCAATCTCTGCCTCTCAGGTTCAAGCAATTCCCCTGCCTCAGCCTCCTGAGTAGCTGGGATTACAGGCATGCACCACCATGCCCAGCTAATTTTGTATTTTTGGTAGAGATGGGATTTCATCATGTTGGTCAGGCTGGTCTCAAACTCCTGACCTCAGGTGATCCACCCACTTCGGCCTCCCAAAGTTCTGGGGTTACAGGCGTAAGCCACCATGCTCAGCCTGCTTGTATGTTTCAAGAACCATGAAAGGGATCGAAGCAATCTTTTTAAATATGCTTTTTCCTCTTTACTTTCTTCCTTCTTTTTTTTTTTTTAAATAATAAAAAGAGTTGAGGTCTCACTATGTTGTCCATGCTTGTCTTGAACCCCTAAGCTCAAACAACCTGCCCACCTTGGCCTCCCAAAATGCTGGGATTACAGGCATGAGCCACTGTGCTTGGCCCAAAATGCAAATGTTAGCATCACCCATACTTACTGAATCAGACTGTCTGGAAATAGCACCTAGTAATAAGCCTTTAGTGATTCTTAGACACATCCAAGTTTTAGAATGTCAGAATGACAGCCTAAGGTCATAAAATGACCTGGCCATTTGGAACTCCCCCCACCTCATGCCCAGCCCCCACAGTTTAAGAGTTCACTTAGAGTTTGTTTTGTTTTGCTTTGAGGGCATTAATTTTTTTTGTCCAAATGATAGATTTGTGAGCCTTCTATTTGCTGTTGAGAAATTTGAAGGAGAAAAAAAGTAGTGTTCTGTTCTTTCTTCCTTGACAGGTTTTTAAGGAGATCTAAGCCATCTGAATCATTCTGTCTTTCTGAATTCTAAGATGATGAGCAAAATTGTTAAATAATTAAGGTTGTTTTAGGTAGGTAGCATAATAAACCAAATTTGTGATACAAGTAGATTGTATTTATCTGCTCTACATACGCTTTATAAAACTTTGAGATCCCATGTATCTGAGTGGGAACTAATTTTAAAAATGGTCAATTTTTTATTAGAAGTTTTTGTGTTGTGAGAACTCTTGCTTTTCTAAACAACATAGAACCTGCAAGGAATCCAGTAACCAACACTTGGATGACAAGGTTTCTCATATCATAGCTTTAGTCTGTGGGAAAATACATACTGATTTATGATTATCCATTTTACATTGCGGTTTCCAGGATTATAGTTCAGAGAATAGCTATGTCTATATTGGAGGTCAGGTGGCATATGGTTTATAAGCATAGATTAGGTGAATTAAAATCAAGCTAAAAACATGCTGGAGTTTTATATGTTGTTAAGTATGAACTAGTTTAATTGTTATTTGGTAAAAAGTTTCAGAATGAACTGTAAGGTGCAATCATAGTAATGACAGAAAAAGGTTATTTAAGTTTGTTTCTAGTATGATATTTCAAATAATGTTGGCCTTTTGCTAAAAATAAATTTTTCACTTATTCTTTTTTTTCAGGAATGCAATATCCAATTGTTATAAAGAATACAAAGGTAAAGATTCTTAAGCAAAACTGCTGGCTACTTTCTTTCCCTCCCCTTTATTAAAAATTAAATTAACCCACAGGGCTGTATTTTAAGTTATTGAATGACATTTGTCTAATGTAATTCTGAGAGAATTTCTTTTAGGGAAGTTTAACAGCTTTTATTCTAAGGAGGGTTTCAACTTGGGAATGTCCTAATTAAGTGGCTCTGCTGGCAAAGAACAGGATTATAAGCATATGGAGTGTTTAATTTTAAGGCAAAACTAATATTTTATCACTCTATCTACTGATCTCCACTAACTTATTAACTCTCTATAAATCAGAAGACTTCGGAAGAGGGAGTATGCAGGTTGTCCAGAGGGAGATGGACTGCTTTTATTCATCTTCACATGGACCTAAAGCAAGAACCACTGAATGGCATAGAAGCAGTGGATTCCCTGTAGGTTCGCTGCATCAAGTTGTACTCAAGGGAGCAGAGTCATTAATGAGTGCTATAGGATTTATTATAGGAATAAGACCTTACACAATTGTGGAAGTTTCTGGGAAAGCATAGATTCAGAAGAGAGTTGATGGATCAGTAATTGGGAAACAGAGCTGAATGCGGAGCTGGAATTCACTGGACAGTGGGTATCTGTCTGTCACCTCATTGGACTAGGATGACCTTCAGAGAATAATACCTGCTGATTTACTTCTGCCACCAGATTATTATTATTATTATTATTATTATTATTATTATTATTATTATTATTATTATTTTGAGACGGAGTCTCACTGTGTCGCCCAGGCTGGAGTCCATTGGTGCAGTCTTGGCTCACTGCAAGCTCCGCCTCTCGGGTGCACACCATTCTCCTGCCTCAGCCTCCCGAGTAGCTGGGACAGGCGCCCGCCACCACACCTGGCTAATTTTTTTGTATTTTTAGTAGAGACGGGGTTTCACCATGTTAACCAGGATGGTCTCGATCTCCTGACCTCATGATCCACCCGCCTCGGCCTCCCAAAGTGCTGGGATTACAGGTGTGAGCTACCACGCCTGGCCCTCTGCCACCAGATTATATGCATCTCCTGTTTTGACCAAGTTTAAGTTGGAACCATGAAGAGAAGGGGATTCTGTCAAGCATAGTTCCTAGCTTAACCAAATGGACTCAGTACAAACCCCTACAGTCCACCCTTTGTCAACCTGACATCTGTCCACGCCCCTTATAACCTTATAACGATATTTAGCTTCCAAATAAAGACAGAAGTAAAAGTATGCTTCCACCTAACAAGGTGTAACTGTCCTTCATAGGACTGAAGACATGCTAACTAACTCTCAAAAAAAAAAACAAAAAAAAAACAGTCTACTTTATCCATCCTGGATTATGTTTAATTTCTACTAGCTGAGTTACACTCCCCCTTTGAGATCCTGTCACTTAAATACCAAGATATAAGGTTAACCACTATTTAAGCATTTTATATTAGATTAGTAGTTCTCAACTAGAGGCAATTTTACTCCTCGGGGAACATTTGGCAATGTTTAGAGACATTTTTGATTGTCACAACTGGGATGGGGGAGGGACACAGCTACTGGGATTTGGTGGGTAGATACCAGGAATGTTGCTAAACATCCTTCAGTGTGGGGAATAGGCCTCCAAAACAAAGAAATGTCTAGCCCCCAAAGTCAGTAGTACTGAGGTTGAGAAACCCTGTGTTAGATAATGTGGGAATGGTAGAGATGAGTGTATTAGTCTTCTCAGACTTCCATAACAAAATAGCACAAACTGGGTGGCCTAAAAAGCCCACAGTTCTGGAGGCTAAAAGTCCAAGATTAAGGTGCTGGTAGGGTTGACTTTTGGCTTGTTAATGGCTGCCTTCTTACTATGTCCTCACATGACCTCTTGTCTGTGTGTGCCGGAAAAGAGAGCGCATGATCTTGGGTGTCTCTTCCTTTTATAAGGACACCAGTCCTATTGGATTAGCCCCTACCCTTATGACCTCATTTAACCTTAGTTACCTCCCTAAAGGCCCTGTTTCCATATACAGTTCACATTAAGGGTTGGGACTTCAACATATGAATTGGGGTGGGGGGGGCACAATTCAATCTATAGCAATGGGAATAAAAAAAGAATTAGGTAATGTATGGAGAAATGTATTATTTTAAAGTAAAGAAGATATACTCAGATGATAACATCCCTCATTTCTGTGACTAGTCATGTGGCCATAGCCAATATTTATAATTTCCTTCCCCTACTATGCATTTCATATTCTCTTTGCCTTTGGCAAGCATCTCAGCTGGTCATGGTTTCTAGTTTGGTGGTGTAGCTCAAACTTTCATTCCTGAAGTCTGTGCCGTTAGCAGCCCTGGCTGTTTTGGGTCGAGGTAGTTTCCAGTAACTTTTATAACAGTACATGGGAATACTAAGAGAAGCTTCAGGAGATGTGTATTCCAGGCATATTCCTCTTTATCATCCCCAAGCCTAGTTGTGGTAGCAACTCATTTTCTTGAGAGTCAGGATTAGTTATCCAATTCAGTATAGCAGTCCCCTCTTTGATTTACTGGCAGGGGAACCCAAAGTGGCCAGGTGTTGCAGTATCAACCTCCAGTTTAATGGAACCACTGTCATTCTCTAATGGAAGTACTTCTCCCTTGGGAACTAAGACCTCTAGATCATAATAGCGAAGTTGTGGGGATAGAATGCAAAAATTTCATGTAGTAGATGATTGAGGTAATAGTAAGGAACCACTCTCATTTCTACCTCAATTTCCAGACTTGTGAATTCTGGCTGTGGGAGAAACAATACCATATATTAGTCACTGATTTAGAGCACATGGAGCATCCTGGAGGACATTGCCCCAGCCCTGCAAGGAGTTGCCAGCCAGCTAGTGCTATTACTTCTAAAGCCCATTCCAGTTTCTGTCACCCAGTGGCTTCAGGGTGATGGGGAAAATGGTAAAATCAGTGAATTCCATGAGCCTGAGCCTATAGCTGCATTTCATTTGCTGCAGAATAAGTTCACTGATCAGAAGTAATGCTTCTCTGTAAAATACCATGATGGTGAATAAGACATCTCATAAGTTCACACATGGTGGCTTTGGCAGAAGCATTATAGGCAGGGAAGACAAATTTATATTCAGAGCAAGTGCCTATGCCAGTGAGAAGTAAGTGCTACCTTTTCTATGATGGAAGTGGTCCAGGGACCACATCAGTGGCTCTGTTGCTATCTACTATTGGCAGATTGAGCACTCAGCATTAGCTGTAGACAGATCAGCCTTGGTGAGTAAGTCCATGTCGCTGATCACCTCCATCCTTGCTACCATAACTATGTTTTCCAGTTCTATGTTTACATTGTGAAATGATTATCACAATCAAGTTATTTGATATCATATCTGCCACCTCACATAGTTACCATTTATGTGTATGTGATGAGAACACTTAGATTTGTTATCTTAGCAAATTTCAAGTATACCATACAGTATTATTACCTGTAGTCACCATGCTGTATATTAGATTTCTAGAACTTATTCATCCTATAATTGAAAGTTTGTACCCTTTGACTGCTATCATCCCATTCCTGCCCACCCCCCTCCCAGTCTGTAGCAACCATCATTGTACTCTCTTTTTCTATGAGTTCAACTTTTTTAGATCTCACATGTAAGTGAGATCATACAGTATTTGTCTTTCACTGTCTGGCTTATTTCACTTAGCACAGTATCTTCCATGCCCACCCATGTTGTCACAAATGGCAGAATTTTGTCCTTTTTATGGCTGAATAATATTGCATTGTGTATATATATCACATTTTCTTTATCCATTCATCTGTCAATGGACACTTAACGTTGTTCTCATGTCTTGGCTGTTGTGAATAATGCTGCAATGAACATGAAAATGCAGATATCTCCTTGAGGTACTGATTTTGTTTTCTTTGGGTATATACCCAGAGGAAATCATATGGTAGTTCTATTTTTAATTTGGATCATATGGTAGTTCTATTTTTAATTTTTTGAGAAACGTCCTTACTGTTTCCTGTGATGGCTGTCCAATTTACATTCCCATCAATAGGGCATTCTACATCCTCACCAATGCTTGTTTTCTTTTGTCTTTTTGATAATAGCCATCCTAATAGATGTGAGATGATATCTTATTGTGGTTTTGATTTTCCTGATGATTAGTGATTTGAACACCTTTACATATATCAGTTGGCTATGTGTATATCTTTGAAAAAATACATAAAAATACATATTCAGGTCCTTGGCCCCCCCACTCCCCTTTTTTTTTTTTGAGACAGGGTCTCTGTCACCCAGGCTGAAGTCCAGTGGCATGATCATGGCTCACTGCAGCCTCAAACTCCTGGGCTCAAGCTGTCCTCTTACCTCAGCCTCCCAGGTAGCTGGTATTACAGGCACGTGCTGCCATGCCCGGCTTCTTTGCCCATTTTTATTTATTTATTTTATCTTATTTTATTTATTTATTTTTTGAGATGGGGTTTCACTCTTGTTGCCCAGGCTGGAGTGCAATAGCGCGATCTCGGCTCACCTCAACCTCTGCCTCCTGGGTTCAAGCGATTCTCCTGGCTCACCCTCCTGAGTAGCTGGGATTACAGGCATGTGCCACCATGCCCAGCTAATTTTGTATTTTTAGTAGAGATGGGGTTTCTACATGTTGGTCGGGCTGGTTTTGAACTCCGACCTCAGGTGATCTACCCGCCTTGGCTCCCAAAGTGCGGGGATTACAGGCGTGAGCCCCTGTGCCCGGCCTTTCTTTGCTCATTTTTTAATCGGCTCATTTGTTCTTTTGCTATTGAATTATATGAGTTTCTTACATTTTTTGGATATTAACCTGTTATCAGATATATGGTTTGCAAATATTTTCTCCAATTCTGTAGGTTGTCTCTTTATTGTCATTTCTTTTGCTGTGCAGAAGCTTTTTAGTTTGATATAGTCCCACTTGTTTATTTTTGCTTTTGTTGCCTGTGCTTTTGGTGCCTTATATATTAAAAAAAAAATTGCTGAGACCAATGTCTTCCCTGTGTTTTCTTCCAGGAGTCTTAGTTTTCAATCTAAAATCTTTAATCTTTTAATCTAAATATTTAATCCAGTTCAAGTTAATTTTTGTGAATGGTGTAAAAAAGGAGTCCAATTTCATTCTTTTGCATGGGGCTATCCAGTTTTCCCAGCACCATTTATGGAGACTATCTTTACACCTAATCATGTAGTTCATGATGCCGTCAGGTAAAGACAGGGGTGCCTGGAGAAAGAGGCTAACTAACATCCACAGGGCAGGTCATCTTTTTCTAATGATTATTAAAATTGTCCTTGGCCAAGATTTCTCTTCAGTGAGCATTCATATGGAGCTTGAATATCTTTACTCTCTGAAACTGTTTTGGAGTGGTCCATTCATATACCTTTCTCCAGAGGTCCTTTCCCTGTCCATCTAGCCAAACCATTAGTTGTTGCACATGAAACAGTGTAGATCCATATCTTTGGCCATCAGTCCTTCTAAAGTAAGATGAACAGCTAGGTGTGATGTTCAGAGGTCTGCCCACTGAGAATATTTTCTGCACCACAGTCCTTCAGGGCCACTCATGAGTGGGGCTCTGGTGCTGTGGCTGTTCAGTTGTGTGTGGTACCAGAATATTGTGCAGAACCATTTCTAAACCTGGCCTATATTTTTTCTTCTTTGGTCAACTGGTCATAGAGAACTCCCCATGGGTCTATAGAGGCAGGTTGATAGGAAGGAGGCAATTTAGCAGGAGTAGGGGCCATGGGAATTTGAACCACTTGCCTCTTCAACTTACGTGTGCCAGCAGGACCTGTACAACCCTTATCTTACAATTTTTCTTAATGATGGAATGCTGCTATATACACCCAATTTTGTGGCTTGATGAGTCAGACAACACCACCCAGTTAATAATGGGTAGCTCATATGGTAAACTTAGTGACCTGTGGTCAAGTGTTCAGTCAAAGCCAGAAGCACTTTCTCAAAAGGAGGTTAGTTATCTGCAGAGGATGATATAACTTTCCTCCAAAAACCCTAAAGTTCTGTGCTGTGATTTGCCTACAGGTGCCTTCCAAAGGCTCCATAAAGCATGACTATCTGCTGTAGACCCTTCGATTACCATCAGATTTGCCGGGTCATGTGACCCAGGTGGCAGGCTTTCCATTCAAAGAAGAATTGAAAATCTGTTTCTGTGCCTGCCCTCATCTAAGGGACATTTTCACTAGAGTATAGCATCATATGATAGAATATATACAGGGGCCTATGGCATACCAGTGGATATATACTTTGTACCCAGAGTTGCCATTCTTTATTTTGGCATTTTCAGTAAGTATAATTTTGGGTTCACATTCAAATTGGGGGGTCCACTTACCAGGTTGAAATAGTTTTATGAAAAGTTTAAAGAAATTTTTTCTTTTTGAGACAGTCTCACTCTGTTACCCAGGCTGAAGTGCAGAGGCACGATCTTGGCTCACTGTAACCTCTGCCTCCCAGATTCAAGTGATTGTTGTGCCTCAGCCACATGAGTAGCTGGGATTACAGGTGTGTCTCACCACGCCTGGTTAATTTTTGTATTTTTAGTAGAGACAGGGTTTCACCATGTTGTCCAGGCTAGTCTTGAACTCCTGGCCTCAAGTGATTCACCCACTTCAGCCTCCCAGAGTGCTGGGATTACAGGTGTGAGCCACTGCGCCTGGCCAGGGATTTTTAAAATAAATTTTTGCAGGTAGGATTTGCTAATTAAAGGTTTATACATTGGATATGGGGAGGGGGGAATCTGCTTCACTTATGAAAGAGCAACAGACATGCATGGTTTATTTCTTTGTCTTCTTTTTATTTATTTATTTTTTTAATTGGGGACTTTATCTCTAATAAAACATAGGGAGACAAGGTCTCCCTGTGTTGCCCAGGCTGGTCTTGAACTCCTGGGCTCAAGTGATCCTCCCACTTTGGCCTCCCAAAGTGTTGGGACTACAGGCGTGAGCCACCGTGCCAAGCCTAAAAGAAATTTTTGTTGAACTAATGTATCATTTGATGGTTACCTAAATTTTAATTTGGAGGTAAAATTAATATGTTACTGAATTTAATTATTGTTTCACATATAGCATAAAATGATTTCAGAGACCTGTGATAGTTTTTGATAATTTCTTTCTTGGGAACTGTTGCTTGAGTTTTGAAAGAGAACTATTAGGTTATTGCATGCTGGTACCATTTTATAAATTCTATTATTATCTTTACATCTATCATAGGACTTATCTGCATTTTTTTTGTTCCAAGAACGAAAGAACTGCCAATCTTTTGTGTAGGAGCTGATGATTTATATCACAAAAATACTTCTCATATTTCTAGAATATAACTCTAGATGAACAGGAAAGATATTAACCTATTTAGAAGAAGTTATTTTTGGCTGGGTGCGGTGGCTCACGCCTATAGTCCCAGCTGTTCGTTTAGGCAGGAGAATTACTTGAACCCAGGAGGTTGAGGCTGTAGTGAGCCAGGACTGCGCCATCGCACTCCAGCCTGGGTAATGGAGCAAGATCTTGACAGCCCTTTTGACTTCAAAGGTCTTAAAACAGTCATGGCTTAGTCTAGCTAATTTGAATTCATTATGGAGAAGTTGCATCTAATTTTTGTAAAAACTATGACATGTATAACTCCTGAAAAGAGGCTTAACTTTCTAGCAAGGGCAAAAATAGGATACATATAGAGGTGAAAATTTAGCTCAATAGAGTAAGGCTAAACAGTAAGGCCTGGCCGGGCGCGGTGGCTCACGCCTGTAATCCCAGCACTTTGGGAGGCCGAGGCGGGTGGATCACGAGGTCAGGAGATCGAGACCATCCTGGCTAACACGGTGAAACCCCGTCTCTACTAAAAATACAAAAAATTAGCCGGGCGTGGTGGCGGGCGCCTGTAGTTCCGGCTACTCGGAAGGCTGAGGCAGGAGAATGGCGTGAACCCAAGAGGTGGAGCTTGCAGTGAGCCGAGATCGCTGCCACTGCACTCCAGCCTGGGCAACAGAGTGAGGCTCCGTCTCAAAACAACAACAACAACAACAACAACAACAAAACAGTAAGGCCTGGAAAGAAAGAAAATGTTGAGACAGGTGAGAACTCTGAGGCTTCAAAAATAGGTCATCTGGGAAGAAGATCTAAGAATAAGAACAGAATTGCTAGGTGTTTACTCTGTAAGAAGTAAAGAGATGGGAATTCAAGTGTGGTGGTGAATGCGGGATAAATGAAGTCATTTAGGAAATAGGGTGACAAATTGGCTAAACTTAGTGAGTAAAGTTAAAAATAAGCAGATGATAATCACAAAATAAAATTTATAGGAAATCATAACAGCCTAACATTAGCAGTCTAAAGCTGGTCACTAAAGCAAACGTTGAACGTAGTGTGTGCTCTCATTAAATGTGCATTGAATGAATGAGATTTCTAAAGTGTCCTCAGTTTGCAAAGTAGATATTGATTAGGAAGGAGAAATTGCTTGGTGGGTAGGTTACAGTTGCAACTGGGCAGGATTATTGAGTGTGAAGCAACCGAAGAGTAACACGGTAATTGCTCAGATACAGGAGAAGCTGGTTGCAATACAGAGTTTGCCTTTAAATGAGAGGGTTACAGGCCCTTCGACTTCAGTGCCAGAGATGTTATGGATATAATTATCAATAGGTAATAACTTTAATTTTAAAATGATTTTATGTGCTTATATTTTTAATGTAGGAAGTTTTGTCTTTCTTGATATTCTGCTGATTGGGTAAATCCTCATATTTGTGATTGGTATATTGAATTTTTAATTAATCCAAATTAAAAGCTGTGGGGT
Organism: Homo sapiens; assembly: GCF_000001405.40. NCBI lineage: Eukaryota > Metazoa > Chordata > Mammalia > Primates > Hominidae > Homo > Homo sapiens. Next base: position 50,269,741 of record NC_000014.9, on the reverse strand, counting down.
GGGTGGGGGAGCAAAAAAAATTGGTGGAGGCTGTCTAAATGACATTTGCTTCCTCATGCAGCAAATAGTTAAGAAGCTCCCTGCTAGGTCCTAATAAACAGATTTGTATGTATTTGTATGTATGTATTTGTGTGCATGCATGTATACCTTACTAAGTATCCTTGCTAGGTTGACCATTATTATCTTTACAGTACAAAATTTAAGGTGACATCCTCTTACATGCCACTATCCTAAGTTTCTAGCTGCCACCTAAATGCTAAAGAACATATTTTGCTGATACCTGTATTGAATATCCTCTTTTAGAAAAAATTCTATTTCTGTACCTTTTTTTCTTTTCTATCACCTGTTTTTCCCCTCTTGACCTATTCTACTCCACTTTATACAAATAACTGTTCTTTTATTTTGCACTAGGGAGAGGAAATTCGATGTCAGTATGTTGTGACATGTGCAGGACTTTACTCAGACCGTATTTCAGAGTTGAGTGGCTGCACTCCTGATCCTCGAATTGTACCATTCCGGGGAGATTACCTGCTTTTGAAGCCAGAAAAATGTTATCTTGTAAAAGGAAATATTTATCCGGTAGGTAATGATGCTTCCTACTTCTCATTTTTTTCAAGCAGGTGGTGGTCATAAAGGAGATGAAAACAACTTTCACTTGGGTCAGAAATAAGAGAAATTTTGAAGGACCGTTTTTGTAAGCATTTCATCGGTTTCTCTTGTGGTTAAATCCCTAAATCTTTATCCCTGTATCATGGTTATTAAATTGTAATTAATTGCCTGCAGGTACATGTCTCCAGAAAGCATGAGTGCACTCTGGGAAGTGCTATCAAGAAGGAACTGAATTCTACCTTCTCTCTGGTGGAGGGAAAGGGAAAACTTTCCCTTATGGAAGTCCCTGATACCCAACCCTTTTCCTCAGTTCACTATCTGTAGGTACAGAAAAGGGATGTGGCCACTCTGTAGTTTCAGGGAGTAGAAGACAGAGGTATTTAAATGAGGAGTTCATTCTTCTGTCTGGAACTACCCTGGAAATGAATGAATCTCTTAAAATATATTAGGTCGAACCAGATGAAATAGTCAGTATTCGGCTATTTGATATTTTTGAGCTTGCCGAAACATGAATTTCATCTGCTTCAACCTCATGTATTTGTACTTTGCAGAAGCCTGTGCTATGAATGTGTATTTTTTTCTGGCAGCTCTGATTTTACTTGCCAGTCATAGACATCCCTTGTGAAAGACCGAGAATAGCCTGAAGTAAGACAGTTCATCTTTTTTTTTTCCTTTACCCAGAAAGATGCATAGATGGAACAATCTATTAGTGTCAGTAGCATCAGAGTTTCTTTTTTTTTTTTTTTTTTTTCCTGAGACAGATTCTCACTCTGTTGCCCAGGCTGGAGTGCAGTGGCATGATCTTGGCTTATTGCAACCTCCATCTCCTGGGTTTAAGTGATTCTCATGCCTCAGCCTCCCAAGTAGCTGGGATCACAGGTGCACACCACCACGCCAGGCTAATTTTTGTATTTTTAGTAGAGATGGGGTTTCACCATGTTGGCCAGGCTGGTTTTGAACTCCAGATCTCAAATGATCCTCACGCCTCAGCCTCCCAAAGTGTTGAGATTACAGGCGTGAGCCACCACACCCAGCCAGCATCAGGGTTTCTTGTGTGCATTTCTAAGCAGAAGCATGTTAATGGAAAAGTATATCTGAGTACAGCTCACAATACAAATTAAATGCATGAGAAGAAAGTGTTTTATGTTACCAATTGAATGTTTGCATCTCTGATAACATGGAATGTGAAATGAGGCTGTTATTTACTATGTTAAATTTATAGGTCCCAGATAGCCGGTTTCCTTTCCTAGGAGTTCACTTCACACCAAGGATGGATGGCAGTATTTGGCTAGGGCCTAATGCAGTTCTTGCCTTTAAACGAGAGGGTTACAGACCCTTTGACTTCAGTGCCACAGATGTTATGGATATAATTATCAATAGGTAACATTATTTATTTTTAAAAATGATTTTATGTGCTTATATTTTCAATGTGGGAAGTTTTGTCTTTCTTGATACTCTACTTATTGGGTAAATCCCCATATTTGTGATTGGTATATTGAATGTTGTATTAATCCAAATTAAAAGCTTTGGAGTGGATGGGGTAGCAAACAAACAAACAAACAAACAAAAAAAAAAATGCCTTTTGGAATAAGTATAACATTTTAACTACTTCAAGAAAATTCTGTTGAGCTGGGGTTAAAAAGAAAAGGCTGGCTGGGCGCAGTGGCTCATGCCTGTAATCCCAGCACTCTGGGAGGCCGAGGCAGGTGGATCATGAGGTCAGGAGATCAAGACCATCCTGGCTAACACGATGAAGCCCCATCTCTACTAAAAATACAAAAAATTAGCTAGGCGTGGTGGCTGGCACCTGTAGTCCCAGCTACTTGGGAGGCTGAGGCAGGAGAATGGCATGAACCCGGGAGGCAGAGCTTGCAGTGAGCTGAGATCGCTGCCACTGCACTCCAGCCTGGGCGACAGAGCAAGACTCCATCTCAAAAAATGAATAAATAAATAAATAAATAAATAAATAAATAAATAAATAAATAAAAATAAAAAGAAGATAAGGCCAAGAGTTATTCATATATCTGGCAATCCAAATCTTGTATTGCTAAGTTTCCAGTTTTATTTGGTGGGGGAGGAAATAGATTCTCTCAAAATCAGTAGATGGCTATTTTAATAAAATCATTTTGAGCCAGTCTCCATCATTTTGTAAGCCACTGGAGAAATTACTGATGACCAAAGTAATTTCCTTGTGTAGGAAACTAACAATACGATTGTGTTGACCTAAGATGCAGATTCTTTACTATTGTAAGAAATACTGAATTAGGTATTTTGTTTGGTCCTTTTACCAATGTTTCTCTCTAAAGGGTTTCACATGAAAATCACTAGATTTTCCTGTTTAAATCACTAGATTTAAAGCTATACTTGAGTTTCACCCTCTATGGATTCTGAAACAGAAAGTTTAGGATGGAGCTTCCTGGCACATGTAGTTGTAAAAATATATACATATGTGCATCTAGGCTTTGCAGAGTCTCACTTGAAAATCACAACTAAAGTTTTTTTGGTTTTTTGTTTTGTAATTTTGAGACAAGGTCTCACTTTGTCCTCACTGCAGCCTCAACCTCCTGGGATCAATCAGTTCTCCCACTTCAGCCTCCAAGTAGCTGGAACTACAGGCAGATGCTACCATGCCCAGATAATTTTTGTGTTTTCTGTAGAGACAGGGTTTCGCCATGTTACACAGCCTGGTCTCGAACTCCTGGGCTCAAGCAATCCACCTGCCTTGGCCTCCCAAAGTGCTGGGATTACAGGCATGAGCCACTACACCCTGCCTAAACAACTAAAGTATTTTACCTCTGGCTGACTAAAGAAATCTAGGGTAGATGTCCCATTTCTTTCATACCCTGCCTTTTAGGTGTGTTGAAGGCATCTAATATTTCCATTAGAAAGCCTTGATGTTGGCAGGCTTTATAGAGTTCCAGTTTGAAACCAGCACTCCTTGGGAATTTGAGTTTAGAGGGTGTTTACCTCTGTATTTTTTTTTTTTTTTGAGTCAAAGTTTCACTGTTGCCCAGGCTGAAATGCAGTGGCACAATCATTGGTTACTGCAGCCTCAAACTCCTGGGCTTAAGCGAGCCTCCCACTTCAGCCTCCCTAGTAGCTGGAACTACAGGCACACACCACCATGCCCAGCTCTGTTTACCTCCTGAGCTGATGAGGTTTTCTTCTGATATTGGCCAAAAGTTGATTTTCATTGATTCATTGATTGATTGGTTGATTGAGAGAGGGTCTCTCTCTGTCGCCCAGGCTGGAGTGCAGTGGCACGATCTCAGCTCACTGCAACCTCTGCCTCCTGGGTTCAAGCAATTCTCCTGCCTCAGCCTCTTGATTAGCTGGGATTACAGGTGTGCACCACCACACCTGTCTAATTTTTGTATTTTTGGTAGAGACAGTGTTTTGCCATGTTGGCCAGGCTGGTTTCAAACTCGTGACCTCAAGTATTCCGCCCGCCTTGACCTCCCAAAGTGTTGGGATTACAGGCGTGAGCCACCACTCCTGGCCTTGATTTTCTTTTAATCTGTAGTTTTTCTGACTTTGCCTAGATTTTTGTGATGACATAAAAAAAGAATCTAATAATTATAAAGGTATTTTACGTAATAAAGAATTCCTTTCTCTCATAAAGATTTTTTTTCTCTGTTTTCAGTGGCTTGATTAAACTGGCATCCCAGAATTTTTCCTATGGAGTTACTGAAATGTATAAAGCATGTTTTCTTGGTGCAACAGTGAAGTATCTTCAAAAATTCATCCCTGAAATTACTATCAGTGATATACTTAGGTAAGGAAAAGGGATAAGGAGTGTAAATACAGTCCTGACCTATGTGAACTTGAGAGGTGGGTCTGACTTGGTGATTAGTAAGTACCATTTCAGAGTCAGTCTGCATATGCACTGAATTTTTGTTTGCTTTCTTTCCCAACATGTTGTTGAATTCCCTTTGCAGTGCATTTATTGGGCATTGCTACATCATGGCCCTTAGTGCTGGTCCATTTATAATTATCTAGACTGCCTTACAGCTCTAATCTGAAATCTCTATGACAGCTTTATTGTGATGCTACCTTAGCCTTTTTGTCTAACTATCACTCCTGATAAAAACAACTTGCCTGAATTTTTAAAAATCTCTCTGGCCAGTTAGTCTTGTGATTCCAAAGCCTTTTGGCCTTAATTTTGTATAAGATTATTGATCACTATGTTAACTAATTAGGTAATAAGCACATTAAAACATTATATTTTGATTGATTCTTAAAACTTAAAAAAAACCTTTTAGGTTTGGGGTACATGTGAAGGTTTCTACATAGGTAAACACATGTCATGGGGTTTATTGTACATATTATTTTATCACCCACATATTAAGCCCAGTACCCAATAGTTATCTTTTCTGCTTCTCTCCTTCCTCCCTCCCTCCCCACTTAAGTAGACTGCAGTGTCTGTTGTTTCCTTCTTTGTGTTCATGTGTTCTCATCATTTAGCTCCCACTTATAAGTGAGAACATGTGGTATTTGGTTTTCTGTTCTTGTGTTAGTTTGCTAAGGATGATAGCCTCCAGCTCCATTAAAACCTGTTAGAAACACACTCCTAGACCTGGCATCTCACCTTGCTTCTTCTCTACTTCTTTTGTTCTTTCTTGGACCTTACTGCACTCAGGGACTCTACTTTCAGGATAGAAGTGGAAAGCAGTGTGGTAACAATCAGAGTCCTTGCTACAGGGGTGTGGGGCAAAGTAAGGACAACTTGCATCTTTTATTTTTATATTTTTTCTGAAATGGAGTTTCGCTCTTCTTGTCCAGGCTGGAGTGCAATGGCACCATCTCAGCTCGCTGCAACCTCTGCCTCCTGGGTTCAAGCAATTCCCCTGCCTCAGCCTCCTGAGTAGCTGGGATTACAGGCATGTGCCACCACGCCCGGCTAATTTTGTATTTTTAGTAGAGACAGGGTTTCTCCTGTTAGCCAGGCGGGTCTCAAACTCCCGACCTCAGGCGATCCACACGCCTCAGCCTCCCAAAGTGCTGGGATTACAGGCGTGAGCCACTGCACCCAGCCACATCTTTTATTCTTAAAGATAAAAGACTGGCACGGCGGCTCACACCTGCAATCCCAGCACTTGGGAGGCTGAGGCGGGTGGATCACCTGAGGTCAGGAGTTCGAGACCAGCCTGACCAAAATGGAGAAACCTTGTCTCTATTAAAAATACAAAATTAGCCAGGCATGGTGGCACATGCCTGTAATCCCAGCTATTTGGGAGGCAGAAGCAGGAGAATGGCTTGAACCTGGGAGGCAGAGGTTGCAGTGAGGCAAGATCACACCATTGCACTCCAGCCTGGGCAACAAGAGCAAAACTCCGTCTCACAAAAAAAAAAAAAAAAGATAAAAGGCTTTCTAGACTTGATCTGTAGATTATTCTTAATACCACCCAAACCTATTTTTTTCCCCTCTTTGGTAATGTTTTTAGTGTTCACCTTTTTTCCTGAGCAAGCCATTCGTTAGGCCTAATCAGCAGTGTACTTTGAGGTACTCTCACCCTCCATTTACAATCCATCCCTCCATGAATTTTCTTAGCACTAGATATCTGCTTTCTCTGCAACAGCTGCTGAACTAGCCTGGTAAAAAATGTCAGCAGGCTTGACTGTGTATCTGTGTAGAGAGCAATAATCATGTCAGCTGTCTCTCTTAGGGGAGCGTCCTCGTTTAAATCTGACTGTAATGTATCATTCTGAGACCAGCATGTTTGAATCCTTAGAAGATTAAAACTCAGCTAACGTTTTTCCTCTTATCTCTTTCACTCCTCTACTCACCTTCTGAAATAGAAGGGATAAAAATATCTAGCCATTATTTTCTTTCACTCACTTATAAGTAAGGGCTTTTATGTTTTCAGTGATCTGCTTTAGCAAACTTGTGATGTTTTATATCTGAAAATAGACTGGTCAAATCTGGTTTCTATTACTGCTATTGATATTCCTTGGAAAACAAACGAGGTGAGCATAGTGAATTCTGTATAAAAATAGTTGCAGTGAATTCACTGCCTGTATTCAGTTACCACCCTTTATAGAAGCCTGAGGAAAACTTTTTAGACCACTGGATTTCATATGGTAGAACTGGACTTCGGGCTTGTGGTTATTAGTGAACTCTCCTGTCTCTGGGTGTAAGGGTGTGAATTTCTGTTACCAATTTCATTGGCATGTAGTAGAAAAGGGCACAGCACTGCAGGCAGGTGCATTTGGGGACAAATTCAACCCAATCACAGATGAGTTCCTCTTTAAAGAGAGAAAAGCTAACTAATTCAGCAATTCCATTTGCTTCGTCTCTTGATTCCTATAGTTATTAAGTGCAGGAAATTATTAATAACAAAAAGGAAGCTGTAGAAGATATGTTTTTGGGTTTCTCGGGGGAAGATACGTTTGATACCATTTGTATAAGTTTTAAAACAAGTATAGCAAAACCATATATTGCTTACGGATTATACATGTAGTATGAAAATAAAAATGAGCAGGGGAGTGATAAACACCTAATTCAGGAGAGTGGTTACCTCTGGTGAGGGAAGAGAATGGGATCTTGAGAGTTCTACAGAGGCTTCTATCATATCGGTAATGCTTTGTTTCTTAAGCTGTTAGATAAAAAAATGGGTATTCATTGTGTTAGTCTCTCTTCCTTGTGATAGCCTGAAATATTAAATAATAAAAATAAGATCAATAGACTTTTTTTTTTTTTTTTTGAGACAGAGTCTCGGTCTGTTGCTAGGCTGGAGTGCAGTGGTACAATGTCGGCTTACTACAACCTCCGACTCCCTGGTTCAGGCGATTCTCCTGCCTCAGCCTCCCGAGTAGCTGGGATTACAGGCACGTGCCACCATGCCCAGCTAATTTTTGTATTTTTAATAGAGACAGGGTTTCATAGAGAGCCAGGATGGTCTCAATCTCCTGACCTCATGATCCTCCTGCCTTGGCCTCCCAAAGTGCTGGGATTACAGGGGTGAGCCAATGCGCCTGGCCAAGATCAATAGACTTTTCCACAGCTTGAAGCCTAAGTCCTGCCTTGTCTCCTTTGTCTTGCAACCAGTATACTAAACCATAAATGCCCTTAGTATTGCAGTGAAAGCACATCAGGCATTAGTAAATAGTAAAATATAGTTGAAGCAACACTTTCAGTGGGGTGTGTTTCCCAGGATGGTGTCCTTAAATTTCATTAACCACTGAAGGGCACCCAGGTTGACTTCTCATTGCTTAGCCAGAGCATTTTGGGCAATAATTTACTGGTGAACATGAGATTGGAATATAAAGTTACAATCTGTTAAATATTTGCATTAGATAAACTTCTCATTGTTAAATGATGGTCTCTAAGACTCTTAATGTTAGCTCTAGGCCAGGCACAGTGGCTCATGCCTGTAATCCTAGTGCTTTGGGAGGCTGAGGTGGGAGGATCGCTTGAGCCCAGGAGTTTGAGACCAGCCTGGGCAATATAGTGAGATGCCATCTCTACAATTTTTTTTTTTTAATTAGCTGGGCAGGTGGTGCACGCCTATAGTTGTAGCTACTAGAGAGGCTTAAGTGGCAAGATCCCTTGAGCCCAGGATGCTGAAGCTACAGTTAGCCATTATTGCACTACTGTCCTCCAGCCTGGTGGAGAGAACAAGACCCTGTCTCAAATATATATATAGCTCTAAACTTTAAAAATTTGTTCTGTGATTAATTTTGACATGTTAATCTAACAGCAGTTTGTATCTGTTAGCACTGTAAAGATGTAAAAGACGAAGACATATATGTCACAATTTCCCCATTTTCAATTTGGAAAATGTCTTCTGTGGGGAATTCTAGAGTAAACTTTCAGGCAAGATGTTTTCATAGCAAGTGATAACTAGAGTGTGTGAAACACAAAGGTGCAAAACTCAAACATTTCTACAATAAAGTTGTAATGGCTTATGGTGATCTAGATTAGGGTTTCTCAGTCTTGATGCTATTGACATATTGAGCCAAATAATTATTTATTGTGGAGGAGTGTCCAGTTCATTGTATAATTTTTTTTTTTTTTAGACGGAGTCTCACAGTGTTACCTGGGCTGTAGTGCAGTGGTGCCATCTCGGCTCACTGCAACCTCTGCCTCCCGGGTTCAAGCGATTCTCCTGACTTAGCCTTCTGAGCAGCTGGGATTACAGGCGCCTGCCACCACACCCGGCTAATTTTTTGTATTTTTAGTAGAGATGGGGTTTCACCATGTTGGCCTGGCTGGTCTCAAAGTCCTGACCTCAGGTAATCCACCCGCCTTGGCCTCCCAAAGTGCTAGGATTACAGGTGTGAGCTACCGTGCCCAGCCATTGTAGAATGTTTAACAGCATCCCCAGCCTCTACTCATTCTCCTAATTGTGGCAACCAAAAATATGTCGACATTGCCAGATGTCCTGTAGGGGGCAAAATCTCCTTTGGTTGAGAACCACTAGTGTAGAGAATTTGGTAACCTTCACACTACAAAATAGTAATAAGAGTCTGGAGGAAATATGATAAACATCCTTGAAATACATATAGCTGAGAGTAAGGGAAAGTAAGGGGCATCCCAGAGCAAAAAACAGAAAGAAAATTAAAATTCATACTAAAAGGAGTTGGTGCTGATGCTGACTTGGAGAGGTGGGGATGGTTTGCTAATTTTAATAACTGAGGGGCTTGAGTTATATTTGTAATTTATGTGTGACTCAACGTATAAAATATGTAGATCTTAAATGCTTAGTAAATTTCGATAATTGTACAAACCATATCCACCAGTCAGAACAAGATATAGGACATTAGGGACTTGTATTTTAATTGCCACTCAAGTGCTGAAAAAGAAATCTTGGGTCTATACAAGGTAGAAAGTTGGAACTCAGACTCTAATGTAAGGCCCCCTAGGGGCTCTTGAAAGGCTATACCCTCAGAAGAAAGGAAGTCTGGAAAAAAAATATTCCCCTTGGCACTGGGAAGTATTAAGGAACTTTGTCTATCTTGGTCTTGGGGATGGGGAGTGGGAGGAATCTTCCCCAAAATCTAGAATCCCTCAAAGTGCTTAGATTTTGAACGTATACCACCAGCTTGGTTTAGGAACTGTAAGCTAACAAATTAACTGAAAAAGTAGAGCCAGACATTTTTGGATCCTGCTTCAATCAATCTCTCTCTCTCTCTCTCTCTCTCTCTGTCTTCTTCTCTCTCCTTCTTTCTCCCTCCCTCCCCTCCCCACCCCCTCTAATTCAAGTAAATTAGAGAGACTAAAAATCAGATAATTTGACCACAAAATGACTACTGACACTAAGCAATTATTGGTTTATAATTATTTTTAAGAATTTTTTTTTTAAGAGTCTCGCTCTGTCTCCCAGGCTGGAGTGCAGTGGCGCAGTCTCAGCTCACTGCAACCTCTGCTTCCCGGGTTCAGGTGACTCTCCTGCCTCAGCCTCCTGAGTAGCTGGGATTACAGGCATGTGCCACCATGGCTGGCTGATTTTTTTTTCCCTATTTTTAGTAGAGATGGGATTTTACTATGTTGGCCATGCTGGTCTGGACTCCTGACCTCAAGTGATCTACCCGCCTTGGCCTCCCAAAGTGCTGAGATTACAGGTGTGAGCCACTGCACCTGGATAATTTTTAAGAATCTTTTTAAAAGAAATACACATTGAGGCCGGGCGGGGTGGCTCATGCCTGTAATCTCAGCACTTTGAGAGGCCGAGGTGGGTGGATTGCTTGGGCAGCCTTGGCAACATAGTGAGATCAGCCCAGGTGACATAGTGAGACCCCATTTCTGAAAAAAAAAAAAAAAAAACCGAAAAAGAAAAAAAACAGAAAGAAAAGAAAACAAATACACATTGAAGTGAAGTGGTATGCCATCTGGGATTTGCTTTAAAATAATTCAGTGGGGGTGTTGTGGCTCATGCATATAGTCCTAGCTACTTGGGAGGCTGAGGTAGGAGGATTGCCTGAGCCCAGGAGTTTTAATCCAGCTTAGCAAGACAACATGTCTAAAAAATAATAAAATATGGTTGGGCTCAGTGGCTCCTGCCTTTAATCCTAGCACTTTGGGTGGCTGAGGCAGGATTGTTTGACCTGAGGAGTTCAAGACCATTCTGGGCAATATGAGACCTTGTCTCTAGTAAAAATTAAAAAAAAAAAAAAAAAAAAGAGCCTGGCGTGGTGGTGCGCATATGCCTGTAGTCCCAACTACTCAGGAGGCTGGGGCAAGAGAATTGCTTGAGCCTAGTGGTCGAGGCAGCAGTGAGCCATGATAACACCACTGCACTCCAGTCTGGACAACAGTGAGACCCTGTCTCAAAAATAAATAAAATTAAATAAAAAATTATAAAATACTAAAATAAATAGGTCAGGCACCATGGGCTCACGCCTGCAATCCTAGCACTTTGGGAGGCTGAATCAGGAGGATTCTTGAGGCTAGGAGTTCCAAACCAGCCTGGACAATATAGCAAGACCCCATCTATACCAAAAATTTAAAAACTAGCTGGGTGTGGTGGCATGTTCCTGTAGTCCCACCTACTCTGGAAGCTGAGGCAGGAGGATTGCTTGAGCCCAGGAGTTAAAGGCTATAGTGAGCTATGATCATGCCAGTGCACTCCAGCCTGGGTGACAGAGCAAGACCCTGTCTCAAAAAATAAGACTGGGCGTGGTGGCTGACACCTATAATCCCAGCACTTTGGGAGACTGAGATGGGAGAATTGCTTGGGCCCAAGAGTTTGAGGCCAGCCTGGGCAATATAGTGAGACCTTGTCTCTAAAAAAATATTTTTAAAAAACAATTAGCTGGGTGTAGTGGTGTCCACCTGTGGTCCCAGCTATTCAGGAGGCTGAGAAGGGAGGATTGCTTGAATCTGGGAGGTCAGGGCTGCAGTAAGTTGTGATTGTGCCACTGCACTCCAGCCTGGGTGACAGAGTGAGGCCTGTCTCTAAAAAAAATAAAATAACCCAGTGGAGAGACATTGGTGTTGGATTGGTACATAGATGAAACAAGATTGGCTGTGTGTGTATAATTGTTGCAACTGGATAATACATACATGGGAGTTCATTATACTGTTGGTTTTCTTTCTTTTTCTTTTTTTTTTTTTTTTAACTTTTTGACGTGTTTAAAATTTTCCATTTAAAAAAAAGTGCTCTCAGGATAGTAATAGAAGCAAATGTAAAACCACTGCAGAGGGACACACCCTGAATCCAACCCCTCCCAGATGATTCCCACAGATAAAGTCGTACTGAACAGAAACTCACAATCAGAAGTTACAAACCACCATAAGTGAGAGTCAGCAGATAAAATAAGTGGCAGAATTAGACTTCCAACAACTATGGGTAATAGTAATAATAGAAACTGTAAAGTAAATATGCTTCAATTAATCAAAAACAAGGTAATGAAAACATGAAAAAAAAAAACCAAAGAAAAAAGAACTAGGCAAATTAGTTGGAAACCACCTAATGAGAATTTCTGGAAATAAAAATATAGTTTTTAAATTTTAAAACTCAGGCTAGGCTTGGTGGCCCACTTCTGTAATCCCAGAACTTTGGGAGGCCAACGTGGGAGGATTGTTTGGGTCCAGGAGTTCAAGACCAGCCTAGGCAACATAGTAAGATCCTGTCTCTACAAAAAGTTTTAAAAATTAACCAGGTATGGTGGTACACACCTGTAGTCCCAGCTACTCTGGAGGCCGAGGAGGGAGGATGGCTTGAGCCTAAGAGGTCAAGGCTGCAGTGAGCTGTGATTACACCACTGCCCTCCAGCCTGGGCAACAGAGCAAGACCCTGTCTCAAAAAAAAAAAAAATTAAAGGAAAAACCTCAGATGACTAGGTTAGACAGCTGGTTAGACCTACCTTAAGAGGAAATTATCAAATTGGAAGGTAACTCAGAAGAATTTAGAAAGCAATACTGCAAGATAAAGATGTATCCATAGAAATTAAAAGACATGGGGTTGGGCACAGTGGCTCATGCCTGTAATCCCAGCACTTTGCCAGGCCATGGAGGGTGGATTACCTGAGGTTAGGAGTTTAAGATCAGCCTAGCCAACATGGCAAAACCCCGTCTTTACTAAAAATACAAAAACTAGCTGTGGTGGGCACCTGTAATCCCAGCTACTTGGGAGGCTGAGGCAGGAGAATCACTTGAACCTGCGAGGCAGAGGTTGCAGTGAGCTGAGATGACACCATTGTACCCCAGCCTGAGTGACAGAGTGAGACTCCGTCTCAAAAATAAAATAAAATAAGACATGGAAAAGAAAACTGAGAAGATTCCAGCCTATCTCTCATAGGTGTTACAGAGAAATTGAGAAGAGGCAATCCTTTGAGGAGAGAATACTTAAAAATTTTCTAGAATTGACAGACCTCAAATTCAAGATGTACAGTGCATCCCATCTGAGTAAATAAAACTAAATACAAGATGGAAATAGATTTCCAATTTAGTAGAGAAGGAAAAAAAGAATATAGAAAACTCAATAAGTGAAGAAAGAGGAGATAGAAACCTTAGAAAATCAGGTTAGATAGCATAAAATAATATGGTAGAAATCAAGCATATCAGTAATTACAGTAAATGTAAATGTATTTAATAGTTAAGACAGATTATCAGGTTGGATTTAAAAAAATCTATGTGCTAGAAAAATGCTTTTAATTTTTTTTTTTTTTTTGTAAGACAGGCTCTCGCCCTGTCACCCAGGCTAGAATGGAGTGCAGTGATGTGATCATAGCTCACTGCAGCCTTGAACTCCTGGGTTCAAGCCATCCTCCTGCCTCAACCTCCCAAATAGCTAGGACAACAGGTGTGTGCCACCACACCTGCCTAGTTATTATTATTTTAGAGACAGAGTCTCCCTATATTGTCCAAGCTGGTTTGGAACTCCTGGGCTCAAGTGATTCTCCTGCCTCATCCTCCAAAAGCATTGGGATTATAGGCATGAGCCACTATGCCTGGTATGGACTTATATATTTAGATTAGCAGTGGAGTTTTATAAAATACTAGATTGTCTCATTGTATTTGGAACTGGCTGAAGATGCCTGTTACAGCTTTTCGTAGCTGTTTTTCCAACCTGTAGTGTAATGCTTGACATATGACAATAATGTAATACAAGACTTCTCATGAATGTATGTATTTAGTTACACATTCAGCTGTTCTTGTTTCTGGACATATTTTTTTTTCTTTTTTTGAGACGGAGTCTCACTCTGTCACCCAGCCTGGAGTGCAGTGGTGCGATCTGGGTTCAAGTGATTCTCCTGCCTCAGCCTCCCAAGTAGCTGGGATTACAAGCATGTGCCATGATGGCTGGCTAATTTTATGTTTTTAGTTAGAGATGAGGCTTCACCATGTTGGCCAGGCTGGTCTGGAACTCCTGACCTCAAGCGATCCACCCCTCGAGCCTCCCAAAGTGGGATTGGGCCTGAGCCACCCTGCCCAGGATATATTTAAAAATAAAAATTAAAAAAATAGAAATTTTAAATTTTAACTTAAAGCTTAAAGTTTCTAGCCTTATTGAATGCCTACTATGTGCAAGACACAGATCTGCACATTTGGGTGATGTAGGGGTGTTGACACCATACTTGCCCTCAAGACATTTATGGTTTATGTTACCTGAGATTTTCTTTTCTTTTTCTTTTCTTTTTTTTTTTTTTTTGGAGATGGAGTTTCGCTCTTGTTGCCCAGGCTGGAGTGCAATGGCTCAATCTTGGCTCACCGCAACCTCCACCTCCTGGATTCAAGCGATTTTCCTGCCTCAGCCTCCCGAGTAGCTGGGATTACAGGTGCCTGCCACCACGCCCCAGCTAATTTTTGTATTTTTAGTAGAGACGGGGGTTTGCCATATTTGCCAGGCTGATCTTGAACTCCTGACCTCAGGTGATCCACCCACTTTGGCCTCTCGAAGTTCTGGGATTACAGGCGGGAGCCACCTTTCCTGGCTGAGATTTCAAATAATAATACTTATTTCAGTTTGAAGTGTTCTGAGGGGAAAGCATATGTAATCCTACAAAGAAAAACCCTGAAGTTGCCTTAAGTGCTTGAAAAGGGAATGAAAAATTTGGTACTTTAAACATTTCATGTTAAAAACTTGTTTGAACTAAAATGAAATCGTAGGAAAAACATCATTATTATTTATTTATTTATTTGAGACAGGGTCTCACTCTGTCACCCAGGCTGGAGTGCAGTGGTGTGATCACAGCTCAACTGCAGCCTCTACCGCCATTAGCTCAAGGGATCCTCCCACCTCTGCCTTCCAAGTAGCTGGGACTACAGACACTCAGACACTCAACACCACGCCTGATTGATTTTTTTTTTCTCGTATATATGGGATTTCACCATGTTGCCCAGGCTGGTCTCAAACTCCTGTGTTCAAGTGATCCACCTGCTTTGGCCTCCCAAAGTTCTAGGATTACAAGCATGAGCCTCTGTGCCTGGCCAGAAAAACATTATTATTATTTTAAAATTTGGATTGTAGGGTTTTCAATATGTGGACAAGAGTATAGGGGACATTGAGAACATAATTTTTGTTTGTAAGAAAAATAAGTGTAGACATTTTTAACTGTGGTTAATCAATTTTAACCTTTATGTGCCTAGAAGGAGCAAAGGGAATGTACTGACTGATTCTCTATACAGCAGAGTTTTACATTGGACACTCAACATCAGTGGCTGGTCCTGATGTTGAGGGGAGAAATGCTACTTCGATGAGTTCAGATAAACTATAAATAGTATACAAAATAGGCCACATACCAGCTGATAAACATATGCGTCTCTACCCCAAGAAGTTTCAGCTTTCAGTTCCGTCCCTTCTTTTTGTGTTCTATGTGGTATATCTGATTCTTTAAGATTTTTTTTTTAATTTTTATGGGTGCCTAGTAGGTGTATATATTTTTGGGGTACATAAGATATTTTGCTGCAGGCATGTAATGCATAATAATCACATTATGGAAAATTGGTTATTCGTACCCTCAAGCATTTATCCTTTGTCTTATAAACAGTTCAATTACACTCTTAGTTATTTTTAAATATACAATCAAATTATTATTTACTATGGTCTCCCTGTCGTGCTATCAAATACTAGGTCTTATTCATTTCATTCTTTCTATTTTTGGGGGGAGGTATCCATTAACCATCCCCACCTCCCCTGTAAATCCCCACTCCACACTACCTTTCGCAGCCTCTGGTTACAGTCTTGCTCTCTTACCTCTATGCGTTCAATTGTTTTGATTTTTAGATCCCACTAATAAGTATGAACGGATGATATTTGTCTTTCCGTGCCTGGCTTATTTTACTTAACATAATGACCTCCATGTTGATGCAAATGACAGGATCTCATTCTTTTTAATGGCTGAATAGTACTCCATTGTGTATAGATACCACATTTTATTTATTCATTCATCTGTTGATGGACACCTAGGTTGCTTCCAAACCTTGGCTATTGTGAATACTGCTGCAGTAAACATGGAAATTCAGATATCTCTTTGATACACTGATTTCCTTTCTTTTGGGTATATATCCAGCAGTGGGATTGCTGGATCATGTAACTCTATCTTTAGCTTTTTGAGGAGCCTCCAAACTATTGGCCACAGTGGTTGTACTAATTTACATTTCTATTAACAGTGTATGAGGTTTCCCATTTCTCCATATCTTCACCAGCATTAGTTATTGCCTGTCTTTTGAATAAAAGCCATTTTAACTGAGGTGAGATGGTATCTCCTGGTAGTTTTGATTTGCATTTCTCTGATGATCAGTGATGTTGAGCACCTTTTCATATGCCTGTTTGCCATTGGTATGTCTTCTTTTGAGAAATGTCTATTCAGATATTTTGCCCCTTTTAAAATTGGATTATTAAATTTTTTTCCTATAGAGTTGTTTGAGCTTCTTGTATATTCTAGTTGTTAATCCCTTGTCAGATGAGTAGTTTGCATATATTTTCTCCCATTCTGTGGGTTGTCTCTTCACTTTGTTGATTGTTTCCTTTGCTGTGCAAAAGCTTTTTAACTTGATGTGATCCCATTCTGGATCATATTGTTTAATTTCTATGTGTTTATATAATTTCCAAAATTCCTCTTGTGATTGATTTGTAGTTTTATTCCATTGTGGTCAGAGAAGATGCTTGATATTATTCCAAATTTTTTGAATGTTTTAAGACTTGTTTTGTGATCTAACATATGGTCTATCCCTGAGAATGATCCATGTGCTGAGGAGAAAAATGTGTATTCTGCAGCCATTGGATGAAATGTTCTGTAAATAACTATTAGGTCTATTTGTTCTGTAGTGCAGATTAAGTCTGACATTTCTTTGTCGAGGTTCTGCCTGGGAGATCTATCCAATACTGAAAGTGGGGTGTTTAAGTCTCCAGCTATTATTATATTGGGGTCTATCTCTTTAGCTCTAATAATATTTGCTTTGTATAGCTGGGTACTCCAGTGTTGGGTGCATATATATTTACAATCATTATGTCCTCTTGCTGAATTGACTCCTTTATCATTATATAATAATCTTCTTTGTCTCTTCTTACAGTTTTTGTCTTGCAGTCTATTTTGTCTGATATCAATATAGCTATTCTAGCTATTCCTGCTCTTTTTTCATTTCCATTGTCATGGAATATCTTTTTCCATCCCTTTATTTTTAGTCTCTTTGTATCTTTATAGGTGAAGTAAGTTTCTTTTAGGCAACAGATCATTGGGTCTTGTTTTTTCATCCATTCAGCTACTCTATGTCTTTTTGACTGCAGACTTTAGTCTATTTACATTCAGTGTTATTATTGATAAGTAAGGACTTACTCCTGCCATTTTGTTATTTGTTTTCTGGTGGCTTTACAGTCTTCAATTCCTTCTTTGCTTTCTTCCTATCTTCCTTTTAATGAAGGTGATTTTTCTCTGATGGTATGTTTTAATTTCTTTCTTTTTGTTTAATTTTTTGATATCCATTGTATGTTTTTCTATTTTACCATGAGGCTTGCAAATACTATCTTATAACCCACTATTTTAAACTGATGACAATACTGATTGCATATGCAAACAAACACACAGAAAGAAAACTAATAAAAACTCTACACTTTAACTTTGTTCCTTGGCTTTTAATTTTTTTTTTTTCTCTTTATATCTTATTGTACTGTCTGTGTCTTGAAAAGTTGTTGTAGTTACTATTTTTGATTGGTTCATCATTTAATCTTTCTATGTAAGATGAGAAGTTTATACACCACAATTATAGTGTTATACTATTCTGTGTTTTTTATGTGTGCTTGCTGTTATCAGGAAGTTTTGTACCTTTATATGATTTCTTCTTGCTCATTAACATCCTTTTCTTTCAGATTGAAGAACTCTCTTTAGTATTTCTTGTAGGACATATCTAGTGTTGATGAAATCCCTCAACTTTGTCTGGGAAAGTATTTCTCCTTCATGCTTGAAGGATATTTTCACTGGATATACTATTTTAGAGTAAAAGGGTTTTTTCCTTCAGCACTTTAAATATGTCATGCCACTCCCTCCTGGCCTGTAAGGTTTCCACTGAAAAGTCTGCTGCCAGACATATTGGAGCACCATTGTATATTATTTGTTTCTTTTTTCTTGCTGCTTTTAGAATTCTTTCTTTATCCTTGACCTTTGGGAGTTTGATTATTAAATGGCTTGAGTTAGTCTCTGGATTAAATGCTGTTGGGGTTCTATAATCTTCTTGTACTCAAATGTTGATATCTTTCTCTAGGTTTGGGAAGTTCTCTGTTATCATCCCTTTGAATAAACTATTTACCCCTATATGTTTCTGTACCTCCTCTTTTAGGCCAATAACTCTTAGATTTACCCTTTTGAGAATGTTTTCTAGATTTTGTGGGCATGCTTCATTGTTTTTTATTCTTTTTTCTTTTGTCTCATCTGACTATGTATTTTCAAATAGCCTGTCTTTCAGCTCACAAACTCTTCTGCCTGATCAGTTCTGCTATTGAGACTCTGATATATTCTTCAGCATGTCAGTTGCATTTTTCATTTCTAGAATTTCTGTTTAATTCTTTTTAATTATTTCAATCCCTTTGTTAAATTTATCTGAAAGAATTGTGAATTCTTTCTGTGTTGTCTTGAATTTCTTTGAGTTTCTTCAAAACAGCTATTTTGAATTCTCTGTCAGAAAGGTCGTATATCTCTGTTTCTCCAGGATTGGTCTCTGGTGCTTTATTTAGTTTATTTGAGGAGGTTATGTATTCCTGGATGGTGTTGATGCTAGTAGATGTTCTTTGGTGTCTGGGCATTGAAGAGTTGGGTACTTATTGTAGTCTTCACAGTCTGAGCTTGTTTGTGCCTGTCCTTCTTGGGAAGGCTTTCCAGGTATTCAAAGGGACTTGGGTAACAAGCCCAATAACATTGTGTCTTTTGTAGACTTGTAGAGGTACCACCTAAGTGGTCTTGGATAAGATCCAGAAGAATTCTCTGGATCACCAGGCAGAGACTCTTGTTCTTTTCCCTTACTTCCTCCCAAATAAATGGAGTCTCTTTCTGTCTGTGCTAAACCCCCTGGAACTGGGGGGTGTGGTGATGCAAGCACTCCTGTGGCCACCACCACTGGGACTGCACTGGGTCAGACCTGAAGCCAGCCCAGCACTGGGTCTTGCCCAGGGCCCTTCCCTTCAGGGCAGTAAGCTTCCTCAGGCCCCAGGCGTGTCCAGAGATGCTGTCTGGAAGCCACAGATTGGGGTCAAATACTTTAGTAGTTTACCTGATGTTCTGTTCTACTGCGGATAACTAGCACTCACACTACAATACAAAGTTCTTCTCACTCTTCCCTCCCCTTTCCACAGGCAGAGGGGCCACTCCCTGTGGCTACCACCACCTTTGGTCCACAGGGTTTCTGCCAGGCCACCACCAATATTCACTTAAAGCCCAAGGGCTCTTCCATCAGCTTGTGGTGAAAGCTGCCTGGCCTGGGACTTACCCTTCAGGGCAGTGGGCTCCCCTCTGGCCCAGGGTAGTGCTAGAAATGCCGTCCAAGAGTGTTGGCCTGGGCCAGACACGGTGGCTCATGCCTGTAATCCCAACACTTTGGAAGGCCAAGACGGGTGGATCACCTGAGGTCAGGAGTTCGAGACCAGCCTGGCCACCATGGCGAAACCCCATCTCTACTAAAAATACAAAAATCAGCTGGGCGTGGTGGAGTGCACCTGTAATCCCAGCTACTTGGAAGGCTGAGGCAGGAGAATCGCTTGAGCCCAGGAGGTGGAGGTTGCAGTGAGCCGAGGTCACGCCACTTCACTCCAGCCTGGGCAACAGAGCGAGACTCTGTCTCACAAAAAAAAAAAAAAAAAAAAAAAAAAAAAAAAAAAGGAGTGTAAGCCTTGACTTGGGGACCCCAAGAACCTGCTTGTTGCTCTACCTCACTGTGGCTGAGCTGGTACCTAAGGTGTAAGACAAAGTCCCCTTTACTTTTATCTCTGCTTTTCTCAAACAGAAGGAGTCTTTCACTGTAGCCACCACAGCTGGGAATGTGCTGGGTCACACCTGAAGCCAGCACATCTCAGAGTCTCATCCAAGGCCCATGACGCACTCCTTGGGTATCGCTGCTGGTTATTCAGGGCCCAAGGGCTCTTTAGTCAGCAGGTAATGTATCCTGCTAGGACTGGGTTTTTCCCTCCAAGGCAGTAGGTTCCCTTTTGGCCCGGGGTGGGTCTAGAAATGTTGTTCAGGAGCTAGGGCCTATAATGCGGGCCTCACAACTCTGCCCAGTGCCATATCCTACTGTGGCTGAGCTGGAATCCAAGATGTAAGACGGTCCTCTTTACTCTTTGCTCTTTGCTCCTTAAGCAGAAGAAAGGAGTCACTTCTATTGCAGCTGCCTTTGTTTGGGGGATGGATGATGCAAGCACTCTTTTAGCTATGCCGGCTGGTATCTCCCTAGATCACATGCCACCCTAGTCCACTGACTATAAGCCCAGCCTAGTGCTAGTAGCTGAGGAGTTGGAGTCCTTGTGCCCTAGACTGTATTTCAAGTTTATCTAGGACCCCAGAGCTTTTCAGCCCACGGTGGTGAGGCTTGCAGGGAAACTCAAGTTCTGACCACTGGGATGGATGCTTCCTGTCTAGCTGGGGCAGGTCCAAATGCTCCCTCCATGTGCTGGCGCTGGCTGAGCCCAGCCCAGCTTTATTCTCCACTGTGACAGGGCAGCACTGAGTTCAGTGTAAAGGCCCCCAGCCACTGTACCCTCCCTTTCCCAAGTGCATAGGTTCTGTCTCCACACCACATGGCTGGCTGCTGCTAGGGGGTGAGGGAGGGGTGGCATTGGCGATGCAAGACCATCTTTTCTGCCCTCCTCAATGCCTCTTTCAAAGATATGAAGTCAAAACCAGCCACTGTGATTGCTCACCTGATTTTTGGTTCTTGTGACGGTGCTTTTCTGTGTGCAGATAGTTAAAATTTGGTGTTCTAGCAGCCGAACCAATGTTTGTAGGCTTCTTTTCCACCGTCTTGCTCCACTCACTCCCATATCTGATTCTTACTTGGAAATTCTTACAGCTAAAAAATCTCTTGTCCAGATTCCCTGCAGGATTCTATAGGGAAGATCACTTATCTTTATCATACAACCTTTCACTCTTACTGTTATAATTCTTATTTACCTCTCTACGAATGAATAGTATAGCTCTGTGATTTCAGGCAAGTTACTTAATCTCTCTGTGTTTCTTTGCTGTTAAATATAAACTGTGTCAGCCTCTTAAGAGTTGTTTTGAGGATTAAATGAGGTAATTCCTAGCACAGAGTAAGCACTTACTAAATAATAGCTATTACTATTATCTCTCTTCAGCCAGCTGAAGTCTTAGAGGGCAGTGCCTTCATAGTGTTCTTTGTATCTTCTGCAAGTACTTATCTGATTTGTCCCAGAATTAGTAAAAAATGTTTAATATTGTTTCCTGATTTCTTGAGCCTTGCTGGTGTGTATAAGATAGAATTTTTCACACTGGGCTTCCTTGGACAAGTTTCATAAGAGGTGCTTTTTTGTAGTTCAAAAACATTGGATTCAAATTTCATCTGTAAATTTTAACTGTTTAAAAAAACAACAAAAATCTGTGAGCTCAAATGTTATAAAATAGAATTTTAAGTAATAAAGATTATCAGTGTCTTTACAGTTGTTCACACCTATAATCCCATCATTTTGGGAGGCTAAGGTGGGAGGATCACTTGAGGCCAGGAGTTTGAGACCAGCCTGGGCAACGTAGGGAAACCTTGTCTCTACAAAAAAAAATTTTCTTTAATTAGCCAGGCGAGGTTGTGTACACAACCTGAGCAACAGATCAAGACTATCTCAATTAAAAAAAAAAAGACTCTCATTTTATTAACATGCTGCTAAATTTATTTTTATGCTTTTCCTATCATCTTTTGAAATTGAAGATGATCCTGATATTGAAGGGTAAACTCTTAAAAACAAACTGCAAAACAAGAACTTGTTGCCATTTGCAAATATTTCTCTCCATAAATTTTAATTGTGTGAATTTTAAAAACACAAAAATAAGTAGAATAGGATACAGGAATGCAACTGACACATAACCTCTGCTTTCATTGATTTGTATTACTCAGATGAGGCTTATTGTTGCCATTGATTGATTTTTATAATAAATTCATTCTATAAATTTAAATAAAAATATACCTGTTCTAATTAAGTGTGGATTTACCTACTACCTTTGGAAAGAGCAGACATTGATAAATAACTTACTTGTTTTTATGTATTTCTTTGATAAGCGTTTGTTACACTATTGTTACGTAATAGGTTTTAGGCTCTAAGCTAACAATATAGGTTTGACAGGCTACAACTGACAGCCTTTGGTTAAACATAAACTCATTGGGTTTCCATATAATTGTGCATTTAGAAGAATACTTTATTGCTTTAAGACTTTTTGGAAACGCTGACTTGTAAAGTATCCTATGTCTTTGAGTCAGCTGACTCCCATCTTTTACTTTTGCAGGGGCCCAGCTGGAGTAAGAGCCCAGGCCCTGGATAGAGATGGAAATCTGGTAGAAGATTTTGTATTTGATGCAGGAGTTGGGGATATTGGAAATCGCATTCTTCATGTGAGAAATGCACCTTCTCCTGCTGCTACTTCTTCCATTGCAATTTCTGGAATGATTGCAGATGAAGTACAACAAAGATTTGAATTATAAATAATGAAAGGAGCTAGGTATGCACTGTAATCTTCATGTCAGCAACAAGAATGTACTAATTGCATTCTTTAATTTAAAAAATGGTTTTTAAACTTTAGTTTTTAGGTCAAAGATAACCACTGCATTGTTAAAATGATGTAACATAGAAATAATAATTTTCTACAAAAATTAGCCAGGCATGGTGGCGCATGCCTGTAATCTCAGCTACTCAGGAGGCTGAGGCAGGAGAATCAATTGAACCGAGCAGACGGAGGTGAGCTGAGAGCTGAGATTGCACCACTGCACTCCAGCCTGGGTGACAGAGCAAGAAAATAATAATAATAATAATTTTCAAAATGTTAGGCTGGGGGCCGTGGCCAGCACTTTGGGAAGCCAAGGCAGGTAGATTGTAGCCCAGGAGTTTGAGAACAGCCTGGGCAACATGGCAAAACCCTGTTTCTACACAAAGTTAGCTGGGTCTGGTGCCTCTGTAGTTCCAGCTCCTCAGTAGGCTGAGGTGAGAGGATCACTTGAGCCCAGGAGGTCTAGGCTGCAGTGAGCTTATGTTCATGACACTGCATTCCAGGCTGGATGATAGAGCAAGATCTTGTCTCAAAAAAAAAAAAAAAAAAAAAAAAAATCCAGCCTGGGCAACA
The DNA here is from genome assembly GCF_000001405.40 of Homo sapiens. Lineage (NCBI taxonomy): Eukaryota > Metazoa > Chordata > Mammalia > Primates > Hominidae > Homo > Homo sapiens. The sequence goes on along the minus strand of NC_000014.9, from coordinate 50,246,422 downwards.
TAGTGAATGAAACCCCATCTCTACAAAAAATACAAAAATTAGCTGGGCATGATGGTGTGTGCCTGTAGTCCCAGCTACTTGGGGGCTGAGGCAGGAGGATCGCTTGAGCCCGGGAGATCAAGGCTACAGTGAGCTGTGTTCATGCCACTATACCCCAGCCTGGGCAACAAAGTGAGTCCCTGACTCAAAAAATAAAAACAACAACAAAAAATAAATTCCATGCTTATTTACTTTGCGAATAAAGAGGCAAGGTACAGTTTTATCTGTCCGAATCCCTGACTTTTATTTATTTTTTTTTTCAGACGGAGTTTCACTCTTGTTGCCCAGGCTTGAGTGCAATGGTACGATCTTGGCTCACTGCAACCTCTGCCTCCCGGGTTCCAGCGATTCTCTTGCCTCAACCTCCTGAGTAGCTGGGATTACAGGCGCCCACCACCATGCCTGGCTAATTTTTTGTATTTTTAGTAGAGACGGGGTTTTGCCATGTTGGCCAGGCTGGTCTCGAATTCCTGACCTCAGGTGATCCACCTGCCTCAGCCTCCCAAAATGCTGGGATTACAGGTGCGAGCCATCATGCTCAGCCCTGAATCCCTGACTTTGTTAATGACCTGTCCTTACCAACCATGACCTAGAGAAGATTTGGCTTTTTAAGAGTTTTGGAGAAAGATGGCATAAAAATAGATTATTTCCTTAAATCAATTTTTTAGCATTACGCTACCTAAGCTCGTTTGGTCTCTCATAGACAAGAAAATACATTATATTGTAGGTTACATTCTTTTAATTTTGAAGAGTCACAAAACTCACATTATTTAGAGCAACAATATTTGTATTTGGAAATTAAAAATTCATGATTTCAAGAAAATACATAAAATTTACATTTTTGAGTAGTTTGAATAAGTTTCTATCTTAATTATAATATTTGTAGGAAATAACAAAACAAACTCAAAGCCTTTATTATTTCCAGTCTCTTTGTAACTGATGTGGTATGGTATCATCATGAAATCTAAACAGTGGTACACTGAGTGGTTGTCCTGTTCTTCAATCTCTGTGGCTGAGAACTGAAATAACTTAGAAGAGACAGATTTTTATGAGAGCAGTTTTAGAATCCTGACACTGATGTATAGAACTCCAATTTAAAAAAGTTATTTATCTATTATATCTCTGATCTTTAGTCACACTAAGGCTCTCAAAATGTTGGCCAAGATTGGTAATGATTCATACGTACTTGATTTTTCAGGGCTCCTATAAACTTGTATAGGGATATTTTTCCATTTTTGATAAATATCTAACTTTGAGGCATTCACTTTTGTAAACCGCGAAAGTGCCTTACATTCACCTCATGAGTATTTTAAGTTGATGCCCAGTGCTGTGGTATATCCTGTATATATGTGTTTTGTGGTATCTATCGAAATTATTCTTATAATTTAGAAAGTTAGAAAATAGAAATTGTAAATGAAAATGTGGCGACCTGACTGCAGAACTTTGAGTACTGAACCACATTTAGGTGAGGCATTTTCATCCATTCTCTCTGATTTGCTCTCTCAGGATTCATCTTCTACTGTGTATGTCTTCTTTCCTCTTAGCTCTCCAAAGCTGTATGATGGATGGGTGAGAAGGATGTGCATTTTGGTTGATAGGAAAAATGTTTCTGTTTTCTTCCTTTTCCCCTCACTTCAAGCATTGATGATTACATTGATTGAGCTACCTCATCCATTAATTTGAAAGGCTACACTTCATCAGCTCATGTTTAAGAAGTAGCACATCCCAGGTAAACAGAGTAGGCCATTATTCAACTCTTAGGATGAGTATATTAAAAGCATTCAGATATCAATGACAGAAGAAACAAGCCCTAATGTTTCTTTATAACAGCTGATTCCTGCAAGAAATGCAAACACAGGATATTTTTCTGTTCCATTACAAGATTACTAAGAGATGGAAAATATTATCATTCTGTATTTTGTCAGTAGTACGATTGCATACATACTAAGTTGTAAACATTGAATTACAAAAAATGATTGTCCTAATTGAAGCAGTCCTCAATCCATTTGAGTCTGTACAATACCCTGAAAAGGAAACAACAGGTGCTGGAGAGGATGTGGAGAAATAGGAACACTTTTACACTGTTGGTGGGACTGTAAACTAGTTCAACCATTGTGGAAGTCAGTGTGGCGATTCCTCAGGGATCTGGAACTAGAAATACCATTTGACCCAGCCATCCCATTACTGGGTATATACCCAAGGGACTATAAATCATGCTGCTATAAAGACACATGCACACGTATGTTTATTGTGGCACTATTCACAATAGTAAAGACTTGGAACCAACCCAAATGTCCAACAACGATAGACTGGATTAAGAAAATGTGGCACATATACACCATGGAATACTATGCAGCCATAAAAAATGATGAGTTCATGTCCTTTGTAGGGACATGGATGAAATTGGAAATCATCATTCTCAGTAAACTATCGCAAGAACAAAAAACCAAACACCGCATGTTCTCACTCATAGATGGGAATTGAACAATGAGAACACATGGACACAGGAAGGGGAACATCACACTCTGGGGACTGTTGTGGGGTGGGGGGAGGGGGGAGGGATAGCATTAGGAGATATACCTAATGCTAAATGACGAGTTAATGGGTGCAGCACACCAGCACGGCACATGTATACATATGTAACTAACCTGCACATTGTGCACATGTACCCTAAAACTTAAAGTATAATAATAAACAATATATATATATATATATATATAAAATACCCTGAAAAATAAAAATGAAAAATTTGTTGAAAGTGTTTTGAATATGTAGGTTATTCTGCTTGTAAAACGTTTTATATGTATGTCAATAGGGTTTTTTTGTTTAATACTGATATAATAAAGTTTTATGTATTTCTGACAGAAGAAATGTATATTAATATTTAAAATATTTTAATGAGCCTTGGTGTTGTAGAGAACATATTTTTTAGTTCCATAAAAACTTTTATGCAAATAAATTTTTTTATGTGTAAAACATAAACTGTTTGCTTTAGATAGATAGCAGCCAACCTTTTTAAAAAACTCATTTCTGTGTTAGTATATAATACAAAATGAGGTTGAGTCATTTATATTTTGGGTAAAAAGTGGAGCATTTTAGATTTTAACTTCAGAGTGTTTGTGAGGAACTCTTGATGTACCAGCAAGTATATTTTTGGTGTTTCATGTTACGTAGCTTAACTCTTTTATCCATACATATATGTGTATATCAAAGTCCTTCCCTTGATCCTCTCAGCATTAGCACTGTTTGGGGAGTTGCCTTTACTGTTGGCAGAATTCCACTTTCCCTGAGGCCATTTGGAAATCTACCTAGTAGCCTGTGGGATAACCTTAACTCTTAGAACTTTCTTCAAAGGATGGTGGTGAGAATGGGGTATACTGCCAGGCCCTGGCCTACGGGAGTTTGTAGGGCCTACTTTTGGAGGCAATCCAACCCTGATGGCTGTACCTATGAGCTATCCCTGTAAACACAGGAGACATGGTGTCTATATTGTTTAAGGACTGGCTCTGCCCTCCTGGGCCCTTAATCTGTGTCTAGACTTCTTGGTCAGAGGTTTCCTCATCTTTCTGCGCATACACTATTATCTAAAGATCTTGTAAACATTTTTGAGTTGTAATCGTAAAGTCAGTTTCTAAGCTTTTCTAACACACTCAAAGGGAGTTTTTGAAATCTCTTCATCAGGGCTTAAGGTAGAAGGACAGGGTGAAATGGTTGGGAAAGCAAAAGCTGCCTCGAGATGTTTTCAAATAGTTTGTACTCATTAAATAGCTTAAGAATGGAAATAAACCCTGAAGCCCTGAAGGGAAGAACAGTGTTGATACCAACCAACTCTACTTTTCTGGCCTCAAATCCTAGAAAGTATTGTGGGTTTGTTGTTGTTGTTGATGTTGTTAATTGCTTGTATTTTCTGCTTATGGGAAGGATCTCACATTAAAGTTATCTTATTTTAAGTTTCTTTTGTCCCTGGGATAAAATGAGAAAATTTACCTTTTAGATATGGCAAGAGATGGCAGGTCTTGGGTTGCTCAGGAAGCCCAATTTTGAATATTAGGAAAGACCTGAGGGACAATGATAACAGAGGGACCTCTCTCACTAGAGAACCTTGAATTTCAGCCAACTTCTGCTTAAAACTGTATCTTTAGAAAAACCTCTTTTAACTTTGTTGCTCTGAAGCACAATGAAATGGCTACAGCAGTGGTTGTTTCTTTTACGCCTTTCAGGTTTAATTTTCTGTAAATTTGTCCACTGGGAATATAAGAGATGTCTTTTAGGGATATCAGTTTATTTTTTAATTTTTATTTATTTTTCTCTTTTCTTTTCTTTTTTTGAGATGGGGTCTTGCTCTGTTTCCCAGGCTGGAGTGTAGTGGGACCACCTTGGCTCACTGCAACCTCCGCCTCCTGGATTCAAGCGATTCTCCTGCCTCAGCCTCTCGAGTAGCTAGGATTACAGGCACGCGCCACCACACCCAGCTAATTTTTTATGTTTTTGGTAGAGATGGGGTTTCACCACGTTGGCCAGTCTGGTCTGGAACTCCTGACCTCAAGTGATCCACCCACCTTGGCCTCCGAAAGTGTCGGGATTACAGGCGTGAGCCACCACTCCCAGCCTTTTTATTTTTTTTTTAAGACAGAGTCTCACTCTGTCACCCAGGACCCAGGCTGGAGTGCAGTGGCATGATCATAGCTCACTGTAGCCTCAACATCCTTAGTAGAGACGGGGTTTCACCATGTTGGCCAGGCTGGTCTCGAACTCCTGACCTCAGGGTATCCACCTTCCTTGGCCTCCCAAAATGCTGGGATTATAGGCATGAGCCACTGCACCCAGCCTTTCTTAGATTCTTGATCAGTCATTCCAGCTGGGACCTCCTGGATCCTTCTAAATACTCAAGTAATCTTCCTGCTTTAGCCCCCTGAATAGCTGAGACTACAGGTGTGCATCTCCATGCCCAGCTAATTTTTTTTTTTTTTTTTTTTTGAGGAGACAGGTTTCACTATTTTGCCCAGGATGGTCTGGAACTCTTGGCCTCAAGCAATCTTCTTGCCTTGGCCTCCCAACGTGCTGAGATTACAGGCATGGGTCGCCACACCTGGCTGTGATATCAGTTTATAATAATAGCAGGTTCTTTAGTTTGTTTGGGTTTTTGTTGTTGTTTTGGTCTCTGAGTAGCTTCCCAAATCACAGGGGCCACGTACTAATTGCTCTTTCCCAGAATGCCTAGATCCTTAACCTTTGCCTATGTTTTTCTTAGATGCTTTTTTTTTCCCTTTTTTTTTCTTTTTGAGACGGAATCTCACTCTGTTGCCCAGGCTGGAGTGCAGTGGCATGATCTCAGTTCACTTCAACCTCCGCCTCCTGGGTTCAAGCAGTTCTCTTGCCTCAGCCTCCTGAGTAGTTGGAACTACAGTCACACACCACGATGCCCGGCTAATTTTTGTATTTTTAGTAGAGATGGGGTTTCACCATGTTGGCCAGGCTGGTCTCGAACTCCTGACCTCAGGGTATCCACCTGCCTTGGCCTCCCAAAATGCTGCGATTATAGGCATGAGCCACTGCACCCAGCCTTTCTTAGATTCTTGATCAGTCATTCCAGCTGGGACCTCCTGGATCCTTCTAAATACTCAGAACCAAGCATGTTGGTTATGTTACAGGCCAACAGTAAAAGGTTGTCTTCTGACATCCAACTTTGTGCTTTGGAATTTAGGGATATAAAGATGCTTTTTGCTTCTACTTTGCATGTTAGAATTTTGTGGTTGGTAGTGAACTTTTGAATATACTTTTATTTTTGAATTCTCTCCAGAATTACTTGGTAAGTTTTCTGGAATTAAAGAAAAAGCCTAGTGTTAAATGTTATTTTAAAAGAGTTGATGCGACATTGAGGATTTCAAGGTTCTACCAGCATTTCTAATTGAGAGAATAGTAGTTTCCTCTGGAAGGAAACTTCCTATGAAAGTCATATAGTGATGGCATTTATTCTAAGAGTGGATATGGTAGGTGAGAACCACAGAGTTGAAGGGAATCTGGAGGGTCATTCTAGGCTACTCAGCTTCCAGAAATCACATCAATGGATAACACCAAAGAATCACACTGTTTTTTCAAGTAGAGAGTAAATGATTATATATTTGGGTCAAAAAACTGAAGTTTGGTTATCAGTGAATATAGTAATCACAGAACAAAACAACACTTTGTTGTGAGTTAGTGATATAAACTAACACAGTAGTATAAACCTACCCCAGAGAGAGGGGGTTTGCCCTGTTTGGTTTATTATTTTGGGTTCAGTTGGAAGAGAATAGAATCCATTCTAGCTAAACAAAAATAAATTTATTTTGGGCCAGGTGTGGTGACTCATGCCTGTTGTCCCAGCACTTTGAGAGGCTGAGGCAGGAGGACTGCTTAAGGCCAGGAGTTCGAGACCAGCCTGGATGGCATGGCGAGACCCTCTGTCTACAAAAACAAAAACAAAAAATTAGCCGAGTGTGGTGGCATATGGCTGTTAGTCCTAGCTATCTTTTTTTTTTTTTTTTTAAACGTAGTCTTGCTCTGTTGCCGAGGCTGGAGTGCAGTGGCACAATCTTGGCTCACTACAACCTCTGCCTCCCAGGTTCAAGCAACTCTCCTGCCTCAGCCTCCTGAGTAGCTGGGATTACAGGCATGTGCCACCATGCCCGGCTAATTTATTTTGTATTTTTAGTAGAGATAGGGTTTTGCCATGTTGGCCAGGCTGGTCTCAAACTCCTAACCTCAAGTGATCCACCCGCCTTGGCCTCCCAAAGTGCTGGGATTACAGGCGTGGTGAGCTACCTTGCCTGACCAGTCCTAGCTATCTGAAAGGTTGAGATGGGGATCCCTTGAGCCCAAGAGTTCAAGGCTGCAGGGAGCTATGATTGCACCACTGCACTCCAGCCTGGGTAACAGTGAGACCCTGTCTAATGATAATAATAATACATTCATTCAGAGAATACAGAATCATTGGAAGGCTAATGAAGTAGATTCTGGTTGAGCTTTCAGGAACAAGTCCCAAAGCCACACCACAGAACCAGGCCACTAAGAGAGTAATTTCAAAACAATTATGATCCACAGAGAACTGCCACACCATGAGTCTAGCCATTGCTGCTGCCACATAAAACTAGTGACTGAATGGTGCTTGCTAACAGAAATATCAGAGTTGCGGCTTCCAACTCACTTCTGCCTTCTTCTTTTTTTTTTTTTTTTTTTTTTTTGAGAGGGAGTCTCGCTCTTGTCACCCAGGCTGGGTTGCAGTGGTGTGATCTCGGCTCACTGCAACCTCCACCTCCTGGGTTCAAGCTATTCTCCTGCCTCAGCCTCCTGAGTCGCTGGGATTACAGGCGCCCATCACCACGCCCGGCTAATTTTTGTACTTTTAGTAGGCAGAGTTTCGCCATGTTGGCCAGGCTGGTCTTGAACTCCTAACCTCAGGTGATCCATCCACCTCAGCCTCCCAAAGTGCTGGGATTACAGGCGTGAGCCACCGTGCCTGGGCTCACTTCTGCCTTCTATATCTCACTCTAGTGTATCTGATAGACTGGGAGCTATACTGAACAGATTACGAATACGTTCGTTGTTGACAGCTCAACTTCATTAACTGTCAGGAATTTGAAGGATTCTATTGCGATAACATAAATAACAAAAATTTGAATGATGCTTTTTTTCAGTCACTAGTTTTATGTGGCAGCAGCAATGGCTAGACTCATGGTGTGGCAGTTCTCTGTGGATCATAATTATTTTGAAATTACTCTCTTAGTGGCCTGGTTCTGTGATGTGGCTTTGGGACTTGTTCCTGAAAGCTCAACCAGAATCTACTTCATTAGCTTTCCAATGATTCTGTATTCTCTGAACGAATGTATTATTATTATTATTATTAGACAGGGTCTCACTGTTACCCAGGCTGGAATGCAGTGGTGCAATCATAGCTCCCTGCAGCCTTGAACTCTTGGGCTCAAGGGATCCCCATCTCAACCTTTCAGATAGCTTTTTTTTTTTTTTTTTTTTGAGACGGAGTCTTGCTCCCCCAGACTGGAGTGCAGTGCCACGATCTTGGCTCACTGCAAGCTCCGCCTCCGGGGTTCACACCATTCTCCTGCCTCAGCCTCCCGAGTAGCTGGGACTACAGGCACCTGCCACCACGCCAGGCTAATTTTTTGTGTTTTCAGTAGAGACAGGGTTTCACCGTGGCCAGGATTGTCTCGATCTCCTGACTTTGTGATTCGACCGCCTCGGCCTCCCAAAGTGCTGGGATTACAGGCGTGAGCCACCACGCCCAGCAATGCTTTGCCCTTTCACCTTGATTATAGGAGATGGTGTTTGGAACAGCTACTTCCCCCACGTACGATGACTTTCCACCTGGTGGTGGTGGCAATATTTGGATGACCTCGGTGGCATCTTCATACCTTGGAGAACCAGAAAACACTCTTTTTGCTCAATAGCACGTTGTATGTAACATATAAACATACAATGCCTTTTTTGTGGGGAGTGGGGAGGCATACTTTTAAATCGATCTTTTGGAGTTTCATACAAAATTATAGTTCCTCTTGGGAAGACCTTTTAGGTATGCTGTCTCTTACAGGGGGTTGGGCATGAGCCTCCCATAAGGGTCAGAGGACAAAGGCCTGTCTGAGGGCCTGCTTCAACTTCTTTCAGGCAGGTGGCTGTGAGAGGACCGAGCTGGCTATGGCAGCAACCCATGAAAGTGAGTGATAACAACATTTATTGTTTCCTGTGGCGTTGCTTTGCTTTGCTATTGACTGGTAGCGCTTGTAGCTTTAAATAAATTGAGGAAGTATGAGAGAGTAAATGGAAGAAATGTTGAGTAAGTCCTTCTTGAAAATGTTTTCAAGTGGGAGAATATTAGTGGTAAATTTCTAACTGTCTTTTAACATTTTAATTGGGCTTGGATCATTCACATTTTCCCCAAATCCTTTCTAAATTAAAAAAAAGGTAAAGGCCAGGTGCAGTGGTTCATGCCTGTAACGGGTGCAGTGGTTCATGCAGTGGTTCATGCAGTCCCAGTACATTGGAAGGCCGAGGCAGGAGGATCGCTTAAGACCAGGAGTTCAAGACCAGCCTGGGCAACAGAACAAGACCCCCATCTCTTAAAAAAAAAAAAAAATACAAATTACAAAATAAATTAGCTGGGCTTGGTGGTGCATACCTGTAGTCCTAGCTACCTGGGAGGCTGAGGCAGGAGGACCCCTTGAGCCTAGGAGTTCAAGGCTGCAGGGAGCTAGTATGATCACGCTACCGCACTCCAGCCTGGGTGACAGAGCGAGACCCTGTCTCTTAAAAAAAATTAATTTAAAAAGGGAAGCAAAATTACAATCTGTCAAATTATTGGCTGGGTGCAGTGGCTCTCGCCTATAATCCCAGCACTTTGGGAGGCTGAAGAAGGCGGATCACCTGAGGTCAGGAGTTCGAGACCAGCCTGGCCAACATGACTAAACCCCGTCTCTACTAAAAATACAAAAAAATTAGCCGGTCTTGGTGGTGTGTGCCTGTAATCCCAGCTACTCGGGAGGCTGAGGCAGGAGAATTGCTTGAACCTGGGAGGCAGAGGTTGCAGTGAGCCAAGATCGCACCACTGCACTCCAGCCTGGGTGACAGAGTGGGACTCTGTCCCGAAAAAAAAAAAAAATATATTAGCATGATAGTTAGCATATTTCAGTACAAATTTGTGATTAAGCTTTTTGTTATGTATACATATGCCCTCCCTCTTATAGTATCAGTGTGTTTAATACTTGCATTTTTTTGTTTTATTTTTATTTTTTTGAGATGGTCTCCCTTTTTTGCCCAGGCTGGAGTGCAGTGGCGCGATCTCGGCTCACTGCAACCTCCTCCACCTCCCGGGTTCAAGTGATTCTCCTGCCTCAGCCTCCTGAGTAGCTGGGATTACAGGCACCCACCACTATTCCTGGCTAATTTTTGTATTTTTAGTAGAGACGGGGTTTCACCATTTTGGCCAGGCTGGTCTCAAACTCCTGACCTCAGGTGATCTGCCCGCCTCAGCCTCCCAAATGCTGGGATTACAGGCATGAGCCACCACGCCCAGCCTAATTTTTTATTTTTTAACACTTGAAGCAAAAGTTTATAGTTAGACTGGAAATTTTTCATTAAAAATAACTCTTAATTAGTGTTTTGAATAAGTGCCATTTTTATGTGGTTGCAAATTCAAAAGTCACAATAAGGGGTCTAGACAAAGTTGGCTGACACCTATAATCTTACTACTTTGGTAGGCCAAGGAGGGAGGCTCTCTTGAGCCCAGGTGTTTTTAGACCAGTCTGGGCAACATAGCAAGACCCCCATCTCAACAACAACAAAAGTCACAAAAAGGTACACGGTGAAAAATCTCCCTTTCATCTCCAGCCACCCAGTTTTCATCCCTGTGGCAACAAAAATCTTTGTAGCCTTGCTGATATGGTTTGGCTGTGTCCCCACCGAAATCTCATCTTGAATTGTAGTTCCTATAATCCCCAAGTGTCATGGGAGGGACCCGGTAGGATGTGATTGAATCATGGGGGCGATTACTCCCATGCTGCAGTTCTCATGATAGTGAGTTCTCACAAAATCTGATGGTTTTATAAGGGCCTTTTCCCACTTTTGCTCAGCACTTCTCCTTGCTGCCGCTATGTGAAGAAGGACATGTTTGCTTCCCCTTCCACCATGATTGTAAAGTTTCCTGAGGCCTCCCCAGCCCTGTGGAATTGTGAGTTGTTTAAACCTCTTTCCTTTATAAATTACCCAGTATTGGGTATGTCTTTATTGGCAGCATGCGAACAGACCAATACGGTAAATGCAGAGAAATTATTTGAGTCAAATGCTTATATAATAAAATGCTGCATTCCTTATATATATATATATATATATATATGAGGAACCATACTTGCAGTACTATACATCCTGCACTTTTCATTTTGCAGCATATCTTAGATAATGTTCCACAGAGGCCTGGTTATTTTAAAATAACTTTATAGGTTCCACTGTATGGATTTACTATTATTTATTGAACTAGTCCCCTATTCCTACTGATGATTATTTAAACTGTTTATTTCTAGGGCGTTTTTTGTTTTGCTTTACTTCTGGTATAATAAACAACACTGCAATGAATAACCTTGTCTCTAAGTGACTTCATGTAAGAGCAAGTATATCTACAGGACATATTCCTAGAATTTGCTAGGTCAAAGAGAAACTTTGATATTATCTAGTTCCCCTTGACAGAAGTTGAAACAATTTATAGTCCTAATACACTTACAATATATTAGAATGCTTGTTTCCTCATATCTTCACCATCATAGTGTGTAATCAAACTTTTTCATCTGTGCTATTCTAATAGGTGAAAAATGATAACAGTATAACCCCCAAAAGAGAATTATCTTTTTCTCCACATCCTCAACAGCATTTGTTATTATCTGTCTTTTGGATATAGGCCATTTTAACTGGGGTGAGATGATATCTTATTGTAGTTTTGATCTGCATTTCTCTAATGATCAATGATGTTGAGCACCTTGTCATATCCCATTTGCCATTTGTATGTCTTCTTTTTTCTTTTTTTGTTTTAAATTTTTTAAAAAGTTTTTTTATAGAGATGGGGTCTCATTATGTTGCCCAGGCTCGTCTTCAATTCCTGGGCTCAAGGGATCCTCCTGCCTCGGCCTCCCAAAGTGCTGGGATTACAGGTGTTGAGCCACTGTGCCTGGCCCCTTTGTTTTTCTTATTGAATTTTAGCCTTTTAATTTGTAGGAGCTCTTTTATATTTTACTGAAATTAACTACAAAAATGAATTGCACCAGCTTGGGCAACATGGTGAGACCCTGTCTCTACCAAAAATACAAAAAATTAGCCGGGCATGGTGACACGTGCCTGTGATTCCAGCTACTCGGGAGGCTGAAGTGGGAGGATCACTTGAGCCCAGGAGGCGGAGGTTGCAGTGACCCAAGATCATGCCGCTGCACTGCAATCCAGCCTGAGTTAGAGTAAGACCCCATCTCAAACAAACAAACAAACAAACAAAAAACCCACAAAAATGAGTTGCTGCTATTTTTTCCAGTTTGTCATTTTCCTTTTGGCTTATCTGGTGATTTTTTTTGCCCTTTTTTTTTTTTTTTTTTTTTTTTTTTAAAGAGACAGGGTCTTACTGTGTTGCCCAGGCTGGTCTTCAACTCCTGGCCTCAAGCTATGCTTCTACCTCGGCCACTGGAGTTGTTGGGATTACAGGCATGTACCACCATGCCCGGCTCATACATTTATAAAAATTGAATTTATCGGTCTTTTAGATCTTGTGTCATAGTGAAAGTGTCTTTTTCCGTTCTGAGGTTATAAATGAATCATTGTATGGTTTTATTGTTTACATTTAAATCTTTGACATATCTGGAGTTTTTGCTAGTGTATTGTATAGGGTATGGATCCAACATTTTTTCTAGATAGCCCATTTGTCTGAATGAGAAACTTTTTTTTTTTTGAGACGGAGTCTTGCTCTTGTTGCCCAGGCTAGAGTGCAATGGCGTGATCTAGCTCACCACAACCTCCACCTTCCGTGTTCAAGCGATTCTCCTGACTCAGCCTCCCGTGTAGCTAAGAATTACAGGCATGCGCCACCTTGCCCAGCTAGTTTTGTTATTTTTAGTAGAGAGGGGGTTTTTCCATGTTGGTCAGGCTGGTCTCAAACTCCCGACCTCAGGTGATCCACCCGCCTCGGCCTCCCAAAGTGCTGGAATTGCAGGTGTGAGCCACCTCGCCCGGCCCTGAATGGGAAACTTTTTACTGCTGTCATTCTTGGACTATCCTCCACATGCACGTGGATCATATTTCTGTTTGCTCAGCCCAGACATCAGAACTCAGATGCCTGTAGAGACTAGGCAAGTTACATAAAAGGGTGAAGAGTGCCAGGTGGGAAGTATAGCCAACTGGAAATGGATGGCATATTTTTATAAAGAGGGCAGCCACTACCCGGTGCCTGCTGATTACTCTCTTGCACGAATGCAGTAGGTCCCAGTGTTGCCAGATCTTTGTCAAGAGAAGCTGAAAATATACATTTTTATATGAAGCCTCTTGATTTTAAAATGTTAACAATTAAATTTAAATACAGCCTTAGCTAAACAAAATATGTCTTCAGGCCTGACTTGGCCCAGAAAAGCCTTCTGATATTCCTAGCCAAGAATGAGATTTCTAACAAGTTTACTCTCCTATGAGTAAAGAGAACATACATGGTCTAGTAGTTTGACATCACAGTAGTTTATAGCTGGAGTCTGGGAACAGGAGAGAAAAGTAAGGACCCTCTATATAAGCCAAAGTCTTCGCTCTCACAGACTGAAACATTAATGGGAGAAATACAAGCATTTTACCATCCCACCTTTTATCCCAAGTACATGTGAATGGATATGGCCATTTATTAGAGGATGTTCTTGATTTAGTGGATACTTTAGTGGATTAGAAAAATAATCTTATTTTCCAACTCTGCCATTCTGATTTTGCCCAAATGAAAAAGTGGTGCATGTTTTGGGGAGAATAATTGCTCAGCTACTGATGCCGGAACTGAATTGTAGTACTGACTTATTTTTTGTACCCTGTTCGTCTTTTCCCTTTCTCACTGCTGGTGGCTAGGGACAGGGAGTAAAATATCTTCTTTACAACCTGTTAAAAGTAATGTGCTCAGCCTCTTTAGTGGGATGAAATTTGTGGTAATGAGTTACCAGAGCCTATGCCTCTTTGGATTGAAAAGCTTGTCAGGATCTTTTCTGGGTTGCTAATGAGTGTTTCCTAGACGCCGATCCAGGTTTTGTAGGACCTGAAGCCTACACAATTTGGATGACACGATTAAGAAAACAATTCGAAAATATCTTGAAAGTTTTGTAAAAACGATATGATTTTGTGAACGCACAGGGGCCCGTGCAAGTGAAGGACCTTTCAATTCAAGCTTGATCAACGTCACTGTCATCTGCCCCTTCTGACCCTACCACCAGGCTAAGGGCTTTCCACGCCTCATCTCTCGGTCCCCACACCATCACCCTAAGAAATAGTTACTGTATCTCCTAACGATATATTATATATAGTACCTACTTTGTGTAAACATACGGTACTCATGAAAACAAGCCACGTAGAGCACAAATACGTTAAATATCCTGTCCAGCCCGAATGCCCCTTTCTCTCCACGTCCCTATGCAGCCTCCCACGACGGTAGTCCTGGGGCTCCAGCGCTACAAGAGTGGCACCGAGTCCGGATTGTCTTAAGCAGGTCGAGAGGAGGGAGCATATGGGTAAAAAGCAGTCAAACTGAAGAGTCTGGAGCGGCCCCCAGCACAGTCTCGGGAAAAGCGGACTCCCCCGGGGCCCCAGGCCCCGCACCCCCGCGCCGGGCTGGCGCCTGTGCCTGCTCCGCGGCGCGCATGCTCCGTGTTAGGCCTCTTGGGCTATTCGGGATAATGAGCGCCGGGCCGAGGGGGCGGGCCGAGCCTCGGCTGCTGGGACTCAGGGCTCAGCGGCGACCCCAAGGCACTCTGCGCTGCTGCTAAAGGGGCAGCAACGGCGGCCAGCGCTGTGCGCGCCATAGCGAGGCTCGCTCGCCCGACGCGCACTCCGGGTCGGTCCCCAGAGCTCTGTGGAGGTGACTCGAGTGGGCAGGGCCGGGCGGCGCTGTCGGCTGGGAGGGCGGGGAGGAGGCGATGAGGAGACGAGCAGCCGCCGCCGCCGCCGCCGCTGCTCACCGCCCGCCGCGGCCGTAGCGGGAGTCGGGGCGGGGCTGGGCCAGCTGTACCCCTGACGGGCCGCGAACCCAGACAAAGGAGGAGGAGCCGCCCCAGAAGCGGGCCAGCGCCGCCGGGAAAGGAGGTCGCCGCCCGGGGTCGCCCGGGCTTGCGGGTCGCCGCGCTTCCTCTGCGGGCGCTGCGGGAGGCGAGGGCCGCCTCGGCGGAGGAAGCCGACCCCGGGGTCTCCGCCAGCCCGCCGGCGCCGCCTCCGAGCCGCCTCGGCCGTAGCCTCGGCCCGGGCGGGAGGCGGCGGCCGCCGGCGAGGCGAGGCGGCCCGCGCCCTGCCTGTCAGGCCACCGGCCCGGCCCGCGGGCTGCCCCCGATGCGGAGGCGCTGTCGCCGGGGCCATGCAGCAGGCGCCGCAGCCTTACGAGTTCTTCAGCGAGGAGAACAGTCCGAAATGGCGGGGACTGTTGGTCTCGGCCCTGCGGAAGGTCAGTGCTAGGGGCGGGGCGGCCGGCGGGTGGCCCGTGGCCCCCCGAGCTTCTAACGGGGAGCAGGTCGTCCCTCCCACAGGGCTCGAGTCCCCGGGGCCGAGCCGTTTCTCGTTGGCTGGCAATGGGGGGCTCACAATTGCCTGTTGCATTCTGAAGGACGTTTCTCAAGTTTTTTTTTTTTGCCTGGTCCCGGAAGGAAGGTTTTGTTATGATCATAAAACTGGATTTCATGTTGCAGTCATTTCGTCAGGCAACTTCCGCCGTTGACCAATTTGTTGTCCTCAGGCTGGAATCGGGCAAGAGAAAGTCCCGCTGGTATTTAGACAGTTTCTAAAACAAAAGCACATTTTCAGGCCGGGTAATTACTTTTAATTAAGTTCTTTGGGAGTGTTCCCCCTAGGCGGTTTGCTTGTCAAGGGTATCCACTTATGAGGCAATGGTTTTTTGTAATATGGATGTTTCACATGTGTGAAATGTCAGTGAGTCATAATATTCTTATTCATTTTACAGTTCTCAAGGTAAATTTAAAGCGCCTTCCCACTTCCTGCAAACGGTGTCTTACCTGTTTACAAGAGATTACCCTTAGAAAATTTGGTCAGTGTCTTCAGTGTCTTCACGACCAAATTGCGATTTAGGACTTGAAATCATTTTAAGGAACAAGAAAGGGGCAACTCCTGCAAATCAGTCTTTCATGTTTGGGTGCATTGCTAGGGTGCATCTTTCCTGTAGATGGTGGCGGTCTTCCTCTGTGAATTTAGGTAGTAACCATACGATCATTTTTATAATAAATCCTTCTGTAAGATCAAGACATTTAAAGACTGTGAATAGGTGCGTGATCAGCTGTCATGCCTGTTGAGCAGGGGCTTTCTTTCTTTGCCGTTAATGCAGACTTAGTCTCTTCTGCCTTTTGTGCAAAATAACCAAGAATACATTCTAAAATAAGGAAAAAATAAAGATTAATTTAAAAGACTATACTTGGAAAATATATCCTCAGACATTAAATTTCTATAAATGAAAGGAAGTAGTGTATTTTAAAGTTAAAGACATTTTCCTCATGCGATGAGAGTTGCAGATTTTCCCTTATTTTCATAATTCTTACAAGGAAGTATTGCTTTCCTCAGGGCAAACACTAAGTCGTATCTTTTTAAAGAACCTGGCAGAAATGACTAGTGGCAGCTAGACAGTTATTCCATTGGTATACCAAGTGCTAAAGTATTAAATTGACCTTACTTCCATGTGCAGCCCAATTCTGTAAGGAGAGGGAAAGAAATGAAAAGTGTGCTGAGTGGTGAAAATGAACTCTGGCCTGAATTAAAAGCAAAGGGGGAAATGCCTAGATAGTAATTAGCCCTTTGACCACAGACAAGTGTGAGTGCAGTAATCAGGTAGGCCTATATTGTTGGCAATGTGACGCAGGTATATACCCATTTATAACTTTCTGGTAGCAAATAGTATTTG
The DNA here is from genome assembly GCF_000001405.40 of Homo sapiens. NCBI lineage: Eukaryota > Metazoa > Chordata > Mammalia > Primates > Hominidae > Homo > Homo sapiens. The sequence continues at coordinate 50,229,735 of NC_000014.9, read as the reverse complement.
GGTGTGTGTTGCATAACTTGTTCAATAGGTAGCTTTGATTCTAATAATCCTTTATGTCCAGAAACAGATTTATGTTTTCTTTTTCTTCAAATAGAGACAGGGTTATGCTATGTTGCCCAGGCTGGTCTTGAACTTCTGGCCTCAAGCAGTCCGCCCACCTCTGCCTTCCAAACTGTTGGGATTACAGGCATAAACCACCTCGCACCAGACCCAGATTTTTTTTTTTTTTTTTCAAGTTAGGCTGGAGAAGCCAAGATTAGCATCCAATCCTAGTCCATTGCTTTGGTGCTATTACTTTGCATTTATATTGTGCTTGTTTTCCTGGAACTCAGGTGCCTTGTAGATACTATGTTATATTCCACAGTTCTAGTATGTTCTTTATGAAATAAATACATCTAAGAAAATTTGGTCTTTTGAGGTGAATTCAGAAAACATTTTCTATTAACTTACTGTTGTGATAGAATTGAAATACATACGTATGGAAAATTTTTTTATATTTTTGGAAAAATTTTGGTAAAAGTAATTAAGATTATGTCCACTTTTATGGTATTTAGGACATTGCAACTTGTAGGTCTGTAGTGCCTGCTAAGAGCTGTAGCTCTTAGGGAGCTAAAGGTTCACTCTTTCTTTGCAGGAAGTTTTAAATTCTGGTATGCATCAGCCACCTTGTCTTTGTAAAATGAGAATTTCTACCATTTTGGGGGAGTCTCTGTCTTCACATTCAGAGCATCTAGAACTTGGCATCCTTCCTCTAGCTGACCAGATCGTTACAAAGACAACTAGGATTTGATTGGAATATCTCTCTCCTTCAATTGGTGTTGCCATTGTACATGTGGTGTATTCTAGCTTCATTAATTCACTTAACCATTATTGAACACATTTTACATACTTGACATGATGCGGGATCCTAAGAGTACAAAGTTAAAATAAAGGCCCCTCCAAAGATGTATACCATCTAAACCAAAAATTCTAAAATTTGAGGTTTTGGTTTATGTAAATGAGAGCGGTTCTGAGCTCAGAGTTCAGTAAGGGGTATTTGTGTGTCTATGAAAGCAGCAATGTAGCTTACTTGGCTCTGTCAGTTTAGTCCACTTGGACATCTTGGTGGAACCTCCAAAACTGTTAGAACGTAATTTTCAGAAAGGTAAAGTCATCACTTCCATGCAAATGTAAATGAACATGTATCAATTATTTTGATTCAGCCCATTGATGAGGGAACTAGTAAGATGTTAAAGTCACTTAATATGAAAATTTGAGGAGGTATTTATAGGCAATTTAATAAGGGAATATTAAGACTGTTGGGTTACATACAGAATTAGTTAATACCCTACAAGAAACATAAAAGAGTAGGCTTTGGGTTATATTTTCCTCTGGCTAAAAATTACTTGCATCTCAGTGGGCGTGGTGGCTCACACCTGTAATCCAGCACTCTGGGAGGCTGAGGCTGGTGGATCAACTGAGTTTAGGAGTTCGTGACCAGCCTGGCCAGCATGGTGAAACCCCGTCTCTACTAAAAAATACCAAAAATTAGCTGGGTGTGGTGGTGTGTGCCTGTAATCCCAGCTGCTCAGGAGGCTGAGGCAGGAGAATCACTTGAACCTGCTAGGCAGAGGTTGCAGTGAGCCGAGATCACACCACTGCACTCCATCCTGGGCGACAGAGCGAGACTCCATCTCAAAAAAAAAAAAAAAATTACTTGCATCTCTATCTGCTGAAAAGCTGTAACTTAATCTTATAGATGTGTAAAATAGTCAGTAGAAATTAATAAAAGATTCAAGCATAGCACTGTACTGAAACACAGCCAGTATTCTTTTGCTTATTTTCCAGTTTTGGCTAGTTTTTATGAAAACTGGATATCTATGTCTATATCCATGTATATATCCATATATACCCATATATAGATCCATATATATATGTATTTGACAAAGTCACCATTGTCAACATTGAAAATTCAAGGGATTTTTAAAAAACCAATCTCAAGTATTCATTGCATTACATAGAAACACAGAGATGGGCTGGGCGCAGTGGCTCATGCCTGTAATCCCATTTGGGAGGCCAAGGCGGGCAGATTACCTGAGGTCAGGAGATCGAGACCATGCTGGCTAACACGGTGAAACCCCATCTCTACTAAAAATACAGAAAAAAACCCAAAAAATTAGCCGGGCGTGGTGGCGGACGCCTGTAGTCCCAGCTACTCGGGAGGCTGAGGCAGGAGAATGGTATGAACCCAGAAGGTGGAGCTTGCAGTTGAGCCGAGATCGCGCCACTGCACTCCAGCATGGGCGATGGAGTAAGACTCTGTCTCAAAAAAAAAAAATACCAAAATTAGCCAAGTGTGGTGGTGCATGCCTGTGATCCCAGCTACTCGGGAGGCTGAGGCAGAGAATCTCTTGAACATGGGAGGCAGAGGTTAGAGTGGGCTGAGATCGCACCACTGCACTCCAGCCTGGGCGACAGAGCGAGACTCTGTCTCAAAAAAAAAAAAAAAGAAAGAAAGAAAGAAAAAGAAACACAGAGATAGACAAATAGGTTTATGGAAAAATAATTTTGGGAATAGAAATGTGGTGTTCTTTAGCTTTTTGCTTGTTCTTAAACTTTTAAAATAGAACCTCACCTAGATCATTTAAAAACAGAGAGCTACAAAGCAGAGTGAAATGACACTACTAATGGATAATGCATGGATTGTTAACATTACTGCTAAATTATGTATCTTCCCTAAAAGAGCCTAGAACATAATTGCCTTCACCACTGCTCCCCAAGATCATTGAAGCTATTGTGTTACTTGGGGAAAAAAGAGCATGGTGTATATTTGTAAATGCAGTTTATTACCTGTGTCGTTGAAATCCCTTGGTACTATATGCATGTGTTATTTGATTATATGTTGAGATAAATCAGCATTCTTCATATGGGAAATATGCCTCAAAATCATTTTATCAGATTTTACAGTCCCTGATATTTATTTTGTAGATGTCTTTTCTGTAAGGTGTTTTTCACCAGGCTAGCCATAGAAAAGAACATGGCTGTTTTCTTGCCAGCTGTAGTTAAAAATGTCAGAGAAAGCTAGAAAGAATTGGTTGAATTACTTTGTTCCTGAGTCCAATTAGATTCAGGTTAAATATCGACCTCCCCACCCTGTGACAATTTGCTCTTAGATATCTAAAAGGCAAGAGGTGTGAGAGAATGTCTGGGTTAATTAATAGCAGTCTACGGCAAGGAAAAAGATCGGTAGGGGCTTTGATTTAAAAATGGTTTTGTGAAGTTCTACTGAGATCCTAGTGTTTCTGCGTTTGTACAAATGTCTCTTGGAAGTTTGTTTTAGAAGATGGCACTGGATCTTTCCTGAGGCCCACAAGAAAAGTACAGGGTGATCTGAGAAAATATAACTGGTGTCATTGATATATGAGAGTCAAAGAAGACTTTAAGCAAGCAACATTTGTGCTTCTTTCTGGATTATATATTCAAATATAGTAATATTACTGTCTCCAGGCTGGTCTTGAACTCCTGGGCTCAAGCGATCCTCCCACCTTGGCCTCCAAAAATGCTGGGATTACAGGTGTAAGCTACGTCGCCTGGCTGCAGACACTGTTCTTGATACGGAAGATGTAGCAGAGCCCCTGCTGTTATAAAGCTTGTGTTCTAAGTGGCTGTGGCAGAGAGACAGACAATAAGGAAGTAAACAATTATCTGAAAGATCAGTAGAATTAACAAGAAAAAAAAAGGGCGGGGGGGAAGGATTTGAGGCTGAGGGGAAAGTAAGAACATGATTTGTTTGTTTGTTTGTTTTGAATAGGTCTCAGATTCTGAATTTAATGACTTATTTTAAAAAACAAGAAGAATAAGTGGATGAAGCTAGTATGGTAGACTGTAGGTACACTGAGTTAAGGTCTCTGCCTGAGAATAGGAAGTCCTGTTGGGTTCTCATTTACATAGCAAAGTAATTAGATTAACTTGATCAGAATTGCTTTTTGAAAAGATTACTTCAAGTCAAAGCCAAAAACTAATAAGAGATCCTGTGATTTTTGTGACATGAGCCTGTTCTGGAATTCCTAAAGCCGCTGAATGTAACAGTAGAACTCGAGGGAGTCATTTGGAATTATTCCAAACTAATAATGACCCAAACTGACCCGAAGAGTTCAGCCAGAACTAGATGAGCGGTAGGAATGTACTTTAACTTGCTGTACTTGGCTCCCTGTCAGCAATGATTAAGTAGCCTTCTATTTTTGGTTTAATTTTGGTATGGTATATTTGGAGCAATAATATTCCATTAAAGTGTTTTATGCTGAGTATTCAAAGCATTACCTGTGTTACCCCTTGACATAAATCAACTATATGTCTTTTGTATTAACCATGGACTCTCTTTCAAGGGAACAGTAATTTGATTATATCCTGCATATTTGAATCAAAAGGAATTTTAATGTAACTAGTGGATTTAGCATTATCTCATGTTAAAAATTAACAACCAAAAATTATTTTCTTCCATGGGCCAGGTGCAGTAGCTCATGCCTGTAATCCTAGTACTTTGGGAGGCTGAGATGGGAGGATTGCTTGAGGCCAGGAGTTCAAGACCAACCTGGCCAACATAGCGAGACCCCATGTCCATAAAAAATTATTTTCTTCTTTTACATAAGAATATATGCTAGTACAAAGTTTTTTCAAATGGATAAAGTATTACACATTCACATTTTAACATGTAGAAGTGAAGCAACAAGATGAAAATAATACCAAGATCTAGATATAAGGACTAGTATTAGCTCTTCTAAGTAAAGTTTTCTGTACTCCAGTTTTCTTCCTCATTAGGTCATTTTGTAAACTCAAACACTATTTCTCTCTCTCTCTCTTTTTTTTTTTTTTTGACAGGGTTTTGCTCTGCTACGCAGGCTGGAGTACAGTGGCATGATCATAGCTCACTGCAGCCTCCAACTCCTGGGCTCAAATGATCCTCCCACTATAGCCTCCTGAGTAGCTGGGACTACAGGCATGTGCCACTACACCCAGCTAATTTTCTTATTTTTTTTGTGGAGACAAGGTCTTGCTATGTCCTCTGGCTGGTCTCAAATTCCTGGACTCAAGTGATCCTCCAGCCTTGGCCTCCCAAAGTTCTGGGATTACAGGAGTGAGCCACCTGCCTGCCAAAAACTACTTCTTACATACAAAGTATATTATAGTTCTTTCTTAACTGACCTATTAGCAGCATTTGACAGTTGATCTCTTCTTTTTTTGAAATCCTTTCTTCATTTGGCTTCCAGAAGAATATCAAGCTTTCAGGGATTTTTTTTCTCTGAATATTCCTTCTAGTTTCCCTTCCCTTGATTCCTCCTCATCTTTCTGTGACCACATCCTTCTGACCTCCCCAGAGCCCATTTATATATATGTGTGTGTGTGTGTGTGTGTGTGTGTGTGTGTGTGTGTGTGTGTGTGTGTATATATATATTTTTTTTTTTTCCTGAGACGGAGTCTTGCTCTGTCACCCAGGCTGGAGTGCAGTGGTGCGATCTTGGCTCACTGCAACCTCTGCCTCCCAGGCTCAACCAGTTCTCCTGTCTCAGCCTCCCGAGTAGCTGGGATTACAGGCGCGCACCACCACGTCTGGTTAATTTTTTTTTTTTTATATTTTTAGTAGAAATGGGGTTTCACCATGTTGGCCAGGCTGGCCTTGAACTCCTGACCTTGTGATCTGCCCGCCTCGGCCCCCCAAGTGTTGGGATTACAGGCGTGAGCCACTGCGCCTGGCCAATTTTTAGACTTCTATTTCTATTAACACATCCTCCTTTGGAGATGCCATCCTGCCTCATTGCTTCACGTATAATCTAAATCTGATAATTACCAAATTTACATTTCTGGCTCAGACCTCTTTCTTAAACATGAATGTTCAACTCTTTTTTTGAGACAGGGTCGCACTCTGTCACCCAGGATGGAGTGCAGTGGCAAGATCACAGCTCACTATAGCCTTAACCTCCTGGGCTCAATGATCCTCCCACCTCACCCCCCTGCCGCCCCCATATAGCTGGGACTACAGGTGTGTGCCACCACACCCAGCTAATTTTTTGTTTGTTTGTTTGTTTTAGATGGAGTCTCGCTTTTTTGCCAGGCTGGGGTGTAGTGGTGCAATCTTGGCTCACTGCAACCTCCACCTCTCAGGTTCAAGTGATTCTCCTGCCTCAGCCTCCCGAGTAGCTGGGACTACAGGCGTGTGCCACCACGCCCAGGTAATTTTTTTGTATTTTTAGTAGAGACGGGGTTTCACCATGTTGGCCAGGATGGTCTCAATCTGTTGACCTCGTCACCTGCCCGCCCCGGCCTCCCAAAGTACTGGGATTACAGGGATGAGCCACCACGCCCAGCCCCAATTTTTAAAAAACTTTTTGTAGAGACAGGGTCTTACTGTGTTGCATAAACTGGTCTCCAACTCCTGGGCCCAAGCATTCCTCCTGCCTCAGCCTCCAAAGTGTTTGAGTTACAGGCATGAAGCACCACACCCGGCCAACTTTTTACTTGATATTTCCACAGAGGCATCTCAACCAACACTGTATCCTTTTCTTCCCCTGCAAACTTGTTTCTTTTGTAGTGGTTAACATATCAATAAATGGCTACTCCATCCTTCCGGTTGCTCAAACTAAAAATCTTAAGTTATTCTTGAATATTGTCTTTTTTTATACCACACATCTAATTTGTCAGCACATCCTTTTAGCTCTACCTCAAACTATATATTTAGTTACCGTTTTATACTTTTTGACTTTTACCACCTGGAACCAAGTCATCATCACCAATCTCCTGGAATATTGAAATATCTTTTCAACTGGTCTCTGATCATCTGCTCTTGTCCTATTTAGTTTCTTTTTCTCCCCAAACACAAAGAGATAAGTGAGATCATTTCACTCCTTTGTTCAAAACCCTCTCAGTGCTTCTCAGAATAAAAGTCAAAAAAGTCCTCCCAAAGGTTTACTAGGCCCTCTGCAGTCTAGGGCTGCCCCACCTCCCGCTTTTACCTCTCTGACCTCTTTAATATTGTCCCTTGTTTGTTCTGCTTCTGCCCCATACTGGCTTTCTTGTTTCTATAACGTAGACATGTTTTAGTCTTAGGACTTTTGTACTTGCTGAATTTTCTACCTGAAACACCCTTCCCTCAGATAATCACGTGGCTGGCCCTTTTACCTCCTTTAGGTCTTTATAGTCAGACATCATTTTCTTGGAGAGATTTTCTCTTACAGCCTATCTAAAACTGCTACATCCTCCTGCTTCCCAGACAGTCCCACATCAGTGTTCACAGTATTTTTTCCCATAAACCTGTATCTCCAATATAAATGATGTATCCAGTTCTCAAGCCAGAAACCTAGTCATCATTCTTCCCCTCTTTCTCATGCCAGGCTAACATGTATTCATCACTGAATCTACTTGATTCTTTCTCCTAAATTAGGAGTTTTCTAACTTTTTTTGCTGTGTATCCCCAAAAGAATTTTGAAAAACTTGCACATTTTTATGCTGACATCTAGAAATTTTCATTTTACATTTAAATAGTTGCAGTAGATGTAATTTCATATGTGTTATAAATACTGATGTTTTAAGGTAAAACAGTTGCATCAGTCTTTTAAATGTGCTGAATGGAATTTAAATACCAAAATAATTTGATATCCACCATCATTTTTTAAAAATACACATGAAAAGTGTGTCTTTAAAAGTTGGAAATTTTACATTGTCCTTTTTTTCTCTGTGAACTTTTTTCATTATATTTCCCCTGCATAATTCTAATATGATATTTTTAGATTTAAGTCTTTAATCGCACTTTTTTATTTATACTCCTTACAACAACAAAAAAGTCTACATATTGAATTTAAAAGGATTTTCCCTACAACCGTAAAGCTTTAAAACCTGTCTTTTGAACTGAATTATTATTATTATTATTATTAAAGTCTCATTCTGTCACCCAGGCTGGAGTACAGTGGCATGATCATGGCTCACTGCAGCTTCAACCTCCCAGGCTCAAGCGATCCTCCCATTTCAGCCTCCTGAGTAGCTAGGACTGCAGGCACATGCCACCACACTTGGCTAATTTTTTAAAAATCTTAAAGATGCTTTCTTTTTATTTTCATGGGCCTGTCCCCTCAGGAGGATGTATTTTTCCACTAGGCTAGAGGATGGAAGAGGCAAGATACTTAAATGAAAATATTTGTAATTATCTCTTTGTTTAGTGTCTAGGATTTATTTATTGCACTTCAGAGCAACATGTATCCTATAGAGAATTTCAAGATAAGTGAGAGATCTGCCTTTCTTAGTAAAATGAGAGGGCAACTGTGAAAACAGGTATAAAAGGAGACCCTGCTTTACTCACTGTGTGCAGGCACCTTGTCAGGCAGATCTTCTTTAGGAAAGAGTACATATGGCTGTTTAGAAAGTGTCCTGACAGACGTGGGTGTTTGGCCTGGGAATTTATTAAACATAAGTGAATGAAACAAATTTAATAGCGATCTTTTCCCAGTTCACAGGGGAAAAAAAGCAATTATTTTTTCAATTTTATTTTTCTTCCATAAATTAGAAAAAAAAATCTTTGTTGTCTGCTGCAATTTACTTGCTAGTGAGTAGTGAAAGATTGTAAAATAAATGAGCGAATGATCATGGAGGTTTTAAAGGGAAAATGGCTTTTAATACTTTTTGGTTTTTTTCTTAGAAACATGTTCCTGTAGTTTGATTTTAAGTTTTAAAGTCATTACTAGCATTGTCCCTGCTGTGATAGAATATGAGTCTTAAAATTTCACGTTCTGCAAAGAACACTGATTTCCAAATGATCTGCCACTGGAACAAATTGGGAACCATTTTTCTAGCCTGTACTGTCTTGGGTTTACAAGCAAATGACCTGCCTTTATGGGAAGGTGCTTCTGGGTCATAGGCCATTCAAAGAAAACTTTGATGACAAAAATTTTTGCTTCAGCTAATCTTTTTTACATATTTGATTATATTATGGTAAGCTCTCACCTAATATTAAGTAGAAATAGCTTCTTGGCCTGTACTTATCTGCATTTTAAATAAACTTACATTGTGAAAGCCTGCTGAAAGTACCTAATTAAGAGCATGGACTCTGAGAATTATTAATGGACAGTGGGAGGAATAGAGAAACGTAAGAGAGGGAATTCCTTCATTTATAATGTTGTATGAGAACCAGGTCTCCAGATACATTTCCAGTGAAATGAAAACAAATTTTATGGAGTTTAAAATTTTTTCCAGTATCCAGATAATTTCAGTGAGGCCAAGAGATCTGTTTGCTGCTGTGAATCTATTTAACAAGTATTTACTGAGTGCTTTCTTTATGCAGGGTCTGTTCTTTTTTTTTTTTTTTTTGAGATGGAGTCTCGCTCTGTCGCCCAGGCTGGAGTGCAGTGGTGCTATCTTGGCTCACTGCAAGCTCTGCCTCCCGGGTTCACGCCATTCTCCTTCCTCAGCCACCCTAGTAGCTGGGACTACAGGCGCCCGCCACCACGCCCAGCTAAGTTTTTTTTTTTGTATTTTTAGTAGAGATGGGGTTTCACCATGTTAGCCAGGATGGTCTCGATCTCCTGACCTCGTGATCTGCCCGCTTCGGCCTCCCAAAGTGCTGGGATTACAGGCGTGAGCCACCGCGCCTGGCCCAATGCAGGGTCTGTTCTTTTAATGACATACTAGATTACCTGTATGCTAAGCATACAGGTGTAGGGAAATAGGAGGAGGAGACCGAAAACAAGAAATGGGAGCTGGTGTGGTAGTGCCCACCTGTAGTCCCAGTCACAAGGGAGGCTGAGGTGGAAGGATCACTTGAGCCCAGGAGTTCGAGGCTTAACAGTGAGTGGTGATCACACCACTGCACTCCAGCCTGGGTGACAGAGCAAGATTCTGTCTCCACACCTCTCCCCTGCCCCCCAAAAAACAAACGAGAAATGGTTCCTGATCTTAATGAGTTTAGAGTATGCAGCTGTGGTTTCAATTTTTAATTATACACTTTGATTAGAAAAATGTTGCCTTAGAATATTATATTTTAGAATTATTTTTTAAAACCTTACTGGGATGTAATTGATATAAAGTATATATTTACAGTACATATATTTACAATGTACAATTTGATGTTTTCAACAATGTGATAAGTTATATATACACAGTAAAACCATCCCAGTAAAGCTAGTAGACATATCCTTCAGCCCCATAAATTTCCTCTTGACTGTAATTCTCCCTCCTATTTCTCCCCACTCTCAGGAGACATCCCAAGCCATCACTAATCTGTTTTCTGTCATTATCGATTGCATTTTCTAGAGTTTTATATTAATACTGATAGAATCATACAGTACATACTCTTTTTTTTCAATCTGGCTTTCAGCATGATTATTTTAGATTCATTTATGTTGCATGTATCAATAGTTCATTCCTTTTTATTGCTCAGTAGTGTATTCCATTGTGTAGATATACTGTGGCTTGTTTATCCATTCACTTATTTATGTACATTTAGTTTTTCAGATCTTGGCTATTCAAATAAAGCTGCTATGTATATTTGTGTACAAGTCTTTGTATGAAGATATGTTTCAATACAAAGAATGGAAATTGCTGGTAATTACCAAAGAGTGGTTGGATCGGATAGTAGGTGGATGCTTAACTTTTTTTTTTTTTTGAGACGAAATCTTGCTCTGTTGCCAGGCTGGAGAGCAGTGGTGTAATCCTGACTCACAGCAACCTCCGCTTCCCGGGTTCAAGTGATTCTCCTGCCTCAGCCTCCTGAGAAGCTGAGATTACAGGCACGCCCCACCACGCCCGGCTAATTTTTCTATTTTTAGTAGAGACAGGGTTTCACTGTATTGGCCAGGATGGTCTCGATCTCTTGACCTCATGATCCACTCGTCTCGGCCTCCCAACGTGCTGGGATTATAGCCATGAGCCACCACGCCTGGCTGCTTAACTTTTTAAGAAACTTTCAAACTGTTTTCTAAAGTGGTTGTATAGTTTTACATTCCCACCAGCAATATAAGAGATCCTGTTCCTCCTGCCAATACTTGGTAATTTAATTTTAGCCATTCTAATAGCAGTGTAATGGTACTTTGTGGTTTTAGTTTGCATTTCCCTAGTGATTAATGATGTTCAACATCTTTCATGTTTTTATTTGCCTTCCATATATCTTCTTTGGTGAAGTGTTTGTTCAGATCTTTGGCCCATTTTTGTTGAGTTGTTTTGTTTTTTTGTTTTTGTTTTTGTTTTTTTTTGGGGGGATGGAGTCTTGCTCTGTCGCCCAGGCTGGAGTGCAGTGGCACAATCTCAGCTCACTGCACCCTCCGCCTTCCGGGTTCGAGCGATTCTTTCACCTCAGCCTCCCAAGTAGCTGGGATTGCAGGCACCCACCATCATGCCCTGCTAATTTTTGTATTTTTAGTAGAGACAGGATTTTGCCATGTTGCCCAGGCTGATCTCAAACTCTTGGCCTCAAGGAATCCACCCACCTTGGCCTCCCAAAGTGCTGGGATTACAGGCATGAGCCATCTCACTCGGCCTTTTTTTTTTTTTTTTTTTTTTCCTTTTATCGAAGTTTCATTATATACCATTCTCTTAATACTATCTTTTTATCTTTTTCTTTCTTTCTTTTTTTTTTTTTGTTTTTAAGAGATAGGGTCTTGCTGTGTTGCCTAGGCTGGTCTTAAGCTCCTGGCCTCAAATGATCATCCTGCCTCAGCCTCCCAAAGTTCTGGGACTACAGGCATAAGCCACTGCACCTGGCCTATACTATCTTTTGGAGACCAAAAGTTTTTTTTGTTTGTTTGTTTTTGTTTTTGTTTTTTTGAGACAGAGTCTCGCTCTGTCGCCCAGGCTGGAGTGCAGTGGCACGATCTCGATTCACTGCAAGCTCTGCCTCCGGGTTCACACCATTCTCCTGCCTCAGCCTCCCGAGTAGCTGGGACTACAGGCGCCCGCCACCACGCCCAGCTAATTTTTTGTATTTTTAGTACAGACGGGGTTTCAC